>NC_000022.11:48709564-49025639 GCF_000001405.40 Homo sapiens
GGGTGTGAAAGCCACTCTGGGTCCCAGCTTCCAGTGACCCATCACTTCTCAGTCGCCCTTTGATGAGCCCCTCCTCCTCGTGATTTGAGGCCCACGAGGCGCCCAGGCCAGCGTTCAGGCTGCACCCCTTCAGGAACGAACTCGGATGCACCTCTGTGAGAGGACTGCTCAGTTCACCGGGGTGGGAAGTCAGGGAGTCCACAGACCCTGTGAGAGCTGGCGGTGGATAAGCAGGTCATCACTTGGATGCAGGCAGCCCTGCTGAGCCAGTGACAGGGCCAGGACTGGCCCAGCCCCTCCAAAGGCATCGAGGTGCTTGTCAGGAACAGGATTGGGTCCTTACCTGGAGGCTGCTGGCATCATCACATTTTGGTTTTTGGTAATTTATTGGGCTGAAATTCACATAACATCAAGTTGTCGATTTTAAAGCGAGCAGCTCAGTGGCATTGGGCACACTCACAGTGCTGTGCCACCACCCCCTCTACCTTGCTTCAGGGCATTTGCATCCCCCTGGAGGGATGCCCTTCACCCACCAGGCACCATCGGGGTCTTCAGATCTGCATGAAGGCTTCTCCTGTGCAGCTCTGCAGCCGCTCCTGCCCAGGGTTACCGTGGCAGACCTTTTGGCCCCACTAAGGGCAACGCTAATTAAAGTGACCAGTGAAGCCCCCCGTATGCAGGGCGCACACTGGTAAGTGGGGGACACAGATGTGGCCTGTCCCCAACCTGTCAGGCTGCCTGGATAATGCCTTGTCAGACAGCTTCATGGTGTTTTCCTTCACTGTTGGCCCAAACCCTGGACCCAGCCCTCCCTGCCTCCTGCGTTCACCCAGAACGCCTGTCTTCTCCTCTCTCCTCCCCTGTAGTTCTTCAGCACCTGAGTCATTCTCATGAAATCTCATCAGGGACCCCTTCACCCACCCCAGAGCCAGACCAGGGCCACCCAACCAGCCTCCCGCATCCGTCCAGGGCCGCCCAAGCAGCCTGCCGCGTCCGTCCAGGTCTGCCTGGCCAGCATGGCTTCTGTGTGTGCAGAGACAGAGAACCGAGGTGCTCACCGTGTCAGCTCAGTCCAAGCCCACAGGGCCCACCACGGGAGGCAGTGAGCCCCCCTTATTCTGGGGCATTTGAGGCAGAGGCTGACCAGGCACCTGGGATATTCCAGAGGGGTTCGAGCCTTCCTGGCTTTGGGAACAATAGCTGCACCTGTCCGGTGCTTGGTGTGCTCAGAGAGCCTGGGGGAGATGGCTGCAGACTCCCTTTCCCTTGGGCCTCACGGGCTTGGGAGCTCAGTTTCACAGGCTTGAATACTGCGGCTGGGTGAGCTGGAGTGACTGCTGGTGGCCAGGTGTACAGAAGTCCAGGGAGGTGGGATTGATTCTGCTTGTTCTGCTCAACACAAAGGCCAGACCTGGCTTGGTGTGAGACCCCAAGTGGCTTTCAGCTCGGGAGACTCAGATACTCTGATCTTCCCATCATTAGGACACTGCAGGGGACCCCCCAAGCCTCTGCTGGTGGAGGCTTAGAGGGCACCTGCAGGGACCAGGGACATGGGCAGGTGGGAGTCTGACTGTAGCAGGACACTCCGTCATCCAGCAGAGGAAGGACGGCTGTCCACTTCCAGGCTAGTGACTCTCAGGCACCCTGATTCTTCTAGAGAGTGAGGTCTCATAGGTGGAGGGGACGGCTCTGCTTTCCTGGGGGAGAGTGTGTGTCGGGGGCTTGAAGACCTGTCTCTCAGCCTGTGCCTCATGTTGCTATGGCGGGGGCACCTTGTATACATGGGCCGCGGATGCCTGGGCCGGTAGATCTCGGTGAGTGACCGTGTGCTCACTCCAGGGGACCGGGGTGGGCCCTGTAATCTTCCCAGGTATCTCGGGAGAAGTCTCTGGGAACAGCAGGAGAGCCGGCTCCTAATGGAATCACTGGCCTGTGGTGACCTGTGTTCAAAGCTTTCTGAAAAGGTTAGTTGAGCTCTTGAACCAAACACCATAGAATTGGAAGCTACAATCCCAGTTGTGCGATTGCATCTGAGTTCTCTCCTAGATGGTAAATTAGCGCTACATGAGATTTCACACTTTACCATAAATTGGTTTTCTGCGAGATGATGGCGTTCTCATAACTTGGCTTTTAGAGACTCAGCGGATACTGAGTTGCTGCTAATTCCATCCTAATGGCCACGTTCTCAGATTAGAGCTGGCCTCCAGCCCAGGCCTGATGCAGGCAGCCACCCGCTCCCAGCCTGCCCAGCTGCGCGCCACCATCGCGCCGATCCCCCGTCACTCCTCAACCCCTTCCGGTGTGGGCCGTTGCCGTTTACTTCTCTGTGTGGCGCCACCAGAGTGTGGGTCGCCTAGCACGGGCGCTGGGCCTAAGGGTGCTGCTGCCCCGTCCCCTTGCAATGCCTGCGCCTCTCTGTGTGACACGTGGATTCACGATTCATGGATTAACCGAGTGTGGACCCCAGGCACATGCTGATGCTTGTGTTTCCAGGATCACTGCTTTTTTGGGGATGGAGTTTCGCTCTTGTCACCCAGGCTGGAGTGCAAGGGCACAATCTTGGCTCACTGCAACCTCCACCTCCCGAGTTCAAGTGATTCTCCTGCCTCAGCTTCCCGAGTAGCTGGAATTACAGGCACCCACCATCACACCCAGCTAGTTTTTGTAGTTTTAGTAGAGGCAGGGTTTCACCATGTTGGCCAGGCTCGTCTCAAACTCCTGACCTCAGGTGATCCATCCGCCTCGGCCTCCCAAAGTGCTGGGATTACAGGCGTGAGCCACCGTGCCGGCCCAAGATCACTGCTTTTGAAAGTGCAGGCCGTCACCCCATTAGTGGGTTGTGAAATTAATTTAATAGATCATGACCAGCATTTAAAAGGAGGAAGGAATAGAGTGAAAATGTGAGAGAACATCTGTGTCAGGAGGGTGAGCGCCCGGTGACAAAGCACGCGCCTGGGCACACAGGCTCACATGGGAGAAGCCTTTCTCCTAGGTTGCTATGAAAGGCTGGAAATCCGCATCCTGTGGGGACTGGAGAGAAACTGACCTCTGCGGTGCTTTTCCAGGTGCTGCCTCTCTGCTGGCTCTACCTTGTGGACGTCCACCTGCCCCAGGCGAGGGGACCCTGGGTGGGTGTTTCAGGTTCTCCCGAGGTGTGAGCAACGCTCCTTCTTGGCCCGCCACTCTGGCTCCTGCTCCCTGGGGACAGGCCTAGAGCTGCTGTCCGCCCTCCTTCCCATTCCTGTGCTCTGCCTCTGCCTTCCTCTGTCCTTGAGTTGGGCTCTCAGAGCTGGAGGAGGAGGGACAGGCAGGGCTGGTGGGGCCGAGGGGAGCAGGCCAGGCCCACACACAAGCAGGTCTTCTCTCCACAGACGTTCCTTGGCTGGGGCTGCAAACCACACATGCAACTGGCTTTTGG
Source organism: Homo sapiens (assembly GCF_000001405.40). NCBI lineage: Eukaryota > Metazoa > Chordata > Mammalia > Primates > Hominidae > Homo > Homo sapiens. The sequence continues at coordinate 48,712,983 of NC_000022.11, forward strand.
AAATATTCTCATCAGTGTTTGCTCAGCCACGTTTTTGTAGTGTTTATGTATTGCAAGATACTTGTCAGTGAGCTGTGCCATCTCCTACATCAGAATCAGCCAGCTAGATGGAAATCCTGTTTGCACATTCGCTATTGAGTACCACCTTCTAATTCTGTGCTGCATGAAATCACAGTTGTGGGGGTGAAGAAAATTCAGCGGGGTTTCTGTATGGTTCTATTCGGGAACTCGTATTTCATGGCAACTCATTACACTAAAAGCCCATTTGCCCAACGTGAGAGATTCTGAGGACGTGCAGACGGCAGCTGCCGCTGATCTCGTGGGGGCTCGGATGTCTAAATTCCACCCCGGCCAGGCATCCCAGGAGTGTGGTGTAGTCAGGCCATTCCAGGGCCTCCGTTGGATATGGACAAGAGGACACTGAGGTCTCCTTGGGGCCTGGTGGCCCGGCCAGCAGCCTGCCAAAATGCTGTCTCTTCTCTCGTCTTGCCATAAACTGCTGCTGACTTGGGCTGGGCAGCTTGTGCTGTCAGCCTGCCGGCGAGTTCTGGAGGTCAGACTCACCACCGATGGATGATTCACGCCACCTACAAGCCCCTCTGGGAAAGGTTCTGTGGTCATCTCGTGGTTCGAGAGCTCTCCCGTTGGCATCTCCAGCAGTGCTGAGCGTCGTCCACGGGGGCCTTGTTTGGGATTTAGGAGCCAGCTTGCTACGGGGAGGAGCCTTCTGGCTGCACAGCCCCTGTCCCAGTGGATGGCTTGCCTTGTCCAGGCCACCAGGATCCTTGCCCCTGAGCTTCCTGCAAGCTCGGAGCCTGGAGGAGGGGCCCATCCCAGGAAAGGCATCTGTGCGGTAGCAAGCTCAAACCGTGAGGTCTCTTCGTTCTCGGATTCTGAGGGCTTAGCATGTGTCAACGTGGCCCCACTAACAGATCCATGGGAAGAACAGGCTAGGACCTACCCTGCCTCAGAGCACCCCCAGCGTGAAGAAGGAGGTGTCAACACCGGGGTCCCAGCCCAGTCCTCCCGTGTCTGTGCCAATCCGCCAGGCAGCTGGGGCACAAGAGTGCGTTCCCGTGCCAGGCCCTCGCCCAGGGCGGCCCTGCAGAAGGACAGAGTGTCCGTGGCCCGCACACTGAGCCCTGATTCTTGGAGGAGCCATCCATGGGAGACAGCAGACGCTTTTGCACCAGGGTCCCAGTTAAAGAGGACGAGACACTCACACTTCCTTTATGTGCCTTCTGGAACCCCCTGTAGGGTGACAGGGACACGAAAGGGGGAAAATGGCCTCCTGCTTTGAGTGCAAACTCAGCAAGACAGGTCTGGAAGGATGGGAGCGGGTGGACGGAGCTGACAAGCAGAGCTGAGCCCCAGGAGAGCAGTGTGTGGGCTCTGCCTCCATTCTGATGCAGGGCAGTGCTGACGGCCTCCTCCCAGCGCTGTAGAGGTGGGCCCAGTTGACAGGCTGCATAAGAGACCCCTGGTCCTTCCCACCCACCACCTGGGCCTCAGCTCCCTGCAGAATCCAAAGAAAACTGGACTCACAGAGGCTCATGCTAGAGAGGGAGAGACCTGGGCGGCGTTGGACCCTGCAGCGGAAACACAGCCAAGCATGGCAGGAACTTCTGGAAACCAGGCGATTAGGTGAAAATCGACGTTCTGAGGTGAGTCCCCACTCAGCTCCCTGAGGGCTCAGTCAAGAGACAGGAGGCTTCTTTCTGGATACACTTCCTGCCTGTGTGTCCTGCGGCCACCATAACCAATGACCACGTTCTGAGTGGCTGAAAATGGCAGAAACATATTATCTCAAGGTCCTGAAGGCCAGGAGGTCCAAGATCAAGTGGTCAGGGCCCTGCTGTCTTGGGAGGCTCTCGAGGAGGCCCCTCTTTTGCCTCTCATAGCTTCTGGTGACCCCAGGTGTTCCTTGGCTCGTGGCCACAGCAGTCCATTCTCTGCATCCGTCTTCATGGGGCCTGCTCTGTTTGCCAAATTTCCTTCTCCCTTTTCTTATAAACACTCCAGCTATTGGCTTTAGAGTCCATTGTAAATCTAGGATGATTTCATCTGAAGATCTTTCACTAATCATGCCTGGAAAGAACCTATTTCCAAATCAAGTCAGATTTTGAGGTTCCCCAGTGGACATGAACTTTGGGGGCCCCCCATTCCACCCACTGAACTCACCCGGCCCAGATCAGAACCCATGGGTGCCATGAGTTGGGGGCCACAGGGCCCTTCTGTGAAGCCCACCTGCCACCAGCCGGCTGTTCAGTGCTGTGCTCCGAAACATGGTGGAAAGCAAAGGTCACTCTGGGAGAGAAACAAAACCAGAAGAAGCCAAAGGAAGAGGAGCGAGGAACGTAGAGGCCGCAAGGAGTCATCGAGACAGCAGAGGAAGGGCCAGCACACCAACTAAACCACAGCTCAGCCTCAGAGACAGCGGACATGCATCCAGACACAGGATGGGGCAGGGAGGCGAGGAGGCTGGGGGTGGGGCGGGGCAGGGAGGTGAGGAGGCCAGGGCCTCCATCTTCCTCCTCTTGGGTGCTCTGCTTCCTCTCCCTGGCTCTCAGCCTTAGGGACATGTTTGGCAGGTGGAAGGGTGTGGTTGTGACCCCATGTGCTGCCTGGAACACTGGCTCTGACCCCTGAGCCCTGTAGGTGTCATTACCCCAAGCCTGTCCTGCTGGAGAGAAGAGGGGAGCCCAGGACTGGGTGAGTGGTGGGGCCTGCTGGCCCGACCCAGGCGCCTCAAGAGACAGAGGTGAGCCTGGCCAGCAAGCCTGCCCCAGCCACAGATGTCACCACTGAGTTTGGACAGTGAGTCTGGATGCTGTTGATGGCCTGGCAGTAGACAAGTGGGATGGGGAGCTCATTAAAGGAGTGTCGAGAAGCCTGGAGATTTTACATTTAAGTCTTTAATCCGTCTTGAGTTAATTTTTGTATAAGGTGTAAGGAAGGGGTCCAGTTTCAGTTTTCTGCATATGGCTAGCCAGTTTTCCCAGCACCATTTATAAAACAGGGAATCCTTTCCCATTGCTTGTTTTGTCAGGCTTGTCGAAGATCAGATGGTTGTAGATGTGTAGTGTTATTTCTGAGGCCTCTGTTCTGTTTCATTGGTCTATATATCTGTTTCGGTACCAGTACCATGCTGTTTTGGTTACTGTAGCCTTGTAGTATAGTTTGAAGTCAGGTAACATGATGCCTCCAGCTTTGTTCTTTCTGCCTAGGATCCACACATATGTATATTGCAGCACTATTTACAATAGCAAAGATGTGGAACCAACCCAAATGCCCATCAATGATAGACTGGATAAAGAAAATGTGGCATATACACACCGTGGAATACTATGCAGCCATAAAAAAGAATGAGTTCATGCCCTTTGCAGGGACATGGATGAAGTTGGAAACCATCATCCTCAGCAAACTAACACAGGAACAGAAAACCGAACACCACGTGTTCTCACTCATAAGTGGGAGTTGAACAATGAGAACACATGGACACCAGGAGGGGAACATCACACACCAGGGCCTGTTGGGAGGTGGGGGGCCAGGGGAGGGAAAGCATTAGGACAAATACCTAATGCATGTGGGGCTTAAAACCTAGATGACAGGTTGATAGGTGCAGCAAACCACCGTGGCACATGTGTACCTATGTAACAAACCTGCACGTTCTGCACATGTATCCCAGAACTGAAAGTAAAATTTTAATAAGAGCCTGGAGAGCGCTTTGGGAAACTGTACACATACACACACGTATATGTCTACATGGCAGAGATGTGTGCATACATGTACATATGGTATGCCTATAGGTACTGTATGCCTGTGTGTGTGTAGCAGCAGAGTGTATTACAAACCCAGTAGAATGTTGGAGACATAAAACTGAGGCAATCTCTCAGAAAGCAGAGAGTGGAATTTTCTAAAAGAAATGGGAACTAGGAAAGGAAAACAATAATCAGAAAATTGATTCAGGAGTTCTGAACGATATAACCTCCTGAAATAGCAGAAAATGAAGAAGAAATTATCAAAGAAATGCTTTCTAAAAATCTCTCCAGAACTGATGTCAGTTTCCCCGTGAGAGTACTCATCAAGCCCAGAAAATGAATGAATACAGTCGCATCCTAAAGCATGCCAGCATGAAATTTCAGACCACGGGAGATGAAAAACATCCCCAAAACTCAGAGGGAAAAACCAGGTCATGGGCAAAGACGCCCACAGCAGCGTCGTCGGGTTCTCAGCAGATCGCCGAAGCCGGGAAACAGTGTTGCCAGGTCTTGCAGAGCGCAGGCTGCGACTCCTGACCTGGAACTCCATCACTGCTGGAACGGGCCGTCAAGGGTGCAGGAAGAACAGGCTCCAGCCCTGGACATCCCAGGAGGAGCCCTGCACATCCCAGGAGGAGCCCTGCACGTACCTGTGCTTCGGAAGATGAGGGGAAGGGGTCAGGGGACAAGAGGTGTCTCCCAGGGAGAGGGCAATGAAGAAGCACCCAATGTTTCTAGCAGGAATTCGCAAATGAATTCCAAATATGCAGGCATTCAGGGAGGGAAAAAACGAAGATTTTTCTAGGAAAACAAGCACAAATGCCCTGAGGCTCCAGCGTGGGAACGTTGGAGAGCTGTGGCCGAGCCAGCACTGCCTCAGCCAGATCCATTGCCCACGTATTCATCAGGCCCCGTTCTCTGTCGGGCACTGCAGGTGCCATTGGAGAGTTCCAGTGCTTCCCAGGGACCACAGAGCAGGCATGGCCTCTGCCCTCCAGGAGCCACACGGGGGTGATCATCATTGGGCACAGCTTCTGAGGGGGGTGATGGCCCAGTTGAATTGGTCAGGGCATAGGCAAGGGAAGAGGGTCCACCCAGGTCCTCTGGGCCAGCACCCTGGAGAGCCAGGCTTAGGCATCCAGAGGGACCAGGTTGTCACCAGAAGTGAATAAGGCCCCAGGCTGGGCAGGGCCAGTCTGCAAGGCCCGGGAGCCGTCTGTCCTGCGTGTGGTGGGGGAGGACACAGAGCCACTTCATCTGGGAGTGAGATAGAGCTGCCTTCACGAGCCCAGGTGGGCTGTGGAGCTCGTGGCCTTGCATGGCCAGGGCAGGGCTGCTGCGGACAGCAGGCCACGGGCTGAGCAGAAGCGGAGGGCCCGGGAGGGTCTGCAATGCCCTCTCCCAGAGACAGGCAGGCGAGAGCCGAGGTGGTATCAGGGTGCACCCAGGCGTCCTCACCCGGCCTCTCCCTGGGATGCCCATGGCCACTTCCTGGCCCCCTGCACAGCAGACACTGGGCCCCGCTGTGGCCGTCATTAGTCAGCAAAGGCCGGGGCTGCTGGAGGAAGAAGGGGGATGCTGTAGCTGAACACTGAGCCTCTGTGGGGGCAGCGGGGAGGCCCCCAAGCAGGAAGGTGGTGGCTGTGGTTGTGGAGGGAAGTCAAGAGGTGTCTTGAGGGAGGATCCACAGTTACCAGGCAGCCAACCACACGCAAGCAGGGAGGGAGGACATGGGCCTGGCAGACCTGTGTGGGCGCCATCCTCCCGTGCGACCTGTGTCTGCCCTGTCCGACCCCCATTAGGAGCCTGCGGTTCATCTCCCAGAGCACTCCCCAGAGTACCAGAGCATCTCTGGTACTCCCCAGAGCACAGCCAAGCCGGGGCCTTGGGGCCCCCTCCCCGCACAAGGACCCTGGTCCCAGCCAGGCTTCCCCCGGCCCCGTGAGGTCAACCAGGAATTCACGCAGCCCTTTCGGATTCTGGAAGTTTCTTAAGTGACTGGGAGTTCCACCCCCGCCCCCCAACCTTCCAGTCCTCCGTGTGAGCCTCTTCCCTCTCTGTTGCTGGGAGCATTCATAGTCCCCATCCTGCACCAGGCTTGCCCTGCAGAGACAGGGTGCAGCTTGTCACTTCCTCCCTTCATGTGACAAGGTGGCCCCTGCCCCCGGCTCACTGTCACCATGGCTGAGGGCCCACCCTGCCCTCCACCATCTGTCTGTCCCCATGTCCTCCTAGCTGAGCAATCCTCTTTGCCCGGCCGGGTCAGCTCCGCCTTGAGGACTGGGGAGCATAGCTGTTCTCAACGTGGAAGAAACGCAGTTTTAATCCATTTTATGGGCCCAGGGGGATTTTCAACTTTTTCTTTTGAATCCCGTGTGGGGAGGTGTGCAGACATTCCTCTCGCCAGGGGCCCTGGCCTGCACACACCCGCAGGGGCTCTGCTTCCCAAGGCCGGCTCACCTTCCCCGTCCTTCTGGAACTAATGCCAGGTGGACGCAGAGCCGGCAGGACTGAAGAGAACCGCCCCTCGGGTGAGGTGGCACGTCCCGTTCCCCTCGGAGCCCTCCAGCCAGCAGCTCAGCCCTGGCTGCCTGGGCCAGAGCCCAGAGGCTCCAAGTCCGTCTGGAGTGTGATCAGATGGCGTTCATGGAGACTGACTCAGGGAACTGGAGGGAGAGGGAGGCTGAGCTCAGGAAGAGGTGGCTGCGATGGCCAGGGGAGAGGAAAACTGCCCAGAAGGATCGTGAAGGAAGAGGAGAGAGAAGGACATTCCCTACCCTCTCACCAGCCCAAGAGAGCAGGGTGGTGGTGGGCCGAGGTGGCCTCAGGACTGCCCCCCCTGCATTCTCTCCCAAGGACAAAGAAGGCTGAGGCTTAAACAGGTCTGAGAGACGGCGCAGGGGTGGGTACTTGGCCAGAAGTGGCCGGGGACCCGCACCTAACTAATCTTTTTTCTGCACAAACAATGAAAAATACTAAGTCATTACTCTGCTCCCTGTCTGCAATCCATTTTGCGTTCTTTTGAATCACCGCTATTCATCACCACGATAATGGCTGGACATTTTAATAGATTCTGTGTGTAAACAAAAACGTATATGGCCGGCGCCACATCAGCTAGTATTGTAAGCAGTGACACTCTTCATTTTCTCAGCAGAAATGAGCCCAGAAACAAAAAAAAATTGGTTTGACCAAACCCACATTATTTCTGTCTGCACTTTGGGCCACTTTTGTAATGGGAGACGTGACACGCTGGGCGCCATTTACAGTAATTGTCCTGCATTAGGCTCGATCTTCCTTAAAGAATTTGTTCTTTGAATCGTTTTAAATACATAAATGGCAAATGGCTGAAATGTGAGGACGCTCGCCCGGTGCAGAAGGGTGGACGGGGTCTGTCGCGAAACCCAGTGGGTGTGGCGGGGCTGGGGATTTCCTGGTGCCCCCTACTGGTCAGAAAGTTACGTTACGTTGGGTCAGGGTGAGGATCAGGCTTAGGGTTTGTCTGAGTGACATGATCAGTGCCTCCTTCTCCTTTTCCCTGCCCTTGCTTCCCTGTCTTCTCCCCACCGTTCCCATCCCTCTGACACTGTTTTGGTGCCAAGTCAGAGACTGGAATGCAGAGATGAGACACGTGACCCAACATCTCAGGGACACCCCTCGAGAATCGCTGGAGGGGTCACTTTTTGGTGCCAAATGGGCCTGCTTGGTTGGCCTCTGAGTCTGGCACATCACTGGGAAGAGAGGTGGGAAAGGCTTGCTGAGTAAATGGCAGACAGCACTCTGTTTACCTGGCGGGGACTGCGGCAAGGTGCTCACATCCCACCGTGCATAGCCAGGACAGAGGGGTCCTGGGGACCATCCTCCGGCTATGCAGGTGCGGGGAGCCTGGTCTCCAAGACATGGGGAGACACCCTGTCTTGTTGCTGACAGGGCAGCTTCCCAGAAGTTCTCATTATGTTCACAATGGAAATGCAATGCCTTGGTCCCCACCACGCTGGCACCTGGGCACGGAGCCTCCACAGGGTTCCCTGTGCTCGAGACGTATTTCTGAGCAGCACCTTCCAGGGCCTGGCTGTGGTCTAGAGGAACTCTGCTCACAGTGCAGACCACGGAATGCCCTGGAAGGGCTCCACGTCCTGCCCAGACCCCTGGGGACCCTTTCTGGGTGGATCCCAGAATAGGCACTTCTTGTTCCTGCCTCAGGCCCCCTCATGCACAGTGAAGTCACACCCACGTGAAGACCCCGGATGAGGAACCCGAGTGGCCCCCTCTCCTGAGGGCGCTAAGGCCACTGTCCCCTGCTGGGCCAGGCTCCCTGACAGCCCCACTGTGTGGTTGCCCAAGCAGGAAGGTGGACGTGAGCTCCATCTCGATGGGTGAGGCTTTGGGATGCTGGACTTTCAAATGGCCCTGGAATCTACACAATCCTAGGGGAAGGATAGAGTCCCGCCTTAGACACTGGAGTCTTCCCCATAGAGGGTTGCCCCTGTGAGGGACAACCTCCCTGGCCATTCTAGAGCAGCCTGGGCCACTGCCCCCGTGCCACCATTTCAGCCCGCCCACTGCCTTCATGCCACCCACTGCCTTCGTCCCGCCCGCTGCGTGTGACCTCAGATCCTCACCAGAGCACTGCCTCCGTGCTGCTGTTTCAAGCCCGTCCACTGTGTGTGATCTCAGGTCCTCACCAGAGCCGTTGGAACCGGTGCCACTGTCTGATTCCAAGTCTCATGAACTGATTGGCAGAAGGTGCTGGCCAAGTGCTGGAAAACCTGTTTTTCTCCTATTGGTTGGCAGAAGGTGCTGGCCAAGTGCTGGAAAACCTGTTTTTCTCCTATTGGTTTATAATCCTTATAATCTTACAGATGACATCACTTTGAGATTAATTTCTTTGTAAAGGACAAAGATGAACTTATTCCTTCCTGACTGTACTGTGGAAAGTAAGATCAGGGTGGGGCACAGTGGCTCACGCCTGTAATCCCAGCACTTTGGGAGGCCAAGCAGGCAGATCACTTGAAGTCAGGGGTTCGAAACCAGCCCGGCCAACATGGTGAAACCCCGCCTCTACTAAAAATACAAAAATGTGCCAAGCGTGGTGGCACGCACCTGTGATCCTAGCTACTTGGGAGGCTGAGGCAGGAGAATCGCTTGATCGCTTGAACCTAGGAGGCGGAGGCTGCAGTGAACCGAAATCACACCACTGCACTCCAGCCCAGGCGACAGAGCAAAACTCTGTCTGAAAAAAAAAAATTTAATAAACATACGTGTGTGTGTGTCTTTATAGTAGAATGATTTATAATCCTTGGGGTACATACCCAGTTATGGGATTGCTGGGTCAAATAGTATTTCTAGTTCTAGATCCTTGAGGAATCGCCACACTGTCTTCCACAATAGTTGAACTAATTTACACTCCCACCAACAGTGTAAAAGCGTTCCTATTTCTCCACCTCCTCTCCAGCATCTGTTGTTTCCTGACTTTTTAATGACCGCCATTCTAATTGGCGTGAGGTGGTATCTCATTGTTTATTGCGGCACCGTTCACGATAGCAAAGACTTGGAAAGTGAACCCAAGTGTTCATCAATGATAGACTGGATAAAGCAAATGTGGCACATATACACCATAGAATACTATGCAGTCATAAAAAAGGATGAGTTAATGTCCTTTGCAGGGACATAGATGAAACTGGAAACCATCATTCTCAGCAAACTAACAACAGGAACAGAAAACCAAACACCGCGTGTTCTCACTCATAAGTGGGAGTTGAACAATGAGAACACATGGACACAGGGAGGGGAACATCACACACTGGGGCCTGTCGGGGTGGGGGGCTAGGGGAGGGATAGCATCAGGAGAAATACCTAATGTAAGTGACAGGTTGATGGGTGCAGCAAACCACCACGGCACATGTATACCTATGTACCAAAACTGCACGTTCTGCCATGTACCCCAGAACTTAAAGTATATAAAAACAAAAATTGAAAAAGAAAGTAAGATCAACATGCAAGGTGGGTGCACGCCACAGGGGCAGTCATGGCCGGGGGTACATCCTAACAGTGAGGTGCTGTCTCCAATCAGCTGGGCTGCACGCCACAGGGCAGTCATGTCTAGGGTCCATCCTAACAGTGAGCATATGTAGAACTGGACGCTGGGCAGAGGCTGTGCAAGGAGTGAGTGTGTGGCTGCATTAATCCAGAAAGCCACGGAGGCTTCTATGGACTTGCAGGGGAGCCCGTCTTCTCCTCTCTCCTCCAAACGCTGGAGAAGCTCGTTCTAGCTGTCTCTAGCCCCAAGGCCGCCCTCTACCTGTGCCCAGCCTGTCCCCTGAGCCCCAGGTTCCCATCATGACAGACCGGTCCCTTTGTCACAGCACCTGTGTGTGCCGTCTTCTTGGCTGGTGTGTCCAGATGTGCCTCATTCTCAGCCCAGCTCTTCAGACCCAGATAGCAGCACACAGGATACCGGGGCTCTGCCAGCCACCCCCTTCCAAATGGCTTCTGCATGCCACAGTGGGAATGAAATACGACGTGTGGCATGGGCGCTTGTTAAAGATCAGTCTTTAAAAATGAAATAGAAGGATTTGTGTCTGCATCCAAATTACTTTAAATGTCAGCTCCCCGTTAAACCCAAGATATGGCGGGTGGCACAGGTCCTTGGATGACACCTCTACCCCGTCGTGTTCATCAGTGCCGGCGTCTTCGTCACTGCGGCTCTGTCCCTGGGTCCCTTCGCATATCACCTCTTCCTGAACTGGAATATAAATCTCAGGCTCCATAGGCTTTGGGCATGATTGAACCACTGTGTGCCTCCCAGACTGACAAGCCCCTTCCAGGGATGCGGCCATTGTACCAAAAAGACTTACTGGGTCAGATCCCACCATCCTCCCCCTGCCTGGAAGAGTGACTGCTCTTCTGCGTGCTAGGGTGGGAGACCTTGTGGAAGTCAGTTTATCTTTAGAGTTTCAGTTTCCTTATCTGTAGAAGGGGGTAAGAATGCCCCCAGGGTTGACCCTTCAGGTTCATGGGATGATAAGAAAGGAAAATGGTGGACGAGAAAGGTTTCTGAGGCTCTGCTGTGCTCCTGGCCCTCTTGCTTGCTTCTGCCCTACCTAAGGCACAGACAAGTTCTCTGTGTAGGAAAAGGATTCTTGTTTTCCACATGTGGTATCTTCCAGAGTATCCTGGAATGTCTACATGCCCGATTAGAATCCAGCATTAGAATGAAGTCAGACTCTCAGCCTCTTCTTTGGGAAACCCCTGCCCATCTGGTCATTGGTGCTGTGCAACAGGAAAGACTCGGGGTGCTGGTTGCATTGCTGCAGCAGGAGAGACTCGGGGTTCTGGTTGCATTGCTGCAGCAGGAGAGACTCAGGGTTCTCGTTGCATTGCTGCAGTAGGAGAGACTTGGGGTTCTCGTTGCATTGCTGCAAGCAGGAGAGACTCGGGGTTCTCGTTGCATTGCTGCAGCAGGAGAGACTCAGGGTACTGCTTGCATTGCTGCATCTCTCAAAAGCTTTGTTTTGTTGTTGGTTAGATTTGGCACTGTGTAGTCATGGCCATGTGGCTTCAGGTTCTCACAGGACACAGGGACATGTGACTGATGAGGTTTCAAGAGAGGAGGATTGGATGAGTGGGGGATTGCAGCTTCCCTCCTCCCGACACCTGGGACCCTCCACTCACAGAGAGAATGAGCTTCTCCAGCGTTTGGAGGAGAGAGGAGAAGATGGGCTCCCCTGCAAGTCCATAGAAGCCTCCGTGGCTTTCTGGATTAATGCAGCCACACACTCACTCCTTGCACAGCCTCTGCCCAGTGTCCAGTTTTACATATGCTTTGGAAATAAGAACAACTGTCAATAACACCATGACCTAAAGAAAGAAACAAGTAAGCGCTGAAAAGCACTGGGGAAAGCCCCCTGGGGCTCAAAGGAGTGGAAGCCCGTGCCTTATCCTCTGAGCCCCAGCTATGACAGTGACCTCCTGTAATGCACAAAAAGCCCTGGACTTCCTTCTCAGGCCTGGGTCTAACCGTAGGACTTAGAAACTAGTGATCAGAGGGTTCACAGGCAGGCAGAGGTGGAATCCTACCCACCCAGGGGGCATCCCCTGCTCGGTCCTGCAGAGACTCAGCTCCCAGCCTGCGGCATGGCAGGGAGGAAAGGCAGTGGGTGGAGGTAAGTTTCACAGAAGAGGCACAGAGATGGCAGAAGAGCCTCTTAGCTAGAGTAGGAGTAAGCAAGAGGGCCAGGGGCGCACCAGGAACTGTGTTCTTCCGTTCAGCTCTCATTCCCAAAGGAGCAGAAAACTCTGCAGCTTAGACAGAAGTCTGACCTCCCAAAAGGGAGCAGAGCCCAGCCCTGAGGAGCCGCCTCCAGCTGGCGGGAAGCCTGTCGGGCATCCTGTGAAGATGAAGGCCTGCTGCACATCGCCCGGACCTTTCAGGCCATCCCGGAGTGGGCAGGGCTTCCCACACCTGCAGGAACCAGAGCGAGACTGGAGACGAGCTCCCCGCCATGCCCCATGGCTCATTCTAGACCAGGATTGATTGACCTCTGCCGGTTTAAAAGGGCATTTTTTTTTTAAGCCTCAAAGTCAAAACTCAAGTATGAGCCCGTAAAAAAGTAATAATAATAATAAGCACTATCTATGGAAAGCAATCCTGTCCTAAAGATTTTAGGGCAGAGGTAGCTCTGAAAATAGATCTCTGCAGTAAACAGACAATACTTTTATAGAAAGTGTCTGCTTGTTGGTGTCACAGAGATGGACTGCATGGCCGTGACCCAGGAGCCAGGAACCCAAGGTGAGGCAGGACCTGGAACGAAGGCAGACATCCAAGGGTTTTCTGAATGAAATAGAAGATGGATACGGAGACACCAAAGATGTAAAAGTAGAGTTTAGTTGTGTATTGGGAGCTGCAAATAACATAAATATAACTGCAGAAAATCAAAACAGTGATAAGGAGACTAATCTTAAAACCAAGAGATAATTCACAGAAAAAAAAAAAAAAAAGCAAGGAAATGGAACAAAACAGATAAAGAGAAGTTGGTAGATCTGGAGGACAGAGGATGAATATCTAACTGAAGAGTCGTGGATGCTCCTGAGGGGGAACCTCAATGGCTCCAGCAGAAGGAAGAATCACATTAGAGTGAAAACCATAGTGTTGGAAAGAAAGTTACTCGAGCTGGAGGAAACTGCCAACGAAAAACCAAACAAAAACACCCTGGATCTAGCCATTTTATGGTGATATCTTTGAATTTCAAGAACAAAGGAAACCCTTGTGATAACCATCCAGGGAATATTAAGAAAATAGAAAGACAAGAGAACAAGAATCCCCACAAACACACATGCAAGCTGTCCCCTGAACTCAGTGAGACTTAGAACCAGGAGACAAGAGGGAGACTTATGTAAATATATGATTGAAACATCGTTTTACTTATGAATTTGTTCTCATTTCTATTTGTTTTGTTGTTTTTGGGCAAAGTAAATAAATAAGACAGCTTTAGATTTGCAAGGATTTAGAAAGCTTACCAGTTATGCCGAACCCTTACTGTCTTCAGTGCGGATGGCATCAGGTTCAAGAGGTTGAAGAAGAGACCCAGAGCCAGCAAATGAGACCTGGAGGTGGGGGGCACTTACATACAGGGTAGAGAGGCTAGTGGTGGTGGGCTGGACAGGTGAACTACCTCACATACAGAAACAATCCAGTCGTGGTAGTCTGGACGGGAGAATCACTGGTCCAGTGGTGGTGGGCTGGACAGGTGAACTACCTTACATACAGAAATAATCCAGTCGTGGTAGTCTGTACAGGAGAATCACTGGTCCAGTGGTGGTGGGCTGGACAGGTGAACTACCTTACATACAGAAATAATCCAGTCGTGGTAGTCTGGACGGGAGAATCACTGGTCCAGTGGTGGTGGGCTGGACAGGTGAACTACTTTACATACAGAAACAATCCAGTCGTGGTAGTCTATACGGGAGAATCACTGGTCCAGTGGTGGTGGGCTGGACAGGAAAATCACAACCACATGCAAAAAGCTTGCAGTTTATATGGCATTTTCAAATAGCACCTTCCCCCAAGCAGGCTCCACCTGGCACTCTTCATTCAACCCCGGATCTGGAGCCTCAATCCCCTGTGTAGGCCACGTTCCATAGGACGGGCTGGGGGCTCAGATGTTCCTCATAGACAAGGAGTGTATCTCCAGGTTGGCCACTCCTGGATTCCCTAGCTCAGAGCACACATTCAGGTGTATCTTCCGTACGGGGTCACTCTCAGGGTATGCTTAAATTATTGCTATCAGGTACATTTATCATACCACCTACATACCTTTCCTGAACAAGTGAGGAAAAGATGCACTCAAGTCAATCAGGAAAGAAAGAAACATCAGGAGCTGAACATTGAAAAGGTCACATGTAAGATGATTAATGGTGACCATTGATATCAGTTGAATACATGGGGCTGGATATAAATGATTCCTCTAACTATGGCTATAAAATTGAACATAAGATTCACAGCACTATTATTTAATATACTCTGTATATTATGAAAAACAATTGGTGCATGAAAATAACGTGGTCTGTAACCTCTAGTAAAACTAACAGAGGCTGTGGGGAGCAGGCAGTGGCAGGCTGGAGTCACTCATGGGATAGAAGGAGCCATGATGATTTAAGTCGTTAGAGAAATGATGTAGTCATTAAGAGTGCATTTGCTTAACATAAAAGCTATCACAAATAGAGACAAAATATAATTTCAACTAAACCACTGAGAGTAAAAAGCAAGTGACACTTGTGCATGTATGTAAAGACAAGACCAATCATGAAAGGAACATATCCAGAAATCAACTTGGATCATAGTGTTCGGATAGAATGTCACTATCAGTGAAGACAATAAATGTAAATGGATTAGTCTCCTCTATTAAAAAGCAAAGACTATCAAATCAAGTGTTGAAAATAGCCAAACGTGTTGTCTTCTAAGGGCATTCCTACAAAATAATAAGGTTAAAAGCAAAAAATAAATAAAGATAAATCAGGCAAATGCATTTGAAAGGAAATTGAGAGGTAAAACATTAAATTGGAACAATATTGTCATATATTGATACATTTACTTATTGACACGTTTATGCCTTACAGTTCAGACTGTAATGAAAGTGTCACATTTAGAAATCATTATGCACTGATTAGCATACATAAGAATAGATTATGTAAACACAATTACAAATAAATTATATGATCAGAAACAATTTTTAGCTGAGATTTAAATAACTTAATCTATATTAAGGTCAAGTAAACACCACCAATAACAACAACAAAAAGCAGCAGTGCATAGATCTTTTGAATACTACAATTAACTAAAATTGAATTTGAGCCACATATCTAAATTATAGTATACAAACAAGGCTGCTTCCAATTTTCAATCATTGTTGAAATCTCTACAAAAAGAGCCATAAACCAAGTCATGAATTAAATCACACTAGGAGAAGAAATGCACCAGCCCTCTTTTCCAGTGAGAATACACTGTATTTAAAATTGAGACTTACACCAAAAAATAAAAGCCTTATTAACCAGGACTTTCTTATAATTTATTGATTGAAAGTTTTAATAAAAGAAGAAGCCACACTCACAGAAGGTCACATGCAATGTCTGAAGTCCATCTGCTGGTGTCCAATGCTGGATGGAGCAACTGCCAGATGGTTAACTTGGAGCAAACTTCCCTTTCTATGCCTCAGTTTCTACATTTATAATATGGACAAAATACCACTTCCTAGGGCTTTTGTAAGCATTGGATGAATTCGTATATTAAAGTGATTTGAGCAGGGCTAGCACTACTGAACAATATTATATATGCATTTGAGTTATTGATATCCCATTTAGAATGTCATAGAAATAACACACGGTATTTTTGCAGATCCAGTGAAAGAGCTACTCATCAGTGTATGTATGTCTTTAAATGCCTTTATCTTCAAATCAGAAAGAATGAACACAACTTAAGCGGGAGGAAAAGCCACCCTTCCCCTCAAAGAGGAGAAAACAGCTGGTAAAGCTGAAAAGAAATATTAATGAATTTTAAAAAGAAAGGCATGGAGTGTGTCATTGCACCTTTAACAAACCTATAAAAATGTGGTTTTACTTCTTTACATAAATTATTTTATATCAGAAAATAGAGCTGAAAGGAGGAAGCAGATTACTAGGCTGAGATAGGCTGAAAGCTACACCTGTTGCACCAGTCAGCCAAGTTGTAGAGCAAAGGAAAAATTATTCACAAGTGTATGCATAGCTAGTGTATCGATCGCTAAATCTGGAAATTTTTATTAAATGTATATTTTTTCTAGGGGAAAAACTACCATACATAACTGAAGGAATAGATAAATGTTAATATTCTTCAGTAAAATTTTCAGAGAGAAATACTTTAATAGGCACGCTGCTTAAAATATTAAGTGTTCAGGTTTCTTTTCCCAAATATTGGAAAATATGGAAAATCATCCAGTTTATCTTAGGAACTAAAATATTTTATATTTATTTATAAATATATAATAATTTTATATTTATTTATAAATATATAATAATTTTATATTTATTTATAAATATATAATATTTTTATATTTATTTGTAAATATATATTTTTATATTAGTATATAATAATTTATAAATATATGTAAATATATAATAGTCATAAATATATTTATATTATAAATTCGTATAAAATATAAATTCATAAACATAAATCTGTATAAAATATAAATTCACAAATATAAATCTGAAAAGAGGAATCAGATTACTAGGCTAAGACAGGCTGAAAGCTGTGCCTCTTACACCAGTCAGTCAAGTTGTAGAGCAAAGGAAAAATTATTCACAAGTGTATGTGGTATGTGTAGCTAGTGTATTGATCACTAAATCTGGAAATTTTGTTTATGTAATTTTTAATTATATAAAATATAAATAAATATAAATTTATAAGTTTATATTTAAATTTATTTTAAATATATAAATATAAATTTAAATATAAAACATAAATATAAATTTAAATATGAAATATATAAATTTAAATATAAATATATAAATATATATTTAGGAACTGAAATATTTTAGAAAGTGTCCCAAAAGATAAAAAAGTTCCAATTATCATCTCCTTCCACAAAGACTTTTGAGTCTGTGATGTGGGCCAGGCACCGTGTCAGGCACGCAATTCCTTCAGCAAGCAGCCTAGCAGCTGCATACACCCACCCAGCATTGTCCCGAGGGCAGCAGCCGCCTCTGGGGATCCGTGTCCCTGGAATGTGCATCCTCTGGTGTTAGTACTGCATGGCACACACATTGCTCACACCTACATAAAATAACAGCACACTGAATTCTGAGTCCTTTAAAAGAAAAAAAAGAGGCTGGGCACGGTGGCTTACGCCTGTAATCCCAGCACTTTGGGAGGCCGAGGTGGGCGAATCATGAGGTCAGGAGATTGAGACCATCCTGGCCAACCTGGTGAAACTTCATCTCTACTAAAATACAAAAAAATTAGCTGGGCATGGTGGCACGTGCCTATAGTCCCAGCTACTTTCAGGAGGCTGAGGCAGGGGAATCGCTTGAACCCGGGAGGTGGAGGTTACAGTGAGCCGAGATCACGCCACTGCACTCCAGCCTGGGCGACAGAGCAAGACTGTGTCTCAAAAAAAAAAGAAAGAAAGAAAAGGCCACATGCAGTGCGGTGGAGCCAACATGAGCAACAAAAGTGCGTCTTGCTACAGGCCCACCTTGTTTTATTGTACTCTGCTTTATTGCACTTTGCAAATATTGCCGTTTTCACAAATTGAAGGTTTGTGGCAGCCCTGCCTTGAACCAGTCTGACAGCACCATGTTTTCAACAGCGTATGCTCACTTTGTGTCTCTGTGTCACGTTTTAGTAATTTCCCCTGTATTTCAAACTTTATTACTATATCTGTTACGGTGATCTGTGATCATTGAGGTTTGATGTGACTATGGCAGTTGTCTTGGGGCACCACAAACCATGCCCGTGTAAGATGGCACACTTCACAGATGGATGTTTTCTGCATTCTGACAGCTCCACTGACCGGCCAGTCCCGTCTCTCCTCTCCACGGGCCTCCCTGTTCTCTGAATCAACAATATTGAAATTAGGCTAATTAATAACCCTACAGTGGCCTCTAAGTGTTCAAGTGAAAGGAAGAGGCGTCCGTCTCTCACCTTAAATCAAAAGCTAGAAGTGATCGAGCTTCGTGAGGAAGGCGTGTCGAAAGCTGAGACAGGCTGAATGCTAGGCCTCTCGCACCAGTCAGCCAAGTTGTAGAGCAAAGGATAAATTATTGAAGATAAATGCAAGTACTACTCCAGTGAATATACGAATGATAAGAAAGGGATAGAAAGTTTTAATGGTCTGGAGACAAGATCCAACCAGCCACAATATTCTCTTAAGCCAAAGCCTAATCCAGAGCAAGCCCCAACTCTCTCGAATTCTGTGAAGGCTGAGAGAAGGGAGGAGGCTGCAGAAGAAAAGTTGGAGCCAGCAGACGTTGACTCATGAGTGTTAAGGAAAGAAGCTGTCTCCACTACATAAAAGTGCAAGGTGAAGCAGCAACTGCTGTTGGAGAAGCTGCAGTAAGTTCTCCAGAAAATCCAGCCAGGACCATTGATGAAGGTGGCTCCATTAGACAATAGATTTTCAATGTAGATGAAAGAGCCTTCTATTGCAAGAAGACGCCCACTGTGGGATTTCCCACTAGAGAGAAGTCAGTGCCTGGTTTCGAAGCACCAGAGGACAGGCTGACTCTCTTGTTAGAGGCTAATGCAGCTGGTGACTTGAAGTTGAAGCTGGAGTTCATTTTCCATTCTGAAAACCCCAGGTCCTTGAAGAATTAAACAAACCTACTCCGCCTGTGCTCCATACAACGTACAACACGGCCTGGATGGCAGCACATCTGTGTATGGCATGGTTGACTGAATCCTTTAAGCCCACCGATGAGACCTACTGCTCAGAACAAAAGATTCAAGATATTGCTGCTCATTGACAATGCACTTGATCACCCAAGATCTCGGATGGAGATGTTCCAGGAGATGAATGCTGTGTTCATGCTGCTAACACAACATCCATTCTGCAGCCCATGGATCAAGGAGTAATTTTGAAATTAAAGTCTTCTTCTTTAAGAAATACATTTGATAAGGCTATAGCTGTCATAGATCATGATTCCTCTGATGGACCTGGGCAAAGTCAAATGCAAACCTTGTGGAGAGGATTCACCATTCTAGACGTCATTAAGAGCATTTGTGATTCATGGGAGGAGGTCAAAATCATCAAAATTAACACCTGTTTGGAATAAGTTGAATCCAACCCTCATGCATGGCTTTGAGAGAGTTTAAGATTTCAGTGGCGGAAATCACTGCAGATGTGATGGAAGTAGGAAGAGAACTCGATTTGGAAGTGGAGTCTGAAGAGGGGACTGGACTGCTGCAATCTCAGGATAGAACTTGAACGGATGGGGAGGTACTTCTTGGGGATAAGCAATGAAAGTGGGTTTTTTTGTTGTTTTGTTTTTCTGAGACGGAGTCTTGCTCTTGTCACCCAGGCTGGAGTGCAGTGGCGCAATTTCGGCTCACTGGAACTGCAAGCTCCGCCTCCCGGGTTCACGCCATTCTCCTGCCTCAGCCTCCCGAGTAGGTGGGTCTACAGGCGCCCGCCACCACGCCCAGCTAATTTTTTGTATTTTTAGTAGAGACGGGGTTTCACCGTGTTAGCCAGGATGGTCTCGATCTCCTAACCTCATAATCCACCCGCCTCAGCCTCCCAAAGTGCTGGATTACAGGCGTGAGCCACCACGCCTGGCCAGAAAGTGTTTTTTTGACATGGAATCTGCCCCTGGTGAAGATGCTGTGAACATTGTGGAAATGATGACATAGGATTTCGAATATTCCATAGGCCTAGTTGACAGTGCAGCGGCAGGTGTGAGAGAATTGATTCCGATTTTGAAAGAAGTTCTTCTCTAGTTAAAATGCTCTCAAACAGCATCGCATGCTACAGAGAACTCTTTCATGAAAGGAGAGTCAATCGATACAGCAAACGTTAGTGTTGTCTTAAGAAATTGTCACATCCTCCTCAACCTTCAGCAACCACCGCCCTGATCAGTCAGCAGCCATCAGCATCGCGGCAAGACCCTCCACCAGCAAAGAGATGACGACTCCCGGAAGGCTCAGATGATCCTTAGCATTTTTAGCACTAACTTATTTTTAAGGTATGTACTTTTTTTAGACATGATGTGTTTGCACACTGAGTAGACTGCAGTATAATATAAACATAGCTTTTATATGCACTGGGAAACCAAAAATTTGTGTCACTCTCTTGATCGTGATATTTACTTTATTGCGGTGGTCTGGAACTGAACCCACCATATCTCTGAGGTATGCCTGTATTTCAAAATCAGGTAGAATGACTATATCACCAGACTGAATATTTTAAAAAGTCTTCTAATTCAATAGATGCTGGGAAAGTCACTAGGGGGACACAGTCTTACTCATTACAAAACAAATCAAATGAGCAAAAGCACCAAAGCCACAGACCTCCAGTCAGCCTGGAGGGTAGGGCAGGCCCACCCAGGGCCCAGCGTCCATCTGAAACCCAAGCCAGCATGTGCTTCAGCCTCCAGCTCTGAGATTTTGGGACACAGAACCCAGTTGCCCTATGTCTTTTCAAATGGAACCCTCACAGGCAAGTTGCCCTATGTCTCTTCAAATGGAACCTTCAGGGGAGTCCTGCATGGTGACTTTTTGGACGTTCCGGCAAATGCAATCACATCAGTGTGTGATATGAGAAAATAACGATCCTTGTTACTTGCAGGTGAGGTAAGCAGGTGCTTCAGAAACTCTAGAGATTGGCTGAAATGCCTTGGAAACTAATAAGATTTCAGTAAACTGGACCGAGTATGAGTATAGAAAGTTCTCTGCTTGTATCCAATGTTAAAGTTTTCACAGACCCAGTCTGTGGTGTAGATCTGTGTTCAGCAAACTCCAGCCTGCAGGCCAAATCAGGCCCATCCGTTCGTGTGTTCATTCGCACATTGTCTACAGATGGGTGGGAGCCACAGCAGCAGAGTTCAGCAGTGGCAAAACAGAACCTATGGCCCCAGAGCTGCAAATGCATATACTGTCTGACTCTTTGCAGCACAAGTTTGCCAACCCCTGGACCAGACTAATAAAAGTTCTTCAGCCCCACCTGCCAAGAGCTGGAATGGGCAGCCGCCTGCACAGTGTTGGTCAGGATGGGAAAGTGGTGAATTTGCTGGTCACCTTTAGGAGAAGTCCACTCTGCATATGCAAAAAAGGGAGCTACCGTACACAAAAACCGTTGCTGCTGACTTCCAAGCACATGTGTTTCAAACTAATGATTTAATTACAATAAATGCATGAAATAAATGAGAGGGGAAAACTATTGATCACAGCAGAAAACAGAAAGTAACTTGAAAGAACATGAGTAAGAAATGGTTGGCACCTGTGTAAAATGTAAAGACTTCCCGTGAGAAATGAGAAAAGTCTGGAACAAATGAAAGATGCCATAGACGCTGACATGGGGAGTGGAGGGCGAAATATCGTGAGGCCAGCTGTTCTTTCAAAAGTTAATCTTTACATTTAGTAAGATTTGAATCCAGTTTCCCATGGGTTTTCAGAATTTCACAAGATGATTTTACGTTTTATCCTAGAGTGTAATTCAGTCTCGGGCGTCAAAGACTTTGGAACGGAAGACTCACCCAGGTGTCCTCGTCCTGCTGGTGTAGACACGTGTGTGAACAGCAGGAGAGGAGCCGTCTGGGCTCTGGGCAGTGTGTGAGCGGCTCTGGGCTTTGGGGCGGCCTGCCTGGCCCAAGCCTGGGCCCCACCACTGTGACCTGCCTCAGGAGTTAACACAAGGACCATGTTTGGCAAAGTCCCAGCACATAAGTAAATGCTAAAATGTTAGCTCTTCTGACTGCTGTTTTCTGATCCACAGAAGAGGCCAAGTGAACAGCCCCGTCCTGAAATGAACCCAGGTGTTCCTGAGAGGTGATACGGATGTCGTGAGCATCTCAAATCAGTGAGGATGGGACAGGGTCACCAGCAGCAGGTGCTGGGAAAATCAGCTTTGGATTTGGGGAAAAACCCAAGTTGGACTCTTACCTCACACCATGTTCAAAACTAAATTCCCCTGGTATTGCAGAGTAAAGGATAAAGGAAACTCTGAGATGACCAGGAGGAAGTGGAGGGGAATATTGATCTGCATGTGGCGTGAGGAAGAACGCTGCGATTGTAAACTCAATCGGAGAAATCCATGATGACAGCAAACGCCTGACCCTGTGCACCTAGGCACTCAGGTAGATTAACTCATTCATTCCGACAGCTGCCCATGGGCTGCAGACTGTTCTCATCCCGTTTTACAGATGAGGAAACGGAGGCACGGAGGTGCTAAGTAACGTCCTGAAGACCACCCACGAGCCACAGAGCTGGGATCCTACCAAGGAGCTGGGAGCTGGAGCCCCTGATCTCCTCTAGCCACCCCGACTGACCTCAGAACCTCAAACGTAGGACAGTCCAGTCACATGCATGACGCTAGGAGACAGATCACAGCGTGGGGAGCAGGAGGTGGATCACAGCTGGCCAGCGTGTCTCATAACCTTGTGATAGACGCACAGTCCACAGGAAGATGGGCAAAGTCCGCAAATAGAGAATTCCCAAAATACGAAATGGAAGCAGCCAGAAAAAATGACAGAGACAGTCACTGTCAAGAAGGGCGACCAAAACACCCACACAGAGGCCACTCAGGTTCATTTGTTTTCTTTTTATCTGATCTCCTTTTGAGCTGACTTAAAGGATGCTAATAGGAATGAAGATCCGCCAGTCTCTCTGGAAAGCAGAAAGCAGTTAGGCACTCTGTGGAGAGAATCTGAAATTTGTACTCATGATGCTTTGGAAGACAGTTTGGCAGTGGCTGAAAATGATGGAGTTACCAAGGGAGGCAGCAATCGCCCTCCTAGAGTCCACAGAGTCCATCCCCCGAGGAGGAATGAGAATCACACTCCTAGAGTCCATCCCCCGCAGGAGGAATGAGAATCACACTCCTAGAGTCCAGAGTCCATCCCCCCAGGAGGAATGAGAATCGCACTCCTAGAGTCCATCCCCCGCAGGAGGAATGAGAATCACACTCCTAGAGTCCAGAGTCCATCCCCCCAGGAGGAATGAGAATCGCACTCCTAGAGTCCAGAGTCCATCCCCCCAGGAGGAATGAGAATCGCACTCCTGGAGTCCAGAGTCCATCCCCCCAGGAGGAATGAGAATCGCACTCCTAGGGTCCCTCCCCCCAGGAGGAATGAGAATCGCACTCCTAGAGTCCATCCCCCCAGGAGGAATGAGAATCGCACTCCTAGAGTCCATCCCCCCAGGAGGAATGAGAATCGCACTCCTAGAGTCCAGAGTCCATACCCCCCAGGAGGAATGAGAATCACACTCCTGGAGTCCAGAGTCCATCCCCCCAGGAGGAATGAGAATCGCACTCCTAGGGTCCCTCCCCGCAGGAGGAATGAGAATCGCACTCCTAGAGTCCATCCCCCCAGGAGGAATGAGAATCGCACTCCTAGAGTCCATCCCCCCAGGAGGAATGAGAATCGCACTCCTAGAGTCCATCCCCCCAGGAGGAGTGAGAATCGCACTCCTAGAGTCCATCCCCCCAGGAGGAATGAGAATCGCACTCCTAGGGTCCATCCCCCCAGGAGGAATGAGAACCGCACTCCTAGGGTCCATCCCCCCAGGAGGAATGAGAACATGTCCACACACAAACCTGTACACGCCTGTTCTTAGCAGCACCGTTCCCAACAGCCAGAAAGTGGAAAGAGCCCAAGTGTCCGTCAGCGGTCCCACGGAAAAACAACCTTCATATACAGCCATGACTGGAATATTATTCAGCCTTAAAAAGGAATGGCATTCTGATGAACCGGCAACACGGATGAACCTCGGAAACATGACGCCGAGTGAAGGAAGCCAGTCACCGAAGTCTGCCCTGTTGGAGCCCAGTGATGTGAAACTTCCGGAACAGGCAAGGTCACAGAGGCCGAATGAAGGCCCGTGGCCGCCAGGGTCCAGGACGGAGATGGGGAGTGGTTGCTGACGGGTATGGCGTTGCTTTCGAGGAGATGAAGGTGTCCTAAAGTTGGCTGTGGTGATGGTCGCCCAACCTGGGAATTGATGCTTTAAGTGGCAAATTTTATTGTATGTGAATCATATCTCAATAAAACTGCAGCACACAGGTACTTAGGCATAGCCTGGTATTTGAGGCAGAGAGGCCCTGACCCGTCTCTCCCCTGGTCCCCAGGGGCTCTGCTCTGACAGCACAGCAGCTGCAGGTGGGGGCTGCCCTGGCAAGACCACCATGCCCCTCTCCTGACCTCTGTTGATGTGAGGACTCTGCCCCGTGTCGAGCTCAGAGGCCAGACACCTGGCCACACAGAGAGGCCTGTCCCACCCCAAATGGCCATTTGTCCTGAACGTGGACACAGGACAAAGACCATGAGACAGGGAACCTGAGAACGTGGCTGGGCTTTGACCTTGAGCTTCAGAAGCTACTTGGCCCCCACAGCTCGAGGGCAGCGCCTGGCCTTAGGGACCCCGAGCTGCCCTAGTGGGAGGTGCTTCTGACGCTGCCTTTGAGGAGCGCCCCTGAGCCTGCCCTGCTGTCCCTGGTCCCCTCAATGCTGTCCACCCATGAACTCGCAACTGAATGAGGCTGTGGAGCTGCAGTCGCCGAGATGCTGTGGTCGCCCCTGATGCCAGCCGGGGTCTTCTCCTGGGGCTGGGAGAGGGCACCGCACACTGTGCTGGGTGAGCCTGGGCACAGGGACAGAGCTTCAGAGCTGCACCATGGCACAGCACGGAAGGGGAAGGTTGGAAGTGGCAGAGCCACGTCCTTCACACGCCCTTCGATGTTGCCCGAGAGGTGGGCAGTTCCCAAGGCCAGTGCAGCCTCAGGGATGGAGATGCCAGCCCTGCTCCCTAGCGCTGGATGTGACTGTGGCTCCAGGTGTGAACACTGGCCCCAGGGCCTCCGCAGGGCAAATGGGCAGCCTTGTGGCCAGGGAGGGCGGCTTCCACCTCCCAGGGAGCTGCAGCCTCTGAGGTCAGAGGTGGGGTTGAGCTGGACCGAGCGTGAGATGCTGAGTGATGAGTGAGGGCCGCGGTCACTGTGCAGCCCTGTTGTGCCTCCTGCGGTTGCCTGTGTGGGGGCCTTCCCTGGGGGATGCTGTTGGGGGGGCTCTGGCCTCCTTTGGAGGACATGAGGGAGATCCTGGGTCCTCTCATTTAGAATTCAGTGAGGCTGAGTCCAGGAACCCACCTTTGGAGTGGACGGAATGGGTGGCCTGCTGCAGTGAGCCTGGCTGCCGGGGCCAAGTGTGAAATTTCCTTCTTGAGCAGGGCAGTGCCTGCAGAACTGGGAGCCGAGCACGGGGAGCCCAGCATGGGGAGGGCCTTATTGTCACTGGAGGAAAGGAGGGAAGCCCCCGGAATGTCTATATTGTTTTTAAAATTGAGATATAGCTCTCAGCAGTGAAACACACACATCTTAAAGGTACCACTGCGTGGATTGTGATGTCACCAAACCCACATGGGGGCCCCCAGGTCAGACACAGAATGTCCCCTGCAGCCCAGCGGGTGTCCCAGTCAGCACTCCTCCCGGGCAGCCACTCCTGGGCCTCTGGGCGCACAGCAAGGGAAGGTCGAAGGCCACGCCTGTGCTCCTGAGTCTCATCTCGCTGCCTCTGGCCTCTCCTGACTCCTTGTACAGAGCCCCCCAGCTCAGTCCCTCCAGGACCCTCTACTCACCCCAGTGAGGAGTGATTGCACCACAGCCTCCTCACCTGAGACCATCTGCGCCAATAATCACATTATTAAGTGAGGGAGGCCATGATGTGCACACTCCTAAACGGGTTATTTTAATTTAAGAGGTATAAAAAGCCAACATTCCCCGGGCAGGGTGTGTTAGTTTCCATGATGCATAACCAGGCAGCCGCTGGGTCAGCCCTCAGGAGCTCCGTGTTTTTTGCCACTTGTGGCTCTGTCTTCAGTCCTGAGAGTTAATCGGCCGTCGCAGGCAGCCCGACATGGCACCTTGACCTTGCTGCTGCTCAGAATTCAGGGCCAAGATGGGACGCTGCCTTCATGGCCCAAATGCATTGTCACCGGCTCCTCCTTTCACCACTGGATTATAAACCAAGCCACCCCTCGTATGAGCATCTCACCTGGATCCTGGTATTCGTGATTCAAAACAATGAACCTTAATGCTTTGCTCCCTTCTCCAAAAAGGAAAAATCGTGGTCTATCTGCAAAAGCAGCAGCTCCATAGAAATAGCAAACTGCAGCCCACCACTACCCCAGCACTGCTGAGAACCCTCCCCCGCACCAGGGCCCAGTTTCTGGAAGCTTCTAGGAACTTCTCAAAGACCCAAAGATAGCTATGAGGCAAAGAGAGGAAATATACCATTGGAAAGACAGAAATATAATTTTCCCATATTTAAATTAAATATTTTTTTTTCCCAGAGAAGTATGCTAGACTATTTAACCAACCAAGAAATATGTGTTCTTACAGCTTAGCAACTTGCAGAAAATGTTGAGACTGCGGTCTGGTTCTGTCAAAGCTAAGCGAAAGAATACACGCCTTCCTTTCCAGGGCCCTGGCACTGCCCATTCTGCTTCCTTCCCCAGCTCTCCACCTCATGGCACAGAAGGGCTGCATAGCGAATGCCTGTGCACACTAATCCCAGCCTTGGTTAGGGCGGTCTCCTGCCTTCAGCCCGAGGACACCTGCATGCAGGTGCTGTGTCCTCTGGGGTGGGTGAGTGGCCGGCACTGTAATTGCTGACACAAGGTTAGACATCTGTTGCAGCCCAGATGTGTCCAGAGGTGATAACTGATCTTCGAGCTCGCTGCTCAGGTTAACAATGACCAATAAAGGATGAAGTGTTGAGCAGATCTGGGGAGGAGCATGTGATGGCTCCGCCTGCCTCTCTGTGTTTGTCGTGGGCTTGCTTTCATTGCTTGTGGACTGGTTCTCCTGGTGCCATCCTTCCCTCTCAGAGCTGACAGCGCCTCCCCGTGCATTTGCCGTGCACAGCTCCCTTTATTCCCCGGCGCGAGGCACGATTACTCCATGGTCTATGGCAGCAATCTGGCCGTCAGGACGTTGAGTCAGCAGAAGCTCTGGGGGCCCTGCACCCTCAACTGTCCAGGACTGCAGGTCGGCTTTCTAAGTGGGAGTCTGATCGGTGTCCGGATGTGCTGATTCCTTAGAACCCACCAAGTGCCCATCCTCCTGGACACTGCTGCCCATGCCCATCCCAGCTGGCTTGTCCTTAATTAGCACAGGGAGGAGCTCACGCTGCAGGCCCCTCTCCTCCAACCCTGGAGAGGGTGAATGGATGCTCGAGGCTTTTCCTAACAGGACCCAACAGTGACTTTGCTAACTAGGAGCCCCAAGGAGAAGCCTATACCCCACCCTGCTGGGTGTGGCCTCCCTGGCTGGGAGGACGGCAGGGCAGGAGGTGGCTGCAGGAGCGGGGGCCCTGGGGCAGACGAGCTGGTCGCAGAGCCAGCCTCCCCGCATTGGCTGCGTGGCTCTGAGGACTCACAGAGCCTCCAGACTCCGGCCCCTCCCTGTGTGTTTGCAGATAAGACACAGCAATAGCCTTCACTCTCTGGTTGCAAGGAATAGTAACCATTTCCCACTGCTTAGTGAGCAAAAGTGGGCTTACCAGGGGGGCAGGGATGGAGCTGTGCCCCGGCCTCAGTTGGCGGATCTGCCTCGTACTGTCTCCTTCCTAACGTGGAAGCACGTGGCAGCGTCGTGGCTTCAGAACCGTCTCAGCGAAGGTCCAGCACCGTCACTGGCCCACACTCTCAGCCAGGGACAGATTCCAGAGAGAGCAGATGGGCTCAGCATGTCACGTGTCCACCCCTGATGGAGATTCACACACGAGAGCCCAGCCCTGGTGTTGGGGGCAGTTCACAGAGATGTGGTGGCTGCGATGTGGCCTCGCAGGGTCTGCAGGCACCGTGCTGAGGACATGCCCCCGGCAGGCCTCACAATTGCCCTGTTCTCAGGGGAGCTCAGTGACCCCCCGCCCTCACCCCTGAGAACCCTGGGACTGTGCCAGGTAAACAGCCTTAGAAATGGCAGCAGTGATGAGAACATGGCCGCAGGTCCCATCTGCCTCCTCGCAGGGCCCCGAGTCAGCGCTCAGGGAGGCTGCGTCATCCCTGTAGGAAGTGGAGACCCAACGTCCCCGAGGATGTAGGAAGTGGAGACCCAGCGTCCCCGAGGTGCGCTCACAGCGCTGTTGTGTTGGACTCTGGGTGTTCCCACCACCCTGGCTGTGGTCCTTATCCGCACAGATGGAGAAAATGAGGCTCTGGGAAGTGAGGAGTCCGTGATTCCACCCCAGCCCCTTGGTGAGCTGCCCAGCCCAGATCCTGCCCCCCGTTCCCACACTGCGAAGCCGGAGTCGTCCTCACCGCTGGGTCCCACCCTGCGAAGGTGGAGCCGTCCTCACCCCTGGGTCCCTCCCTGCAAAGCTGGAACCGTCCTCACCGCTGGGTCCCATCTGGGCACCTTGGGAGTCACCCGGCATGTTCCCCAGCACCTCCTGCGTCGGGCGTGGAGGGGAAGGTGGCGGGACTCTAGGCATTTTCTGCATGTGAACTTCAGAGAGAGTCCTCAAGTCCCTGAGTCCACAGGTCAGCCCCTCAGCAGCTCTTTTGGACTGAACGGCATCCCCCAAATCTATACATTTAAGCACTGACCCCCAGTCTGAATGTATTTGGAGATAGGGCCTTAAAGGAGAGAAGCTTAAGTGGGATCCTTGGGGTCCAGGGTCCTGATTCAAGAGAACCCTGTCTTTCTAAGAAGAGGAGGTGAGGACACAGACACACACAGGGCTGAGCCTGTGCAGACTCAGAGATGCCATCTGCACGCCGAGGAGAGGGGCCTCAGAAGCCAGCCTTGCCGCACCTGTGGATCCCAGACGTCCAGCCTCCTGGGCTGCAGACAGCGAATGTCCTTTGTTCAAGCCATCCAGTCTGGGGTACCTGGTTACAGCAGCTCCAGCAATAACACGGCAGCCTTCTGGATGAACGCTTGTAGAAGCTGATGAGGAAGGTCGCTGTGGCTTTTCTTCTTTATTCTGAGTTATACTCTGCAATAGAAAAAGTGCCCTGCATTCTCTCTTAGGCTGAACTCTTGAAATTAAACAGTTTTTTGTTAAGAACCCCATGGTTGGGGGTAAACACTGTTCCTATCCCGTGTTACAGACGGGGAAACTGGGGCTCCCAGAGGCTCCAGCTGGGAGGCTGTGGGAGGTCGGGGCACCTGCCAGGCTCTGGAGGGGTCTGGCTGCACCGGCTCCCCTGCCCAACCCCACAGGCCCCCTCATCCTTCACCAGGCACAGCCCTGCCCCACCCCACAGGCCCCTCATCCTTCACCAGGCACAGCCCTGCCCCACCCCACAGGCCCCTCATCCTTCACCAGGCACAGGTGCACGGGGCCCCTGCCAGGTTCGGGAAAAGAACTGACCCCCACGAGGATGGTCCTGGTGTTGAGAAACCTGCTTCACAGCGGAGGACACAGACAGCAGAGTCAAGCACAGTTTTAGTCAGAGCCCACATTAACACAGCAAGAGCCCAGCCAGAGCAGGTGGGGCAGGAGACGGGTGGAGCGGGTGGTGCTGTGTGGCGGAGCTGGCGGCGCAGTGGAGCGGGCGTTGTGGTGGACCCGGTGGCGTGGCAGACCAGGCGACGTGGTGGACCCGGCCGCATGGTGGACCAGGCAACGTGGTAGACTGGGCAGCGTGATGGACCAGGCGACATGGTGGACCGGGCCGCATGGTGGACCAGGCAACGTGGTAGACCGGGCCGCATGGTGGACCAGGCAACGTGGTAGACCGGGCAGTGTGATGGACCAGGCGACGTGGTGGGCCGGGTGGTGTGGTGAAGCCGGCAGCACAGTGGAGCAGGCATTATGGTGGACTGGGCAGCATGGTGTATTAGAAGAGGAGAGATGGCCTGGGGTGCTCAGCGGGGCTGAGTCCCCAGCTGGGAGCTCAGGTGCGATGAAGCCCAAGGGACTGACGGTGTGAGGAGGGCCCTCTGCTGCCTCCATGCAGCCCACACGCGGGGCCCCCACAGTGCGGACATGTTGGGGCAATGCTGCCTGGCCCCGCCCTCAGCCCAGCCCTGGGACGCAGGCTCAGCAGCCCCCGGATTCCAGTCAACATCCCCAGGACTCACTCGGGTCAGGCACAGTGTCCAAGCTGTGTGAGTCTCCGGGAGCCGCTGGAACAAAATGCCACACACCCGGTGGCTTCAAACCATGAAACCCGTTCTCACTGTTCTGGGTCCAGACGTCTGTGGTCACAGTGTCTGCTGGGCCGTGCTCCCGCAGGAGGCAGCAGCAGAGGGTCCTCCCTGCCTCCTCCTGCCATTCTTCCGGTTCGGGGGTCCAGACGTCTGTGGTCACGGTGTCTGCTGGGCCGTGCTCCCTTGGGAGGCTCCAGCAGAGGGTCCTCCCTGCCTCTTGCAGCCGCTGTGGCTGCGTGGCTCCCGCCTCTGTCTCTGTCTGCATGGGGCCTGCTGCTCTGTGTGTTTGCCCTGAGTCCAGATTTCCTTCTCCCTGTAAGGGAGTGGTATCCACCCTAATCTGATACGACCCCATTCTAACTCGATCACATCTGCTAGAACCTGCTGCCAAGTAAGACCCCATGCACAGGTATGGGGTCAGGATCTTCATGTCTGTTACTGTAGAACACAGTTCAGCCTCAACAGAGGACTAAGTCTAGTACAGCACAGTCTTCATTCCTGAGCTCATGGAGGAGGGGGAGGGCTGCCAGGTGCGTCCTCATTCCGGCGTACCACGGCCAGGAGCGGACTGTGGGGGAGCTGGGCCCCGCCGTGGGCAGCCGAGGCGCTGACGTCTCTGATGTCCAATCTGCCAGCCCAGCTGTGTTGGGGGAGCTCCTCTACCCTGAGGGAAAGAACCCTGCCTGCATTCGTCTTTGCCGCCCTCCTGAGTCAGGTGCCTTGTTTATGGCAGATGGATAAATGTTTGACAGATAAACAGATGATCCGTCCGCACATTCCTCAGCCGATGCCCCCACCTGCCCTACAGCAGCCGAGTGTTGCTTGGTGGCCTGGGGCACTGTGTCTGGCTTCAGTGATCACACCAGTCGTGATGAGTTTGGGGGATTTTACTTGTTAATTTTTCTGCGTAGTTTCAGTCCTAGGGCTGGGTTTGCCGTCGGGGAAGCTCCGAGTTGCGCCTGCCAAGGCTGTTCTGTCGAGATGGAGTCATCCCTGAACCCTGCACTTGTGCAGCCCCACGGCACGGGGGTGGCCTCGTTCCCAGAATGTGTGTCTTCGGCCGTGAGGAAGGGGCTGGCCCTAAGGACGATGCTGGCTCCATGATGGCCCTTAGTCCCTGACATTTCTTGGTGGGATCAAGGAGACCGAGGGGAGCTCTGGGCCCTGTGCGTTGAGCATCGCTCTGTAGAGGGTGGCTGACTCAGGCTCCAAGGTGGGGGCCACAGACTGTGGTTCTCTGGTGACCCCAGATGAGGGCCACCCTTGGGCAGCTTCACCTCCTGAAAAGGAGATGTTTTTGGAGTCTCGTGAGATGAAGGCTGGAGCGGTGTGGCGAGCAGGGAAGGCCTGGAGGCATCGATACCTGGTGGCCCTCCCCAGGCCATGACCCGTGTGGTTCGTGGGATTGGAGCCGGGTCCCAGTCAAGTTGTAGAGCCCCCACTGATTCCCTCAGCCCTGCAGCCTTGGGGAAATGGGCTTTGCAGGGCACTCGGCAAAGTCGCTCTGCAGACACAGCCTCCTCGTTAGAGAGCGGTGCTAAACCTGTGTGCTCTTCCGGCGACACGGTCCTAACTTGGGTGGTTTCTTACATTTCCAGAGCACCTTTACGAACATCTTTTTCTCTGTGCTTCCGCAGCCCTGGGAGGCAGGGGGCGGGTTCCTTTTTTTCTTTTCTTTATTTTTTTTGAGACAGAGTTTTCACTCTTGTTGCCCAGGCTGGAGTGCAGTGGCACGATCTCGGCTCACTGCAACCTCTGCCTACCAGGTTCAAGCGATTCTCCTGCCTCAGCCTCCCGAGTAGCTGAGATTACAGACATGCACCACCATGGCCTGCTTTTGTACTTTTAGTAGAGACGGGGTTTCACCGTGTTAGTCAGGATGGTCTCGAACTCCTGACCTCAGGTGATCCACCTGCCTTGGCCTCCCAAAGTGCTGGGATTACGGGCGTGAGCCACTGCGCCCGGCAGGAGTGGGTTCTGTCTCATCCCTGGGACCATTAGCCTGTGAGGGTGTCTCAGCAGCCCTGAGCCCTGAACCCGAGTCTGCTACCCAGTCCTGGCTCTTTGGTGGAGCAGGCTCATTGCACAGGGCACAGCTTTGTCATCGGCAGCTGGCCTGTCCAGGGTTCAC
The DNA here is from genome assembly GCF_000001405.40 of Homo sapiens. Taxonomy (NCBI): domain Eukaryota; kingdom Metazoa; phylum Chordata; class Mammalia; order Primates; family Hominidae; genus Homo; species Homo sapiens. The sequence goes on from NC_000022.11 coordinate 48,745,220, forward strand.
CCTGAGCATTGGCACACACGGCTTTGTCGGCGGCGGCTGGCCTGTCCGGGGTTCACCCTGAGCATTGGCACACAACAGCTTTGTCGTCGGCGGCTGGCCTGTCCAGGGTTCACCCTGAGCATGGGCACACAACGGCTTTGTCGTCGGCGGCTGGCCTGCCCGGGGTTCACCCTGAGCATGGGCACACACGGCTTTGTCGTCGGCGGCTGGCCTGCCCGGGGTTCACCCTGAGCATGGGCACACACGGCTTTGTCGTTGGCGGCTGGCCTGTCCGGGGTTCACCCTGAGCATGGGCACACACGGCTTTGTCGTCGGCAGCTGGCCTGTCCGGGGTTCACCCTGAGCACACACATGACATAGTGTTCAATGGCTCAGCCCTGTATTTTGGCGTTACAGGAGTTACCTGAGGTCCTAGAATTCACTCCGTCTTCAGTCTCAGCTGATGACTGTTCATCTGGGGCAGCAGCGGTGCCTCCTGTCAGATGCCTCTTCTGTCCACTGTGGTCCACGTGGGTACTTGGAGGGGGCCCGGGAGGTGTCAGCACCGGCCCAAAGATTTCATATAAACCGTGGCTCTTCTGCCCCTGGTCCCACAGGCTGGAGCTTGGTGTCAGGCACCTCTCCTGGCAGCACCACGGGAAGGAAGGTCCTGAGAGGCCTCGCTTCACCACACACGCGTCAGAGGAGGGCGGGCCGGTGAGCTGAGCTCCTGCGTGAGAGCGGGAGCTGCCACCTGTGAGACCCGCAGGGGCACACTGTCCCGGGGAGAGAGGTGTGTGAGCTGCACACACAGGATGCAGCCTCCAGGAGACAGCGATGGGCTGGGGTCCTTGTGTCCCTCACTGGGGCACATTCAGCGTCCATTCAAGGAAAGGGCGTGTGTCCCCAGGATCCGCCTGGGCTGAGTAGCTTGGTCGCCTCCGGCCCCTGTCCTTGTGGTTTCTGGCTGGCACTGGGCCTGGCCCTTCTCGGTGTTGTCTTTCTGCTCTCAGTGAAGTCGTCCAGGGCATTCTGGGCTTTCAGGCTGGCCTCCACCCCGTGCCGTTCAGGAAGCACCCCACTCGTCAGGCAGGCAGACACCCCAGTCACCCGTCACTCTCATTTTCAACATAAGAGACATTGACATCAGCTGGACATGGTGGCACGTGCCTGTGGTCCCAGTTGCTCAGGAGGCTGAGGTGGGAGGATGGCTTGAGCCCAGGAGTTCAAGGCTGCAGTGAGCTGCAATCGCACCACTGCACTCCAGCCTGGGTGACAAGGCCAGACCCCGTCTTGTTAAAGAAAAAAAAGAGAGATGCTCACGTGGTGCTGGCTCTATTAGATCTCTTCAAGCCATAGCACTAACTCAGGAAGTGGGTGTGTGTTTACACATGGAGAAACTGAGGCACAGGGGGACGCTCAGAGAGTAAGTGGATGTTCAGATAGTAATTGCTGCTGCAGCATTCGGACCCGGGAGGTGTGCCCCGCCCTGGGAAGAGGGGTTCTAGCTTGGCCTCCTACCAGGTGGCAGCCTAGTCCAGCCTTGTTACAGGACAGAAGCCGGAGGGGCCTCGTCACCTGTCATCAGGGTGGATTGGGATGGCAGCCTGCTTCCTCAGCAGAGGGTCAGCCTGCTCCGCACCCCTGGGGCCTGGTGCCTGCTGAGCTCCCCGTCCCACCCCGGCAGCCATCCTCAGGCAGCTCACCAGCCTGATGGGTACCGGACCCCCATGTCCTCAGGAGGCTGGTGGCCAGCACCTCCCTTCCAGTAGGACCCTCGCCCATACCCTACAGAGTGGGCTCAACGCCCTGGAGCCCAGGAAGGAGTGGTTCACAGGCTAGGAGGGCGGAGGGCAGGGGAGTGGACACCATGAGCCAACAGGACTGGAGGCCACCATGGTGTCACCATTCCCGCCCGGCCCTGCCCTGCCCTAATGCACTTTGCTGCTCAGCCTAAGAACTAAGGGGCCCTGGGACTGGAGAAGGTTCCCTGTGAAGATGACCTGCTGCAGCTCAGGACGCCTGCTGGGATTGCTAGAATGAATGCCCTGTAGCCTGAGTCCCTGATGTTCTGCATGGTGATTTGAACAGCAGCAACCAACCACAGCCGCTCCAGCCCTTCTCGTGGACCTGGCCTTGGGGTGCAGGAAGCGTTGGGGCCTTGGTTGTGACCTGGCTCTGCACCTTCAGGGAGCAGCCCCAGGAAAGAAGCCAAAGGCTTCCTGAACATGGCTGGGATTCGGTATGTATTTCCAGAGTGGCCTCCCTGATTCCACTTGGGTTTTTCCCAAGATACAGTGTCCCTCGTCCCAGGGGTCCGTGGAGGTGGCACCATGGTCTTCACGCTGTCTTGCTGCTTTCTTCTTACTGTTTACTGGAACCTTTAGTATGGGCTCCATTCAGGACAGCGTGTTCTGGCCAGGCACAGTGGCTCATGCCTGTAATCCCAGCACTTTGAGAGGCCAAGGTGAGCGGATCACCTGAGGTCAGGAGTTTGAGACCAGCCCAGCCAACATGGTGAAAGTCCATCTCTACTAAAAATATAAAAATTAGCCCGGCATGGAGGCGCATGCCTGTAGTCCCAGCTTCTCAGGAGGCTGAGGCAGGAGGATCACTTGAACGGGGGAGGCAGAGGTTGCGGTGAGCCGAGATCGCACCACTGTACTTCAGCCTGGGTAGCAGAGCAAGACTCTGTCTAAAAAAAAAAAAAAAAAAAAAGAATAGCGTGTTCCTTCATACAGCAGGCTCCTCCTGACCTTAACGTCAGATGGAAACTTCTAGTGAGGAAGAGAAAGTATCATTTACCTGGATGAATGGAGCTGGGAGGTTTGGTTCTGTTGTTTGTGTCTGAGCACAGGGTAAACCTCTTATGTAAGCTGAACACGCGCTCCACAGGCTCAGGACCACGCCCTCCGGTCACTCCTGATGGAAAGGCTTGTGTGGGCCAAGCATCAGGTGCCCGCAGGTGAAGCAGGCAGCTAGGGACCACACCGTTCATGCCAGCTTGTTGGGCATCCACAGCCCGGTGTGATGGCAAGCTCACTCTGGGGCCAATTCTGAGCCCTCTGGGGACTGGGTTCTGGAACAACGGCTGCAGACTGCAGGACACAGGCCTTGGCCTTGGACTGTGGATGACCGAGCGCCCGTGGACCCAGCAGAGGGGAGCTCAGAGCCAGCTTCCTTTCCAGGCCCCAGGGGTGCAGTGAGGAGACACACCAGCTGTGACCCAGGCCACAAGTGTCCACAGGCAGAGAGGGCTGGCTGGGCCACAGGCAGAACGGCCGTGGTGGCAGCTCCAGGAAGCCAGGTTGGGAAGGCGTCTGAGGCTCCCTGTCTCAAAGGTGTGCCATGGGGCTGTTCTGTCCCCGGGGCAGGTCCCCTCACCCCTGAGCCTCAGGTCCTGTTGAGTGTGGGTTCTAATCCCACAGCCCCGTTGGGTAGACGAGGCTATGACAAGGTGACGGCAAGGTCGTTCCCAGAGCAGTGACTGGCGCCCAGGAGCTCAGGAACCGCAGCTGGCCAGGGTGCTGGAGATGACCCCTGGCCCTGACGGAACCTGGGATTTGGGGAGGCCCTGCAGTTGCGAGACCCTCATCATCACCGCCCCTGGCTGAGTAAGGAATTTAACACAAGGCAGATGAGGCCTAACCCAGGTGGGCAGGTGCCTGGAGGTGCCCGCCCAGGAGACAGCATCAGGGTGGGCTCAGAACTTTCAGCAGGGCCAGGGTCCCATGATGAGTTTCCTGGCCAAGGTCGGTTCAAGGGCAGATTCTCAGGGCTGCCTGGGGCCCAGGGAAAGGGTGAGTGTCAGGGGGAAGCTGAGCCCCAGGGCCTCTGCCTCCTGTTGAAGAGAATACTCCCGGGGCCAGATGGGACAGGGTCTGTGTCGACATGGGGACCGTGTGAGGATGGAGGCAGAGATCAGGACGATGCGTCTCCCGGGCAAGGAGCACTGAGGATTGCTTGGAGCACCAGAAACCCCTAGGGGGCCTGGAGTGGACCCTCCCTCAGATCCTCCAGCAGGAACAGGCCCTGTCCACACCTTGAGTCTGGGCAAGAAGAACTAACTGCTCTTTCAGATCCCCATCCCCCAGTATGTGGTCATTTGATTGGGCAGCCACGGGAATGGCACACAGACCTGTAGAGGCCCGGCGTGGATGGCCAGGGGAGGGTGGCTCCGTGGTGGGGGTGCGGCCAGGTCCCCCAGCCTGCAGCGACCATTCTGGGTGAGCTCTGCAGTCTGTGGCCTCAGAGGCCCAGGAAGCTGGGAGGGGTTTGAATTGGATACAGGGAATAGGGAGCCACAGATGGTTCTTGAGCTGTGGAGTGGCAAAGTGATATGGCTGCATAGAGGAAGGAAGCCGGCAAGTGGGGTGGGAAGGCCTCTGGCCGAGGCTGACAGCCCCTCCAGGTCGTGCACAGAGGGCGCCCCACTCTCCCGAGACACAAGGAAGGGTGGGGATTTGGGGGCACTGTCTGGTGGCCTGGATGTCCCTCACAGCACTGAGGATGAGCTCTTCGTTTCAGGCCCTCCAGGAGGCCGGCTGGCAGGAGCCGGGGAGGGAAGAGGAGCCTGTGTTCCCTGTGGCCCTGGGCAGCGTCTGCAGGAGGCTCACCCTCTCTCTCTCTTTGCTCCTCAGGTCTCCTGACAAACACAGCCCCTGAGGGGCCCCGGGAGTGGCCTTGGCTCCCTGGAGAGCCCACGTCTCAGCCACAGTTCTCCACTCGCCTCGGACTTCACCCGTTCTCTGCCGCCCGCCCACTCCGTTTCCCTGTGGTCCGTGAAGGACGGCCTCAGGCCTTGGCATCCTGAGCTTCGGTCTGTCCAGCCGACCCGAGGAGGCCGGACTCAGACACATAGGCGGGGGGCGGCACCTGGCATCAGCAATACGCAGTCTGTGGGAGCCCGGCCGCGCCCAGCCCCCGCCGACCGTGGCGTTGGCCCTGCTGTCCTCAGAGGAGGAGGAGGAGGAGGCAGCTCCGGCAGCCACAGAAGGCTGCAGCCCAGCCCGCCTGAGACACGACGCCTGCCCCAGGGGACTGTCAGGCACAGAAGCGGCCTCCTCCCGTGCCCCAGACTGTCCGAATTGCTTTTATTTTCTTATACTTTCAGTATACTCCATAGACCAAAGAGCAAAATCTATCTGAACCTGGACGCACCCTCACTGTCAGGGTCCCTGGGGTCGCTTGTGCGGGCGGGAGGGCAATGGTGGCAGAGACATGCTGGTGGCCCCGGCGGAGCGGAGAGGGCGGCCGTGGTGGAGGCCTCCACCCCAGGAGCACCCCGCGCACCCTCGGAGGACGGGCTTCGGCTGCGCGGAGGCCGTGGCACACCTGCGGGAGGCAGCGACGGCCCCCACGCAGACGCCGGGAACGCAGGCCGCTTTATTCCTCTGTACTTAGATCAACTTGACCGTACTAAAATCCCTTTCTGTTTTAACCAGTTAAACATGCCTCTTCTACAGCTCCATTTTTGATAGTTGGATAATCCAGTATCTGCCAAGAGCATGTTGGGTCTCCCGTGACTGCTGCCTCATCGATACCCCATTTAGCTCCAGAAAGCAAAGAAAACTCGAGTAACACTTGTTTGAAAGAGATCATTAAATGTATTTTGCAAAGCCTAAAGTTATATATTTAACAGTTTTTATATGTTGTATATTTGTAGAAAATCCTATTTAACAATTAACGTGGCAGTCCCGGCCGTCCTGAGAGTCGGGCCGAGCCCCGTGTGTTTCTGAAGACTCTGGGGGTGGGACACGGCGGGGAGGTGGTGCCCCGCGGACCCCGGGGTGCCAGGCACGGAAGGCGGGACTCTGGGAGAAGCGTGCGGAGGACCGTGGCGTCGGCGTCCCGGATGTGTCGGTCGTGCCCGGGGAGGCCGGGTTCCCCTCGCTGCGGGCCAGGCTTGGCTCCTGATTCCCTCTCTGGTCCCTGTATTGGTCAACACTTGAGCGTACAATATCTTGAACATGCTTCTTCCAATGGGTTTTGTTTCCCATTTCCTGCCCCTTTCGCCACTCACGGACCTTGAGGCCAGTTGACGGCCCTTCTCCCCACGCCTGTGTCCCCGCGTTCTGAGAAGTCCTCTGTCTTCGTGTCACTAGGTCCAGAAAGTCGCGCCGGGCAGAGGCGCAGGCGGGGCCGGCAGGGCCGAGGAATAAGCGACAATTCTGGTTTTTCTCCCCTGGCCGTCGTTCGCCAGCCTCCTTCATTTTCCTGAGTTCCCGCTGAAGTATATACTACCTATGAGTCCAATTAACATGAGTATTATGCTAGTTCTATCCTACTAAAAAAAACGTAAAAAAATAACTATATAGAAGCTGTTCCAGCAACCATAGACTGAAGATACGAAAGAAAATCCATTTATTTAAGACCTGTTCCGGTATCCATGAGGACATAATTTACCTTTCAGTCACCACAAATTTATAGGCATTTGTATCCTGGACTAAAAGAAGGGGCTGAGGTTGGGTTTGTCATCACAGAGGGGGTGGGCCTGGAAAGGGTCCTTCCCAAGCTGCCCCGGCTCCGGCGGCCCGGGCCGGCAGCCTCTGCCAGCCAGCGTCCTCACGGCCTCCCCCTCGCCTGTTTCTTTTGAAAGCAAGTGTAGACACCTTCGAGGGCAGAGATCGGGAGATTTAAGATGTTACAGCATATTTTTTTTTCTTGTTTTACAGTATTCAATTTTGTGTTGATTCAGCTAAATTATGAAAAATAAAGAAAAACTCCTTTGATAAGCATGGCTTTTGTTCCCTGGGCGTGGTGTCCTGGGAGAGGGGCTGTGGCTGGTGAGGCTGGTGGGGATGACAGGTTGGGGCCAGCACAGGGACCCCCAGGGTCAGAGCAGACAGTGCCTGCAGCCCTCACGGCATAGCCGGTGCCGCCTGTGAGCCCCTGGGTTCTTCTGCACCCACAAGGATGGCCTCTGAAGCCCAGCCCCAGACGAGTGGGCAGTGCCTGGCTGCAGCCCTCTGGGGGGCTGTCATCCCTGCCTGAATATCGCTGCCCCACACAGACACTGCGCCCTGAGTCCCTCCACGGATCTGACGTGCGGCCGCCTGAGTGTGGCAGGCATCGGCTCTCCTTCATTCCTCCCCTGGCCGGTGGGGAAGCCCAGGCTGTCAGTAGGGAGGCTGGCCCCAGGTTCTCGTGAGCTGGCCCCACACAGGTGCCATACACAGAGCTCCCCAAGGAGGCCCAGGTCTGAAGCACCCCCTTTGCAGAGACATCCACTTAGAGCAGGTTGGAGCCCAGAGCCTCCTTGCTGCCCACACCTGAGGCCACCTGGGTGGGACCACCAGGTACCCCCCAGCTGCTCTTCCATAGGGCATCTCGGACTGGGCAGCTGGGCTGGGGGGCTGCGCCACGGGCTGCCTGGCCGTCTGTGCTTCCTTCCAAGGAGACGTCACTGGTCTTTGGAGCCATCAAGGTGGACAGACAAGGCCTCAGCTTTTCCCATAAGGGGCTGGGTTTCTCCTGGGAGGGAGGGCAGGAGGCGGAGCTACAGTGGCTGCAGGAGCACCTGGGCTGGCCTCTTCCCCATCGGGTGCCCTGGTGCCTGGGCTGGAGGGTCCTCCGTTCCCTCCCACAGAGGAGAGGCACGGCATGAAGTATGTATTCTGTGGCTTTGTGGTCAGCACAGTGAGACAGGATGGGGCAGCCTGGCCAGGAGAGGGGCCTCCAGCCCGTTCCTGTATCACAGTGAGAGCTGGGAGGAGAGGCGTCAGTGTGCTGGGAGGAAAGCAGCCCCCACCATTGATACCTGAGGAGCAGCCCCATACCCAGAGGCTGAGCAGAAGGGCCTGAACCCTGGCCTGTCCTCCTGCTATGAGCCCCATGCGGGCTCCTGGGGGTGTTCCTCCCAGGAAGCTCCCTGCTGCCTGGGTCAGGAGGCACCGGGAACCTCAGCGCTGGCTGCCCAAGCTCCCTCTGCTCCCCATGCACTGAGGGAAGGAGGTCGCTGCCTCGCCTAACTCAGGCTGCTGGGAGCAGTACCTGCCCCGTCCAAGGAGAGAACCGGTTCCGTCCCCAAGGTGAAGGGTCCGGGGAGAGCCCTTTGCAGGTGTGGATGTCCACAGATGGGCCCCATCCATTAGTGTTCTAGGGGTGGTCACAGCCTCCTGTGCGCCTGAGAGCCGCCTTCCCAGGGCCCTGGGCCAGCTGAGCCACCAGTGGAGTCTGCAAATGAGACACTCAGAGATAGTCCTCAGCCTCCCAGGACCCTCTGCCCAGGGCCCCCACTGGCCACCCTGTGCAGCCCCAGCAGGACAACAAGAGCAGGCAGAGGCCACACCCCAAGGGCACGACCTTGGTTAGGGGCAGTCCTGGCCACTGCTACCTAAGGGGCAGGGCCAAGTGTCTCCATCCTCTCTGTCCCAGGCAGTAGAGCAGTGTCACGAAGGCCTGGCTGGAAGCCACACTGCGCGGCGTTCCACACAACGGCCTGAGGCCGGCCATGCTTCCTCTCCGAGCCTCAGTTTCCCCATTGATAGAATAAAGAGAACCTCGCCAAGCTCACGAGGAGTCAGGAGGTGGAGGGTGACCAGCACTCGAGGCAAAGGTGCTCGTGGTCCTGATCGAAGCCTTGCACTTCCTTCCCAGGCCCCGTGTCACCCTTGAGGGGTGACCCTGGGCACTGGTGCTCGCCCGCCACTCCCACATCATGGAACCTGTCCCAGCTCCCCGTTCAGTGCTGGCCTTCAGAGATGCTGTCTGGGCCAAGCTCTGTCTCTCCCTCTTAGTGAGGTCTGTGACCTGGGACACATCGCTTCTCTGAGCCTCAGCTGCTAGATCACAAAGTGGAGACCCCGCAAGCCTCTGCCCTCCTGAGGCCCTGGGGCCAGGGTAGGCACCTCCTATGTGGGTCTTCCTTCTGCCGTCCCTGTCTCAGCCGTGAGGTGCCCCTCCAGACTGGCCAGTTCAGACTGTGGATGGGATCCACTTCCCAGGGGCATGGATCCACATGGGGGCACGTGTGGGTAAGAACAGGGCAGGAGGCAGTGGGCTGGCATGGGTAGGGATGACCCAGCAGCAGCAGGGAGCAGGCCGAAGGGCCCTGTCGGAGAGCGAGTGTGTGCGTGTGAATGTGTGTGTGCCTGTGGTGTGTTTGTGTGGTTTATGTGCATGTGCAGTGTGTGTGCATATGGGTGTGTATGTGTGTACACATGTGTGCATGTGTGTACACGTGTGTGCATGTACGGATGTGTGTGCACGTGTGTGCATGTGTGTACACGTGTGTGCATGTGCGGATGTGCATATGTGTGTGCACGTGTGTGCATATGTGTGTGCATGTGTGTGCGCACGTGTGTGTGTGCGCGCATCTGTGTGCTTATTTTCACCAGCACCCTCATGTACTGAGCACTTTCTGAGTCAAGGGTCCAGGGAGGAACCCTGAAGGATTCCTGAGTTTAAGGAGCCCTCAGGAATGGGGAGTGGTCCCCAAGGTCAAGGAACCCCCAAGGTCAAGCAGCCCTCAAGGTCATGCCCAGAGCGCCTGTCGGAAGGCAGCTGAGGCAGGCTGTCCTGGGACCGTTGGAGCCCACCCAGTGTCCCCAGGTCCTGCACTGCCCCTGTCCCCCCTTGGGTTCTGCACTGCCCGTGTTCCCCCCGCCCGGGTCCTGCACTGCCCACATCCCCCCTCAGGTCCTCCTTCACTTCCTGAGGTCCCCCCCAGGGTCCTGTACTGCCCATGTCCCCACCCCAGGGTCCTGCACTGCCCGCATCCCCACTCAGGTCCTCCTTCTCTGCCCGAGGTCCCCCCAGGGTCCTTCACTGCCCGAGGTCCCCCCAGGGTCCCACACTGCCCATGTTCCCCACCCCAGGGTCCTGCATTGCCTGCGTCCTCCCCTGCCTAGTGTTTTAGATGCCACAGTGACCCGTGGCCTTGGCATCCAGGGCATGACCACTCTGCTGTTCTGGTCCTGAGCTGAAGTCAGCTTGAGATGTCAGTGCCCCCACAGAATGTAAGGAAACAAAATCCCAGAGACCCTGGCACACCTCTCAGCAGGCGGAAGTGGGGCCTCTGTTCTTGCTCCCGGGCAGGGAAACACTAGGCAGAAACTGGGCAGAGGCCTCCAGCAGCCCCCAGCCCCAGCCTAGACTCTCCCCTGGGAGCCTGAAAGAGGCCCATGGGCCACTGCCCTGCTGCCTTAGAGGGCCCAGGCGAGCCTGTCCCAGGAGAAGCCACACTGGGCTGGAGGAGGGTCCAGGGGAGGTGTCCCATGTGTGAGTCTTGCCGGGATGAGGAATGGGGCTGGGTGGGCACCAGGCTGATCAGGGGGAGCCAGGATTTCAGGGCAGCAGGGACAGCAAGGACAGCAGCCTTCCCTGCACCCTGGGTGCCAGCGCCCTCATTTGAGCATCTGTCCCAGCCGCTGTTTCCACCAGCATCTGTCCCAACCGCCCAGGGCTGCCTCCCTGTCCCCCCGCTCCTGGGAGGCTGCGTGCCCCGTGGAGATGGGGGACAGGGATGTGGGAGCGTGGCCAGGCCTGGCACCTCCTGCACAGCCTGGGTCTGGCCCACTGCAGATGCTGCCTGCATTGGTGGCCTCTCCGGGTTATCAGTGAGCTCTGGGCAAGGTGGGCACTCCGAGCCCTGGGCCTGCTTCCAGAAGTCTAGGTCCTTCGGTGTCTCAGCCACCCCAGGCCTCAGGTGCAGCCTCTGACCAGGCAGCACGGGCCTTGCCGGAACACCGCATCCCCTACTCCAGCAGGTCCCTAGCTTGAGGGGGTCACCCCTTCCGCAGCACTGCTCTGCTCAGCCCTCACACTGGGGGACCTCTTAGTTCCCAAGGGCTGTCCTCTGCTCCTTCCGCGCACTGGCCTGTCTTGCGCTGTGGCCGCGTTTGCCTTCTCCATTGGGCTGTTGGCTTCCTTAGAGGACATCCTGCATCTTAAATACCGTATTTCTTCCCTCTGCGCCCAGAGTCATAGAATTACTCTGAAATAATAGCCACATTTATTTTCTCCTTTTACGAATGTCACCTCATTTGTTCCTCCTGCCAATGCTGCAGGGAGGGGATTAGTGTCTTTCTCGGGTGGGTGGTGAGGTGGCCAGGCCGGCACCACGTGGGTCAGCGTGGGATGCGGCCCCTCCTCCTCCGTGGACACTCACTCAGAGGGCTTCCTTCTGGGGTGAAGGGAGGGGGAACCTGGTTCCTGCAGGCCAGTGCCACTCAGTCCTGTCTCGAAGCGGGAAGACAAAGGCTGAGGAAGGAGCATCTGATCCCACCCATGGAAGGGCGCTGAGGAAAAGGCCATTTTGACACCTGTGAAATCGGCAAGGAGGACCTCATCAACACCGCTACCACAGGGGCCAGGACTGAGGACGTGGCGTGAGATGGGCTCAGCTCCAACCCACTGGCCTCGGCGGGAGCTCTGCTGCACACTGGGGCTGCGTGGATGGGAAGTGACTAAGCAGAGGCACGGGGACCCAGAGACACAGAGACCTGGAGACGCAGAGACCTGGAGACGCAGGGATGCAGAGATGCAGGGGCCAGCCCGGAGGCTTAGTGGGCTGGCGGGATTCTCAAGGAGGGCAGGCAGAAGACGCAGACATAGAAGGTGGGAGAGGAGGGACCTGCCCAGCTACAAGGGTGGTCGCCTCCCTACGCTGACCCAGCAGTAGTTTTGCTAACGCTGGACTCGGCAAGGACGGGCAGAAGCCCCAGGCTGTGGCCTCGTGGAGACAAAGGCTCAGAGGGGCCCGGCCAAGGCCTGGTCAGGAGAGCCTTGGTCCTGAGCCTCCCGACCAAACCAGTGCCCTGCAGTCAGCCACCTCTCCCAGGAGAGCAGCAATGGGCCCGGCTCTGCAGCAACAGAAAAGGAGAAAGAAACTCCCAGGGAGGTAGCATGCCTCTTGCTTTGTGAGGAAATCAGAAGGCCCTGGTACAGGCCTGGCTGGGTGTGGTCACAACAGGACTTGGAGGACTCTTTGGAGAGAGGCAAGGAGGAGGAGGAGGGAGGAGGAGGGATAGAGGATGGGAAGGAGGAGGAGAAGGGAGGAGGAGGGATAGAGGATGGGAAGGAGGAGGAGAAGGGAGGAGGAGGGATAGAGGATGGGAAGGAGGAGGAGGAGGGAGGAGAAGGGATAGAGGATGGGAAGGAGGAAGAGGAAAGAGGAGGGATAGAGGATGGGAAGGAGGAGGAGGGATAGAGGATGGGAAGGAGGAGGAGGAGGGAGGAGAAGGGATAGAGGATGGGAAGGAGGAGGAGGAGGAAGGAGAAGGGATAGAGGATGGGAAGGAGGAGGAGGAGGAGGGGAGGAGGACTGCTGAAAGCTGCTTCCAATACCACAAACCTGCTTCATCTGTCCATAAACGTCTGAGTGCCCCTTTCTGGGAGACAGAAAGTGCCGTCCTTGGGGTTTGCCAGGGGCTGACCTTGGGGCTGGCCCAGCAGTCACCAGAGCCTGTTACACACGCACAGACCCAGCCTTTGGCTCCAGAGCCAGCCTCACATCATGACCGTGCCTCGTTCCTTCACTCCCTGTGTCCACAGATGTTGAACTCTGGAAGAGAGAACAGTTGTGAGTCGGCTTTGTGGCTGCTGGTGGGCACTGGCCAGGGCTGGTGGAGGACAGGATGGGCAGGTTCCCTGGGACTGGGGTCTCTGGGGGAGTGGACGGCCCTGGGGCAGCCAGTCACTGGGGTCTGTGTGTAGGGCATGCGATGGCTGTAGAGGGGGCTCCGCTGGCTTCAGGAGCCTGACCCCAGCCCCACTGGGCAAGTCTTGGCCTCTGTCTGTTGCTGTGCCATCTGTGGGCCTTTCTTCCTTTGAAGCATTGAGGTGTTCGTCACAAGCGTCCTCACACTACTCGGCACATTGTCCACCTTACCGGGCATAAATTATGATGCTGGAGTGGCAGCTCGCCATGCACACAGCAGCACCCAGGATGGTGCCCAGACCTCCTGTTCCAGCTGGCAGCTCCGGCCATGGCTGCCTGTCATCCCCACTGGGTATCTCCCCTTTCATTTTTACATGTTGTTGGAACAAAATTATGCCACTATCAAGGGACGCACAGTGGAAGAAAATACCCACTGCCTCCACACCCCGGCATGGCACACACATGCATGTTTGTGTGCTTGTAACTGGAACTAGCCTTTCCACCTGCTCTTTCTCCTGGCCACGCCCCCTCTTGTTGCCTGTCAGTCACCTGTGCAGCCTGGAGGTCTGAGTCATGTTCCATCCATGGATCGAGCCATCCATCATGCTCCCGTGTTGGGAGGACAGTGGTTTACGGTCATCAAGACCCGGCGCTCTCATCCCGGCCCTGTTGGCCTGGACCTTGGCCTTCGGACTTGCTTGAGCAGTGCAGGATGAGCGGCAGTGATTTCAAGGGCCTCTGAGCAGAAGTTTTTACAGCCATCAAGCTCTACTGCTGTCTTGTATTTTTTCTTTTCCCATTGCCACCAAACAGGCATGTACTAAACAGGGGCTGCTTGGCCAAAGCCAGAGCATGCGTGGCAGGGCCCAGGTGCCCACCTGCCACAGACGGAAATGAGGGAAAGAGCAGACCATTTTTGTTGAAACCTCTAGGATTCGGGTGTCACCACTGCCACAGCATAACTTATCCTAATCCAACTGTGGCAGACCATAGCCTGGAGTCGTCTGCTTAGGACATGTTGGAGGTAGAATTTTGAGCTCTTGTTTGCTTTCCTGTCCTGTTGAGCTTTTTGGAAATCCTGTCTACATCTGCATTCTCATTCTGTGTGGATCTCTGTGTGGCCACCAGCATCTCTGCCCACAGGCCGCTGCAGCAGTGTCACTAGGGCCCAGGGTCCAGCTCCCAGGGGAATCTCAGGTGTGGGTTCCCGTGGCTGTGCTCCAGGGCCCAGGCCCTGTGGACACTGCCTCCCTTCCCTCCAGGCCACAGGCGGGACACACAACAGGTGGATCAAGACCCACATATGCAAGGAGCAACTCAGAGTGTGTGGGCATCTGTCAAAGATGGCTGGAGACAGCCCAAGGTGATTTGGCAGAAAGAGGAGGACCATTCATGTCACCTCCTGGACTCTGTTCAATCATTTCCTGGCTCTACAAACCAAAGGCTAACCTGCCTGAAATGAGAGAAATTCAAAGGGAAGTCCTCTCTCCTACCTCCGGAGAGACAGGCCCGAACCAGATCACGGGCCAGGTGGCAGGTGAGAATAGTGCATGGCTCTGCAAGGGTCACAGTGACCACAGACCCCGGAGGGCCCCGGGCCGAGGACCTACCTTCTGAGGAAGATGTGTGGCATAGACGGGTCCGTGTGAGTCAACCTGTGTCCTGTCCATTCCAAGCCTAGAAGTCTGATGTACAGCAGGAGGACCAACCGAGTTAACAACATTGTCCTGCATATGGAAAATGGGCTGAGATAGTCAATTTTAGGTCCTCTTACCACACACATACACACACACACACACAGACGCACACACACACAGGTGCACACAAACACACAGACGCACACACACAGACGCACACACACAGACGCACACACACACAGATGCACACACACACAGACGCACACACACAGAGATGCACACACACAGACGCGCACACACACAGACGCACATGCGCACACACACACACAGGTGCACAGGAAGCGTGACTGTGGAGGTCATGAGTATGTTAATTCCTATGTAGTAATCATTTCTCTGTTTCTGTATATCAAAACAAACACCATATTGTACAAGTTAAATATATAAAATAAAAATAAATCTTTAAAAAATTGCAAAAGAGCCTTTAAGAACAAGAACCTGGGGGAGCTCCCAGAGAGCAAGAGAGCCGCGAAATGCAACCCCAGCACAGCAGGAGGAAGACTCGGGCCCAACACCGGATCCAATGAATGTCAGCTTCCTTTATACCCATCTTCCCTCGAACGTCTCAGATTAATTCCCTCCTACTTCATCTCTCTTCAGACGCTCCCTGGACGTTACAACCTTCCCTATCTCATGGTCTAAATTCAACCCGATTTCTTGGTGTAAATTCCATTTTTGGCTTTTCAGGGAAAGGCTCTTGCTCCAGCCTCTTGAATGTTGATGCCATGAGGATTCTCTTCCCCTTCCTCGTCTCTGTCTGTCCAGCTTCATAGAGACACTATGTCCTCAAGTCTTTCTTCTTCACCAGGAGATAAGGGTCTTGCAAGAAGGTGCTACGGCGGCTTTCTTTGTCTTTCCAGAGCCTGGTGTCGATTTGTTAAGGGAATGCTCAAATGTTTATTGGAATAAACTTTCAATAGGCAAGGATTTAGGTGTTGTGCTTTGTGCACGATGGGTGGGGTGCTAGGTTTTCATGAAGGTTCCATTTGAAGAGCTATAGGACAGCTGGGTTCTGTGTCCCAAAATCTCAGAGCTGAGCTCCCTGGAGGGGTTACAGCAGCCCACTGACAGGGCTCTGGGTGAAGGAGGGTCAGCTGTGTGTGCAACATGATGAGCTCCTCTGCAATCAGATGGTCTCCTGCCTGCCCAGAGTGTGGGATCCGGGAGGTTCCATGGGTGCATGTACCGTGGGGCAGATTGGCATGAGTTATGGAGCCGTGTAGCATGGCTGCACCACCCTGGACCCTTGCAGACAAACAATGAGCCAGGCGTATGAGGAGACAAGGTGGGACTACAGACCAGAGGGTGATGGCCTAATTGGAGGAGTGTTTGGAAATGTGAGTGGTTGGCGCCAAGTGTTCCATGGCAGAATGTCGTTGTGACAGCCGCTTTGGCTCACATCTCCCAGTGTCGTCCCACACCGCTTCTGAGCTTGCGTGGCTTCCTCGGTCCAATCAAACAATAGCAAATGGGATGCAGGCAGACATTTTTACAGTCCTGGCTCATTAGAGTGTCCTCCTGCTGGATGGCCTCAGGCCCTGCCACGCAGTGAACCAGCCTGGGTGAGGCTGCATGAGGAAGGAACACAGGAAGGGGCCAGCCACCCCAGCCCTCCCAGTGGAGCTGTCAAAAACCAGCCAGTTCCCGGCCCAGCCACCAGTAGACGGCCATCAGCGAGCTCCCCAGGATCAGCCAAAGAAACTCCCAGTCAAGCTCAGTCCAAATTGCAGACTCAGGGAACAAACGCTAAGCACAGGAGTGTTTCCAGATGACCGATGGGCACTGAGAGCCAGACAGCAGCAGAGCAGCTGGGAAGTTCCGGGTAGAAAAAAATCAACATTTTTGAGTTAAAACTTCACCTCTGCAAAGATATACTTTTAAAACGAGGGTAAAATAAAGATACGTACTTGCAGAAAAATGAAAATGGACAGAAAAAGATTCCAAAAAGGGTCTTACTCAAGGAAATACTGAAAAATGAGACAGAAAAAAAATAAAATCCTAGGTGGACTCTTGGAGGTTCAGGAAGGAATTAGCAGGGGAAGGTGAGGACGATGGGGCAGGAGATCCACTCAGGGCCAACAACAGTAACATCCAAACACGATGATCCAAAGCAACCATTTGGAAGCACTGGAACATGAACAAGGGCAGGAAGAAACTGAGAAGTGATTTTGGAAGGGATGCATCCGCGTCAGGTAAGGACGCCCGGTTTGTGGCTTCTTGCTGGAGGTGGCTCCTAAAACCCCACCTGTAGTGATAGGAAAACCACCGGCTCTGCAGCTTCAGGGGGCGGACGACACAGAGCAGCTGGAAGTGCACGGAGAAGATCTGTAAGCAAGAAAGCGCAGATGGGCTGAGACCTCAAGTCGGAGTCAAACTTTGCCCAAATCCCTGGCTGACTCCTAAACAGGAAATGAGCACGGGGGACCTGGAGGAATGAGGCGGAAATTAGACGGAAAAGGCTTCTGATGATATTCAGAAGAATTCTGTACCCTTGGCAGAGTTCATTCCCCAGCCTACACTGGTCCCTGTTACTGAAAGAGGAAGCTGTTCTACCTTAAAGCAGGAAGAAACTGGGGATGGCAGAGCAACTAAGAATTAAGGGGTAGTTTCAGCAGCAAGGCTCTTAGAGAGGGGGTGAGCCCCCAAATCTGAGTACGTACACTGCCCGAATACATAGCTGATCGCTAAACCACACAGTTGTAGGATTAATACATGGGACCAGGATAAAAAATAAACAGCCACACGCTCCCTCTCTCTCACAAAACAGCAACAACGAAGACAAGCAGAGGCCACCTTCTGCATTTTTTAGGGAAGACAGCTTTGAAAGCAGGCGGATTAGCTGCCTAGGGTAACACAGAAACAACGCTTAGACATTTCAGAGCGTCTACAAAATATTACTTCCATTGGCAAGCCTCCCTCCAACGTGTACTAGACATGCAGAGAAACAGTCAAATGTGAAAAAAAATCAGGCATGGAAACCCACTCTGAGACAGCTTTTATGTTGGATTTTGCAAAGACATCAAAGGAGCTAATATAAATGTGTATAAATCATTAAAGAAATGTGTGGTATTAATGAGTTAATAGGTAGACTATTTCAACAGAGAAATGAAAACTGTTTTTTAAATTGTAGTTTTAGAGGTGAAAAATACAATATCAGAAAATAAATTGAAAAACGTACCAGATGGATTCAATGAGCAGATCAGAAACAGCAGAAGAAAGAATCAGTGAACCTGAAGATAGATCCATAAAAATTGTCCAATCTGAGAAACAGACAGAAACTGATTGAGAAGACATTTAAAAGCTTCGGCGACCTTGAGAACAATATCGGGGAGTCCAACATGGGTGAAATAAAAGCCCCAGAAAGAGAAAAGAGAAAATACAGTAGACAATTTAAAAAAAATTGAGGAAATAAGGCCAACACTTCCCAAACCGGTGAGAATATTTATAGAACTATTCACATCAACAAACCAAAGTAGGATAAACATAAGAAACCACAACTAGATTATATGATAGTCAAATCTCTGAAACACAAAGTGAGGAGAGGAGAAATTCTTGAAAGCAGCAAGAGAAAAATGGTCCATTTCATAGAGAGGAACAATGACATGATTAATGGCTGACTTTTCATCCAAAACAGTGGAGGCCAGAGATGTTGAGGAGACATGAAAGTGTGGAGGAAGGGAAATATCCGTCATCCAAAGATTCTATATCTAGAAAAACTATTCTTCAAAGATGAAGGTGAAATACAGACAAAATAAAAGTGAGAAAAATTACTTATTATTAATAGGATTTTACTGCAAGAAATGCTGAAGTATGATATAAAGATAGATACATGTGTGCGTAATCTTATAATTTCTATAGAACACACATGGCTATTTAAAATAAAGATTATAACACTATCGTAGGGTTAAAATTGACAGAGGTTTAATATATCTCTGTATTACACTGTATAGCCCAAAGGATAGGTGGTACAATAGAACATAGTCCCTTGAAAGTGTCCTCATTTGTTCAGAAATCATTTAATATTAATTAACTTTAAGG
Source organism: Homo sapiens (assembly GCF_000001405.40). NCBI lineage: Eukaryota > Metazoa > Chordata > Mammalia > Primates > Hominidae > Homo > Homo sapiens. Next base: position 48,763,532 of record NC_000022.11, read on the forward strand.
TGATTGTGCTGACATGATATGATCCTTAGCAGAACCACTAGAAAATACTGCAAAGAAATTTTACCTAGAAATGGAATTGAATGGTTTGCTTAAAACATTTGATGGCCACAAGCAAAGACATAAAAGGAATAATATAGGAAGGAAAATGAGAAAATAGAAAAGAAATAGCAAAGTGGCACTTAAGTCCAAACATATCGATAGTTAAATTAAAAATATTTCTACTAAAAATATAAAAAATTAGCCAGGCGTGGTGGTGGGCGCCGGTAGTCCCAGCTACTCGGGATGCTGAGGCAGGAGAATGGTGTGAACCCAGGAGGCGGAGCTTGCAGTGAGCCGAGATCGTGCCACTGCACCCCAGCCTGGGCGACAGTGTGAGACTCTGTCTCAAACAATAAATAAATAAATAAATAAATAAATAAATAAATAAATAAATAAAAATAGATAAACATTCCAATAAAAACTCAAGAAATGACTGATGGAATAAAATAAAAAGAAGAAAATATGTGCTTTAAACAGAAAAACTTTACTACAGAGACACAGATAGGTTGAAAGTAAAAGGGTAGCCAGGCACGGTGGCTCACACCTGTAATCCCAGCACTTTGGGAGGCTGAGGCAGGCCAATCACCTGACGTCGGGAGTTCGAGACCAGCCTGACCAATATGGAGAAATCCCATCTCTACTAAAAATACAAAATTAGCTAGTCCTGGTGGCACATGCCTGTAATCCCAGCTACTCAGGAGGCTGAGGCAGGAGAATCACTTGAACCCGGGAGGTGGAGGTTGCGGTGAGCCGAGATCTTGCCATTGCACTCCATCCTGGGCAACAAGAGCGACACTCCGTTTCAAAAAAAAGAAAGTAAAAGGATGGAAAAGACATATCATGAAAACAGTAAGCATAAGAAATCTGGAGTGCATTTGTTGATATTAAATGCAGTATACCTTTAGACAAAGAATATTACTATAGACAAAAAGAACATTTAACAATAATAAAGCGTCAATATAGCAGGAAAAAAATCATAAATGCATATGTGCCTGATAATAAAGTTCCAAAATACATGAAGCAAAAGCTGACAGAACTGAGAGGAAAAATCAACAATTTAACCATGATAAATGGAGATTTTATTTCTTCTTTGTTAGTAATCAATAGGACAAACAGATAGAAAATCGTCAAGTATGTAGAAGACTTGGACAACATCAGTCAGTATGTAATCAACACTCGCAGAAACAGCAAATAGAGCACCCCTAGGAATGGGACAGCTGAATCATATATGGGTGTGCTTATATGTTTTAAAATTGCCAAACTGTATTCAAAAGTGGTTGTAATATATCTGATCAGTGTTCATTAATTTTAGCCATCTTAATAGATGTAAGGTGTTAACTCTACACAAAATCTTTCCAAGACATACTGAAGATGAATCAAAATAGACCAAATATTAGACAATCAAGCAAATCTTTAAAAAAATCCAGACTGAAAATCAAACAGTATATGTTCTCTGATCACGATAGAATTAAATTGGCAATCAATAAGAATATCTGAAAAATTCTGAAATTTGGAAATACCAGACTTGGTTAGAATAACCAAACCACAGGTTAAGAAAAAAAGGGAAATTTAAATTGTATATATTTAATTGAAAACATTTAAATATTTTTATTTGAATGATAACAAAAGGACAATTTATGAAAATCTCTGCAATGTTGCTAATGAAATGCTTAAAGAAAATGTATAGCTTTAGAAGCTTCTATTAGAAAGGAGGAAAAAGTCTAGAATGTAAGCTTCCACCTTAAGGAGCTAGAAAATGAAGAGCAGAATGAATCCAAATAACAAAGAGCAGACACCAATAAGAGAGAAAATAAATAAGTAATAAAGAAAATCAATGAAACCAAAAGCTCACTAAAAAAATCAAAAGGTGGCTTTTTAGGGGTATGGTTAGCATGTAACTGACTGCACACATTTAAAGCGTACCACGTGGTAAGTCTGATATATATACCCCCTTGAAACAATCACTATCTTGATTTGCTTGAGCTGTAATAAAATACCTGACTGGATGATTTAAACAACAGGAATTCATTTCTCATAGTTCTGGAGGCTGGGAAGTCCAAGATCAAGGTGCTGGCCAACTTGGTTCCTGATGAGGGCTCTCTCGCTGGCTCGCAGATGGCAGCCTCTTTGCTGCGTGCTCACATGGCTGTCCTTGATGTGTGCACACAGCATGAGAGCAAGTGCTGTAATATCTCTTCTTATAAAGGCACTAATCCCATCAAACCAGGGCCCCACCCTCATGACCTCGTCTAACCCTAATTACCTCCCAAAGTCCCATTTCCAAACACAATCACACTGGGGGTTTGGGCTTCTATATATGAATTGTGGGGGGCACATAAACATTTCATCCATAATAGCGGCAATCAATATAATGAACATATCTGCCATTCCTCAATGTATCCTTCTATCCCTCCTCACCCCACACCTGTCTCTTTTCTATTTCATTGATCTATGTTCTTACCTTTATTATTTTCTTCTTTCTGTAATACTTTGGGTTTACTCTACCCTTTTTCTAGCTTATTAAGATGAAAACTTTTGTGTTTCATTTTTCTTTTCTTATTTTTTCAATAAAACTCAACTTTTTAATCTGGAGATACATATAATATATGTAAATTATATATAATATATAGAATACATACTATATAATTGTTATATAGTATATATTATCATAATATTATTAATAATATATTATAATATATATTGTATATAATTTCATATATTTATGTAGCTATTAAATATAATGATATATATTTCCAGATTAAAGTTGAGTTTTATTTAAAAAAAGAATAAATAGAGTAATAAGCAAATAGAATAAACACTCCAATAAAAACTTAGGAATTGACCAGTATCAATCAATATCAAACAATATTATTTGAGGCCCTGGTGTGTGTGTATACATACACGCAAATAATATTGTTTCATTTTAATGTTTCTTTTTGTGTTATTTTATTTATTTATTTATTTTTAACTTGTAAGTTCAGGGATGCATGTGCAGGATGTGCAGGTTTGCTACACAGTTTGTTGTACCAATTATTTCGTCACCCAGACATTAAGCCTAGTATCCATTAATATCAGCATTTAAAGCTGTAAGTTTCACTCTAAAGCATTGGTTTTTCTGCATCGCACAATTTTGATCTGTTGTATTTTCATTATTGTTCAGTTAATCTAATTTCCTTGGTTATTTCTTTTTGACCCATGAATTGTCCTAATTTCTAAATATTTCTGTATTTTCTAAATGTGTAGTGTTATTAATCTCTAAATTAATTCCATTGCAATCAGAGAAAGTATTCTGTATAATTTTAATACTTTTAAATTTATTGAAGCTAAAAGTTTTATGGCCAATTACATTTCCCATCATGGTGAATCATAAATGCATTATACTAACTGGAAATAGATATGCCTTTTATAAATGTTGGGTATAATGTTTTATAAATATCAAATAGGGGAAAGTAGTTGATAATGCTGTTCAAATATTCCTTACTGAATTTTTGTCAAGTTTTTTAATGAATTGCTGAAAATTGTTAAAATCTATTATAATGTGAAATTCTCCATTTTTATTTTAATTCTGAAAATTTTTTCTTAATGCTTCTAAATATCAATTAGTTGAAAATGTTTGGTATGCGTGTTCAAATCCTGCCTATCTTCCCTGTTCTTTGTTTAATTCCTTTAGGATTCTGAAAGACGGTGTTAAAGTCTCCTACTTCGAATTGTATATTCTTCCCTTTAATTTTATTAATGTTTGCTTCATGTATTTAAAGGCTCTGTTGTAATTAGCCTACAGTTTTGTCATTCTTTTCTTTTCCTGAGAAATTAACCCTTTTATCCTCATGAAATGTCCCTCTTAACTGTGGTAAAATAATACTGAAGTGTATTTTATCTGATACTCATATAGTCAGCCCAGTTATCTTATGCTTACTCGTTACATGCTATATATTTTTTTTCTATCCATTTACTTTCCACCTGTCTGTGTCTTTAGATTTAAAATATATTTCTTATAGGCATAATATAGTTACATACTGATTTTTAAAATCTGGTGATCTCTGTTTTTTAAATGGGAGTTTTTGACCATTATCATGTAATGTAATGATTGATAATATACCTATATATTTAAGTCTACCATTTAATTGTTTTTTGTTTTTTGTACCCTCTTTTCATTTCTTCTTCTGCTCCAGCATTCTTTTATATTAAAAAATATTTTTTATAATTTTATTTCAACTATCCTTTAGCATCTAACCATTCATCTTTGTCTTATTTCTTTTTAGAGGTTGCTGTATGGATTAGAGTATACATGTTTAATATCTCACAATCTACTCCAAGTCAATGTTGGACCACTTCACATAAAATCTAGGCACCTTGCAGCCATATGGATTCCCTTTTCTCATCCGCTACATTCATTTACTTTATAGCTGACTTATGTGTTACATCTTCAAACATTACAAACCCCTTCAGACATTGTACTAATTTTGGCTTTATATAGTTATACAAATTCATTTAACAGAAAAATGATCTTTTAAATATTTACCCAGATATTTATCATTTCAAATGATCTTCATTCATCCCTGGAAAAATCTAAATTTCCCTCTGATATCATTTCACATTAGCCCAAGATCTCCCTTTAGCATTTCTTATAACGAAAGTCTAATGGCAACAAATTACCTTCGTTTCCTTTAGCTGAAGATGCTGCTATGTTACCTTCATTACTGAAGGATATTTTCGGAGGCCATGGATTTCTAAGTTGATAATTTTTTTTTCTTTTCTCTCACTCTAAGCACTTTAATGATGTTGATACGTGATTTTCTGGCCTCCACTTTCCTGATGAGAAATGCATAGTCTCTTGAATTGTTTTTATCCAGTATCCGATGCATCATTTTTCTCTCAGCCACTTAAAAAATTTCCCTAAAAGCAATTTTATTTACTATGTCTAAACATAGTTTTATTTGGATTTATTCTAGTTGGAGTTTGCTGAGATTCTTGAATCAGTAAATTCATGTCTTTCACCAATTTTGGGATGTTTTTGGCCATTGAATCTTAAAATACTATTTTCTGACCAAATTTATCTCTGTTCTCTTTCTGGAACTCCAAGGATATGTATATTAGATGTTTTGATATTATTTTCAAGTTTCTGAGGCTCTGTTAATTTTATAAAAATCTTTTATATATCTCTTCTTAGTTTCTGCTGATTTAACCAATTTCCTCTGTCATCTTCTGTCTGCTACAGAGCTCAGTCCAGTGATTTATTTATTTCATATATTGTATTTTTCTGCCCTAAATTTTACACTTGTTTCTTTTTTATATTTTCTGTGTCTCTGCTAAGATTTACTATCTTTTGATTTATTTCAAATATATTTTTCTTTACTTTTAAGTGTAGATATAATAGTAGGTTTCAAGTTATTTTCTGATAATTCAGACATCTCGTTTATCTCAGGGCATTAGACTGTTGATTTTACTGTCCCTTGATAATTTGTCACATTTTTCTATTTTGTTTTGCATATATGTCAATTTGTTTTGGATTTCATTCTGTACACTTTGTTCATTCTGCATTCTGATATATTCCTCTGAAGAGTGTTGATTTTTTTAAGCTATTAATCCAGTAAGATTCAGACTCTTAGCCCTGAACCACCTTTTGAAGATGGAGGTTTACATTTCAGTTGAATTTTCTAAAATTTTAGTGTGCTGCTTTAATCCTGTCCTCTGCCTGCCTGGTCTAATGGTCTACCTGAGACATGTGTGGGACTCATACATGGAAATAGAGGCTCTCCCTCTCTGACTCTCTTTCCTCCAGTTTTACCTGCTTACTGTTCACCAGTGGAAATCTCCCAGAACTCCTTCCCTCCATTTCAGGCCAGACAGAGTTCCAGCTGTTTGCTGTGCACCTTTCCTTGACTGTGGTCCACACTCGGTAAAGCCACCAACAAGGAGAAACTCACTCCCTAGTCAATTGCTTCTCCAAGTTTTGGTGCCACTCCACAGTCTGCCTTCTTTTGGTGTATTCATTAGTTTACTTAGGTAGTTGGATTTTGCACTCTGTCTATTGTTTATAGTTATTATTAGCAATAGGACGGTTCTGTGGAGGCTCACACTGCTATACCGGAAGAGTAAACCCACAAAGTTGTGATATGTAGTGTCTATATTGTAAATCAGTTATGGATCCTTTTACATTTTAATTCTTTTAATTATTTTGAACCCAGGAGTTGTTTAGTAATGGTGTTTCAATTTCTAAATATGTGGGTGATTTTTAACTTGTCTTTTTGTTTTAAAAGCTTGATTGCATGGTGGTCAGAGATCTTGTTCTGCACACGCACACACACAGACACACAAAGAGATGCTCTTCAACTTAAGATGGAGTTATGTCTCAATAAGCCCATTAAAAATTGAAAATATTGTAAGTCAAAAATACATTTAATAGTACACACACTTAATTTACTCAACATTGTAGCTTAGCCTAGCCTACCTTAAATATGGTCAGAATACTTACATTAGCCTACAGTTGTGCTAAATCATCTAAAAGAAAGCCCATTTTGTAATAAAGTATTATATGTCTTGTACACTTTATTAAATGCTGTACTGAAAGTGAAAATGGAATCGTTTTTGCACCATCATAAAGTCAACAAAATCGTTAGATGGAAGCATGGTAAGTCAGGGAGGGTCTGTATTTAGACATACACAGAGACTCTCTTTATGACCTCATGCACAATCGATTTTTGTATATTTTTATATGTATACTTGGAAAAAATATTCTTTATCTGTTGGTTGCCTAACTCTAATTATTTCCCTGTAAGTTACCCTTGCAGATTCTTCCTCTGCTTGACCTATACATAGAATGTGTTGAAATATCCCACTAGAATACTATTGTTTACATCTAATTTATGGATTAGAGTATAGATATTGGATTACTTTTTCCCTGTAAGTCTATTTATTTCTTTCTGTATATGTTTGGAGGCTATTTTGCTAAGAGTAGGCATGGTAAATATTGCTATATCTTAATGTGAAATTAAAATATTTATATCTGTGTCATAACCCTCTTTATGAAAAATAATATTTTGGTCTTAAGGTTTATTGAATGTTATTAAGGTAGTCATACCAAGTTTCTTTTGGTGAGCATTTTTCTGAAAGGTCATTTTTCCATCCTTCCACTTCTAGTCTTTGCAGGTCTGTAAGTTTGAGGAATGACTCTTCTAATTAGCACATATTGAACATATACATTTTAATTTCAGTTTGTCTAGTTCCATAAAAAGTCTTGTAAGAATTTTGATGAGAATTGCATTGAATTTATGAATTAAAGTGGGACAACTGACATTTTAAAGATGTTGAACATAATAGATCTTCGCCTTCATTTATGCCTTCACATAAATGAACATAATAGATCTTTGCCTTTATTTGGGTCTTCTCGCTGTCCTTCAGCAACACTTTATTATTTTCTCTTTAACAGACTTTTGTGCCTTAAATTTTTGTTTCTTTTGTTTTTACACACAGAGACTTTGGGAAACTTTTATTAATTTGAATAATATGTCCGTTGATGCAATGAAACTGGCATTAATGTCATTTTTTTTCCTTTTTATACCTTTTATTTATTTCTCTTGTTTTACTCTACTGTATTCAAGTATCCTTGGATTGTTCCAGATTTTAAAGACAAGGTGTCTGGAGGTTGTATCCTGAAGTACTGCATTTGCTGTGAATTTTTGTAGATAACCTATATCAAGTTTTAAAAGTTCTTTCCCCTTTATAGCTTTCTCAGAGCTTTTATTAAAAATTGAGTTAAATTTTTGAAATGTACTTTTTGTATCTATTTCAATAGTTGCATGATTTTTATGTAGTGAATTATAGCATGTGGTGTTAATGTATTCTTTTACTCCTAACAAAATCCAATTTGGTCATGAGTGATTTTTTTTAGTGGGTTACCACATTTGAATTGTTAATATTTTGAATGATTTTTAAAAATCTATGCTCGTAAATTATATCGACCTACAATTTTCCCTTTTTATACTGTCCTTCCCTGGCTTCGAATCAAAATTAAACTCACCTCATAAAATGAGTTCTTTCATTTTTTATTGTGTGGAAAATTCTTTATGAAATTGGAATGATCTATTCATTGACTGGCTGGTAGAAGTCACCCATAAAACCACGCATGCCTCTTTTTAAAATCGAACATGTACTATGGGTGGGCTTTAAAATACGGATCCAGTTTCCTCAATGTTATAGGTCTATTTATGCTTGCTATCTCTTTTTGGGTCATCTTTTGACGTTATATTTTTTCCAGGAATGTTTTCAGTTTAACTAAGTCTTCACATTTATCGGTCTTCACATGTTTATTTGTAAAGTTCTCTTATGTTTGATGTCTTTACTATGAAATTTATCATGCATTCAGAATTGTATATGAACTGTTTAAACAACAGCAAAAATGAAACACTCTCTCTTCCAACACCTGTGTTAAGAATCAAATCCCGACCAACACTTTCGAAGCCCCCATGTCCTCAGCCCACCCATCTCTTCTAATTTTATGTCCCCAGAGTTACCGTTGTTCTGAATATGTACAAGTATGTTCTTATATTTCTTTGTGCATCTGTAAACATTATATTATTTAGTTTAAAACGTGAGTATTAAGGACAAAACTAGCTTCCTAAGGAAAGAGTCATATTACAGCTGTTTAGATGAAGGCACTGGAGGAAGGCAAGCTAAGGGAGCTGGTAGGCAAAAGCACAGTCTCAGCCTCTTGGAGAGTTTACCGGAGCCTCCTGTGGAATTCCGTGGAACCTGAGGACCTCTGCAGCTGGCGAGGGAGGGGGGCAGGGGTGGGGATGGGGGCCATGTCCTGACTCAGGGCTGTATGTCCCAGAGGAACGCAGGCAGGGAAATGTGTCTCTGGCTAGCCGAGTCCTCCGGCTCTCAGGATTCGGTCAAAGCAGAACAACAGTGCAGGTTAGGACGCAGGCCCTCCGCTGGCCCAAAATTCAGGTCATGCAGAGGAGAGTGAAAAACTCATTGGCACACGGCCAAGGGAAGCCCACAGCAAAGAGTCTATGGCACAACGGCGATGAGGCTGGGGTTCACCTGAAGTTGCTGTTTCTAGGGGTATGCTCCCATCTGGGCGGGTGAACTCCTGCATGTGGTGAAGAGCTGTTCCTGTCCCTGCCGACATCTCTCACCATCCTGCATCAGGCCAGGTGTCCACTGGGTCCTGGGGCAGCCTCCCCACGGGTTACTCTCCATTCAGTGGGGCGCTTCCTCTGGAGTTTCGAGAAGAGTTCAAAGGAGGCAAGCGTTTGGGATCCCGCCCATCCAAAGTGGGTTTCATGTTCCTCAGATACATACTGATGGGTCTGGCCAGGTAAAGGATTTGTGTTTGGAAGCTACCTTCCTTCCACCTTCTGAACGTGGTGCTCCATTGGGTCAATGACTCCCGTGTTGCTATTGAGAAGCCCTAAGTCTTTTTGATTCCCAGTCCCTTTATCCAACTCTTGTCTATATACAAGATTGTAGAATACAGTCTGTGCTCTGGTTTGAAATTTCACCACAATGAATCTTGGTGTGGGTCTATTTTCATTCATGTGCTGGCTTCTTTTTTTTTTTTTTTTTAAACAGGGTCTCACTCTGTTGCCCAGGCTGGAGTGCAGTGGTGCAATCCTAGGTCACTGTAGCCTTGACCTGGGCTAGTCAAGCAATCCTCCCACCTCAGCCTCCCAAGTAGCTGATGTACCACCACGCCTGACTAATCTTTTTTATTTTTTGTAGAGACAGGGTCTCACTATGTCACTCAGGCTGGTCTCAAACTCCTGGGCTCAAGTGATCTGACCACCTTGACCTACCAACCTGCTGGAATTATAGGCGTGAGCCAGTGTGTGGGACCCACATGCTGGATTCTTATTGAGCTCTCTCTCTTTTTTTTTTTTTTTTTTTTTTGAGAGGGAGCCTCATTCTGTCACCCAGGCTAGAGTGCAATGGCACGATCTTGGCTCATGGCAACCTCCACCTCCTGGGTTCAAGTGATTCTCCTGCCTCAGCCTCCTGAGTAGCTGGGATTACAGGCATGAGCCACCACGCCTGGCTCATTTTTGTATTTTTAGTAGAGACACGGTTTCCCCATGTTGACCAGGCTGGTCTCGAACTCCTGACATCAGATGATCTACCTGCCTTGCCCTTCCAAAGTACTGGGATTACAGGCCTGTGCCACTGCGCCCAGCCCTTATTGAGCCTTCTTGATCTATCATCTCATGTCCTTTCTTAGCATTCTCCCCTGTCACTTTTCTTATTTGGATGTTTGGCCTTCTAAACTGGTGTAATTTCATTTGTTAGTTTTTCATCTTTGTCTCTTTATCTCTGCTAACCTTTAGTAAGATTGTGAAATAGCCTCAGCTTTATCTTCCAGACCTTCCTATCGAGTTTTCATTTGGGCTGCTATGTTTTTAATTTCCATCAGCTATTTTGCTCTTGTTCTCTCAATGTTCCTCGTGTGTAGATAGCTTCTTGCTCTCCTTTTATTATTGCAATATTTTTCTTATTTCTCTGGAGTATTGGATGCTTTCTGGAAAGTTTCTTCACTCTGTTAAGTCCCCGTTTTCTCCCAGTGAGTCTGCTTTGATTCTGGGCTGTGGCCTCCATCTTCATGTTGCAGGCCTTCCTTACACTTGACCATCCTGACTGGTTGAGAGCAGTGGTCCTCAAAGCTGTTTGGAAGCTCTTTGTGTGTGGGCAAAATGCATTGACTTTTGATTTTACTGCCAGGTGGTTTGCAGGAGCCCTTGGCTGGGAAATCCCCAGCTTGTCAGTTTTTGTATAACTTTGTTTTCTTTTTTTGGAGATGGAGGCTTGCTCTGTTGCCCAGGCTGGAGTGCAGTGGTATGATCTCGGATCACTGCAAACCTCTGCCTCCTGGGTTCAAGCAACTCTCCTGCCTCAGGCTCCCAAGTAGCTGGGACTAGAGGCGCACACCGTCACGCCTGGCTAATTTTTTTTTTTTTTGTATTTTAGTAGAGACAGGGTTTCACCATGTTGCCCAGGCTGGTCTCAAACTCCTGAGCTCAGGCAATCTGCCCACCTCAGCCTCCCAAAGTGCTAGGATTACAGGTGTGAGCCAATGCGCCCGGCGTTTTTATAGAGCTTTCATCTGCAGTTTTGTCTGATTATCTAAATATAAGTATCATACAGCTCCCACTTCTGTGCATTCTTTAAACCAAAGTTAATTTTCAAGTTTTAATGTAGAGAATTTTTAGTTGAAATTTCTATTAAGATAATTGTAGATTCACATGCGGTTGTAGGAAATTATACAGAGAGAGCCCATGTACACTCCCCCACCCCGTCCCCAGTACAAATGTTATGTAAAACTCTAGTACAGTAGCACAACCCAGTGACAGAAGCCACTGAGCTGATTAAGGTTTCCTCAGTTTTACCTGTGCTCATTTGTGTGTGCGTGTGTGTGTGTGTGTGTGTGCGCGATGAGTTCTATACAATTTTATCCTCTTTGTAGGTTCATGTACCCAACACCACCATCAAGATACCTAACAGTTCCAACCCCACAGACATCCCATCGATTACCTTCCTCTGTCATAGCTACTCTCTTCCCATTCCTCCTCCCGTGCAACCTGGGCAACCTCTATTCTCTTCTCCATTTCTAAATCTCTGTCATTTAAAAAATTGTATATAAGTGCAATCATCCACGATGTAACCTTTAGAGATTGACTTTCTGTGTGTCACACAATTGCCCGGAGATTCACCCAGACTGTTGCCTGTATTAACAGCATGTTTCTTTATATTGCTGAGTGGCGTTCCATGGTATGGACATACCACAGTCTGTTTAACCATTTCATTAATAACTGTGTGTTACCTGTGTGTCATTAGCTTACAATGTAGTTATGTTCATAAAATATACTCTGTTTAATGGTAATACTTTATTTGGAACTATGTTGAGATTTGACTTATGTTCTAATACAGGTAAATTTTCATGAGTGTTCTGTGTATACATATAAAGAATATCCTGCAATTTTGAGGTACAGGATTCTATAGTTTATATTTTCATCTGATCTATTTGTTAATTGTGTTGTTTCCATTTTTATATGCTTATAAATAGTTTTGCTGTCTTGATTTACTGAGAAAGCTGTATGAAAATCTTCCAGTATGGGGATGGATTTATCTACTTCTCCTTGCAGTTCTATTAACTTTGGCATTATAAAATTTGGGACTACACCATGTGCATGCAAAGTGTTCTCCTGATGGATTTGACTTTTTTATTGTAAAATAGCCTTCCTCACCCCTAGAACTTTCATTTTGCTTTGAATATAGCTACACCAAGGCAGCTTTGATTTTCATTTGCTTCCAAGGCTCTGTCCTCTTTACTTTCAATATTTTTTTGTTATATTTTAGGTATGTTACATACTTAGTATATGACCATTTTTTAAAAATGAAATCTTTACACTTGCTATAACTAGTTATATTTGAATATTATCTATGTATACACAACTTTATGATATTTTTTCTGCCTTATCTGAGTTTCTTTGCTTTCTCCACCTCCTTTCTTGCTTTTTATCAAAAGCAAGTTTTCTCTCTCTCTGTCTTCCTCTCTCTCTGTTTCTCTCTCTGTCTGTGTGAATTTAATGTAGGAAGAGCCAGCACTTAGGCCAAATGACTACTAGGACAGAGGGGTTACTGGAACCTGGAAAATAAAAGTGATGGATAAAGCAGCCACCTTGAGAGGGGCAGTGGCCTTCTGTCAATGGACACAGCAGCTCTGGGACATTAAGGGAGTGAACCTGGGGAGTGAACTCCCTCACCCCACTCTCTTCCATCTCTTTGATCTGTCATTGGGTCTCCCCCTTGGCCAAGTCTTGCTACAAACCAGGGGGCTGGAGAGCCTGGGGTCAGCATGCACTGTGTGGTACTGCTGGCTCCATCATGATCCTCACATACTTTACTGGCCATCTTTATGTTCTTATACAATACAATCATCCATCTTTTATATGATTTGTGCGCTTTACACCACAACTGCTGACCTCCTGTACTAAGAATGATGATGAAATCTGCTTATTCAGCCTCTAGCTTGCCTTTTTCATCCACCCACTGCTTAGTTATGTAATTTCTATATTACTAGGGCTTAGAACAGTTATCACTCCATAACCATCATTTTCACAGTCTTAGCTTTAGTATTAACTTACAAGTCTTCATACAAACCTCACTACCAATTTATTTTCCATAGACTATTTCTTAAGCTCTTAGCTGGATGACTTTTGTCTGTTAGCAATGTCTTCAATAAAGTTTATGGGACTTCTTGCATATATATATATCTTTATACTGGAATAATAGTTTAGCAAGGTATAAAATTATTGAATGACTTTTTTTTAATGAAGTCTTTACGGAAACTGCTTCACACACTTCTGAAATCTCCTATGGAAAAGTCCTTTGACAGCTTTAGGGGGTGTGAATTCCCTCAGTATTATTTCTGTATCTTTCAAGACCAGTAATTTCATTTCCTCTTCTTCAGGGCTAACCGTTATATATATTTTGGAAATCTTCCTTGTCTTTTATTGCTATTGTATTTTTCTTATATTTAAAAACTAAAATTATTTCATTTGCTCAAGTTTTTTAAGCCTATTTTCCCCTGGGTATGGCTGTTCCAGCCTTATGATGCTTCAAATATAGCCTTCTCTGTGATGGCTTTCTTGATCTTTGTCATTTCCTCCCAAGGTCTGCCAAATTATTTTTATACTTTTCTTCTGTTTTATTATTGCCTCCATGAGCTCTTGTGTCTCTGCTTTTAAGGCTTTTATTTCCTGACTTATTATAACTTAAAAAAAAAACCATCATCTTTAAATCCATGTGATGCTATTTTTTCTTCATAATATTTTTCAGTCCTCTCCCTGACCAAATTTTTCTGTAATATATTTTTAGTTTCCTCCTCTACATTATTCCTATTTTTTCTTGTTATTTTTACTTGTGTTTGAATGAGGAGAGCTATTTTCAGGCCAGGTATCTGCAGAAAGACCGTGCGGAGAAGGGGCCAAAGTATGTACGTGGTCGGCACATCCACATCTTCTCTCTGGCTGCCAGTTAAGCACTGAGTGATACAGGGTGTGCGTCTGTGTCTGTGTGGACAGACATGTTGTGTTCCATATGACATCGGTCTGGTCTTAGCCTCCACATGTTGTATCAGTAGTTCAAAGCTGCTTCCTGTCCACATGAATCCTTGTTTCCATCACATATGGGACCCACTGTCTCCTGTAAAGATGGCAGGTCATGCATTCTTTGCTCCCTGCCAGCTTCGTGGCGCTTCGTGGTGTCACTGGTTTTCGGGAGTCCCCTGTAGCCTGTGCACACACCTCTTTCTGTTTTTTCACACGTACAGCTGTTGGTTCCGGTTCCCAGGGTGAGCCAGCTGCTTTGGAAACCAAGTGAGTGTGGCTGATTCTCTTGAGGCCTGTGGAAGTGACCCTGGCTTCTCTGCCCCTATCTAATTGTGACCCCTTAGCATTTTGATTTTACAAGTATATTAAAGTCCAGAGTAAGAAATGCCCCTCACTGCGGGTGGCTGCTGTTCCCAGCTTTTTATTCTCCTGGTTTTCACTGGCATCAGGAGAGGAGAGACAGCACACTGTCACGGTGGTTCACGGCGCAGCAAATTTCTAACAAGCTCTTCTGCGTCCCAGGGAGGTGAAGCTACCCGAGCAGGGTCTCACGGAGCTCGGGATTCGGGAGGTGAGAACCCAGAGCTGCCCTTCCCGTGCCTGTTATGGGTACCAAGGATGTAGCACTCATTACACAGACCCAAACAAGCCCTTTCCTGAAGTTACCGTGTAAACTATGTTAGACGCAAGAGGCACCATGGGGAAAAGTGAAACGGGCCAGGAGGGGTGTCAGGGTGGAGTGCTGGGTTTGGGGGTGCTGGATCAAGGATTCTGTTTCCAGTGGGAGGCCAGGGAAGGCCACACAGGTTATGGGTGTTTAAGCAAAGACCTGAAGGAGGCGAGGAAGAGCCCTGAGTGCAGCTGGGGAAGGAGGTGGCCGCAGCCCGTGCAGCTGGGGAAGGAGGTGGCCGCAGCTGCAGAGGCCTCGGCAGTGGGCCTTCTTCATGCTCCAGGCACAGGAGGAGAGGGAAGTGGAGGGATGCAGGGCCCTAGGGAGGAGTGGCAGGAGGTAGGGTCAGAGAGCGATGGGAGTGGAGACTCTGGAGGGTTCAGGCCCTGAGGGACTCTGCTGTTCTTCCAGGAGCAGGGCCACTGCACGGTCTGAGCAGAGAAGGACATGCTGTGACCCAGAAGATGCAGCTCCCCTGGCTGCTGTGGGGTCGTCGGCCTTTGGGGAGGCGAGGGCAGAAGTGGGGAGGCAGGCAGAGCTGGGACCGGCATGGCGGCAGGGCGTGGGGCTAACACGTGCTTGTTGAATGTCCTGGAAGCCTGGTCCCTGAGACATTGCCAGGGACACCAGCCCACCAGGGACGCAAAGCCCATGAAAGACAGATAAA
The DNA here is from genome assembly GCF_000001405.40 of Homo sapiens. NCBI lineage: Eukaryota > Metazoa > Chordata > Mammalia > Primates > Hominidae > Homo > Homo sapiens. The sequence continues at coordinate 48,779,016 of NC_000022.11, forward strand.
GGGAGCCGCTCCCTGAGCCAGGAACCTACACACGGGAGATTAATCCATCCATTTCCGCGGCGAGGTGCCTGCTTCCCACGTGTGAGTAACTGATGTAAAATCATAAAATGGACCATTTGCCTTTATTTTCGTGTGACCTTGGACTTTGCAAAACTCTGAGCAACTTACTTGAAATTTAACCAAACGTCAGCAGAGAGCCTGGCTCCATAGTTCCCACTGATCCCGCGAGTCCGGGCTGGCCCCATTCAGCCCTTGCTGTCGAGCCCTGCAAGACGCACAGCCGGGGCCACGGTACCCACCGCCTTCCCTTCTCGCCTCTAAGGCAACAGAGGAGATCCCGTCCTGCCTGCCTGGCCCTGCTGGCACGCACAGCGTGGCTGGACTTGTTGCTCATTTCACTTAAACCCTATGACACCCTTCCAAGCAGGCCTCCCTCAGATCCCTGTGTTTGAGAAGGAGAAACAGGTTTCGAGAGGTGCCCTGGTCTCACGGAGCCCTGCAGCGGCGCGGAGCACCGGCGGTTCTGCAGCCAGGCTGCCCGGACTGTGCGGGGACTGGGTCTTTACACCCCAGAGCTTTCACGTAGCCGGTGCAGCTCACACCTTCACCCGAGGGGACAGGGGCTGGTGGCAAAGCCCCACATTGGCCTGAGTGACCGAGTAGCTGCAGGGACCCACTGGGATTTGAGGAGCAAAAGAAAGAAGAAAATAGGAAAAAAATCAACCTTTTTGAGCCAAAGCAGAATGAGTTTACTGAGAGTTAGACTGAGCTTGAAGGAGACGCAGTGCAGGTTTGCGGGCCGGCCCAGACTCCTGAAACAAAGCATCACAACCCACACCGGCGGCAAACACAACAGACATTGGTTCTCGCAGGCTCTGCAGGCTGGAAGTTCCAGATCGAGGTGTGTGGCCAGGGCCGGTTCCTCCTGAGGCCTCTCCTCGGGTTTAAGGTGGCGTCTTCTCCCTGAGTCCTCTCTTGGGCGTCCCTCTGTGCCTGTCTGCGTTCTCTTCTCTTCTATAATGACTCTTCTTCCCGGGTCCTGTTGGATTAGGGCCTGCCCGATAACTTCCTTTTAACCTCGTCACTTCTATAAAGGCCTTCTCTCTGAATACAGCCTCTTTCTGAGGCATTGGAGGTTAGGGCTTCCACACGTGGACTTTAGGGGTGCAGTTCAGCCCCAACAGTGGGTTTGTGAAAGAGGGGCCACAGTCGCCAACGTTGCTGCCATGGAGATGGCGGGGACCCAGGAGCACGGGCTCTTCACTGAGTCCTGAGCTGAAACTGGGTCCCAGTCTTCACAGTTGGTTTCTGACACGTGGACCTGGCTGGGACGATGTGGCTTGAGCAGCTTAATTCACTGGGTGGCTTCTGTCCTAGGCTGGCTCTGGGTCACTGAGATGAGAGGGCACAGTTCTCTCTTAAGAGGCTGGCCCCGTGCAGGCAGAATTCACACACACTGGGGGTTGGGACAGAGCAAGACACACAGTTCTGGAGCCCAAGGCGGTGGCTCCGACGTGCGCCACTGTGCTGGGGAAAAGGTGCATGCCTGGGACCCTATGCAGAACGTGGAGCCCTGTGTACAGGCCTCTGTCCATCCGCCCTTTGTCGTGGCTTTAATATTTTTCCCAAATGAAAGTGGTTTTGTTTTGATAACAACAGCAATCATAGCAAGCCTGCACCCAGTACTGAACTCACACCAGGCCCGGCTGAGCCCTGTAATGGAAGCGGTTCATTGAATCCCCGGTGAGGACCCCAGGCCCAGAGTCCTGCAGGGACGGGACGGTGGCTGTCTGCCTGGATGCCAGGCCCAAGCTTTCCAACACGAGACCACGCTGCTGTCTCTCTCCCACTGGCTTACACCATTCCAAAATAATCTAATTATTTAAACAATACATGTTCGAATGTGTAAGCGTTCTATAAAGTGCAGAGGGGAAAATTGAGTTAAGCCCGATGCAGCCCCATTGGGAACCAGTCTGACCTTTTCTAGGGAGGAGAGGGCTGTGCTCATGGTGCGGATGGGACCCCCCCGACCTGGGGTGCACCCCAGCATCTCACCCCCATCCTGCGGGACCCACAGCACAGCGGCCTCAGCAGCAGGTCTCATTTCAGCCCCCAATGGGAGCAAGCCAAAGCCACTTCAGCAGCAAAACGAATCAATGGACTGTCGTAAGTTCAGTGACAGGAAGGAAGGAACCCCAGATCTACGAAAAGCAGGATGAATCCCCAAACCTGTGATGCTGAGTGGAGGAAGGCAGGCAGCAAAAGGGTAATGAAATATGCTTCCATTTGTATAAAGTTCACAGAGACTAAACTGTGCTTTGCTTTTCAGGGATGTAGACGTGGCAGTGAAACTGAAAAGAAAAACAAGGAATTTATGGCCAGAAAATGACAGAGATCGGTTATCTCTAGGAGCAGTAAGGGGCCATGCTTGGGGAGGGGGAGGAGAGATGCATGGTGGGGATGGGGGCATCCTCACCTCCAAATCGCACCCTCCCGAAGCCACACAGCAGCCTGAGGATGTCTTCAGGGCCGCTCTGAGCTCTGGGGTCCCCGGGGACTGGGGGTTAGGACCCCGACCCACCTGCCCACTGTGGGCCCCAGCGTTGGGTGAGTCCTGGAACCTCCCGTCTGTGAAGTGGGGCTGCAGTGCTGCGTTGCTCATGGGTTTGCTCTGGAGGCTAAAGGGATTTTCCGCATGCAGGGCTGGGTGCGTAGCAGGACGGCTTTTACCCATAATGACCGTCGAGTGTGGGTTAAATTCCATCCCCCAAAAGATACGTCCAAGTCCTGACCCCCAGTGCCTGTGAATGGGACCTTCTTTGGAAATAGAGCATTTGCAGATGTGATGAAGTGAAGATGCATTCATTCTGGATTAGGGTGGTTCCTAAATCCAAGGACTGGTGTCGTTACACGAAGAGGAAAATTTGGAAAATCAGCCTCCTAGAAGGAGGCGTGATGACGGAGACAGAGATTGGAGTGGTGCAGCCACATGCCAAGAAAGGCCTGCAGCCACCAGGAGCTGTGAGAGGAAGAAAGATCCTGCCCACAGCCTTCAGCGAGAGCAAGGCCCTGCCCGTCGCCGGACACAGGACCTCTGGTGTCAGGTCTTCCGGTCTGTGGTAACGTGTTACGGTGGCCGCTGGAGATTAATACATTGTCTTTCTGTACTTGCTTCTTGTGGGCAAAAAGCTTAGTTGGCTTATGTCTGCTGGAAGCTTCAGCACCTATAATTTTTTAGGCACATAGCAGTCACCCCGCTCACACTTGTATGAATTGGGAGTTCTATGTAGAGGGCTCTGGACCCTGCTCTCTTCCTGAATCCTGTAGTACTAAGCCATTGTTCCATGTCGATAATAGCAATGTGCCCTGTTCTTTAGGGTATGTCAGAGTCGGAGGCCCTCCAAGAATGGCGTGTCCTCCTCTTGCTCACATTTATGGGCCCCCTTCTTGTTGTGATGACTGATGCTGCGATTTCTCCAGCGTATCACCCTTGCCATCTCACTGAATCATTTCTTTATGATAAACCCTCGGCAGCGGCGTTGTTAGGTGAAGAGGCATAAAAAGTCTCTGCATTTTAGCATGTGCTGCAGGTTGCTAAATCCCCCTCCAGGAAAGCGGAAGCTTTTGACAAGCCCACCAGCTGGAGAGGAGAGTGCCCAACTATTCCCACACTGGTACCCAAATCAGGGATTATCGTTCTTTTTAATCTTTGCCAATTTGCTAAACAGAGAAAGGTATCAATCTCTGTTGCTTTAATTTGCATGTCTTTGATTACTATTGAGTTTGAACATCTTTTCATATGTTTATTGGCCATTTATGTAAATACAGTCTTCACAGTTATGCAGCCATTTAAAATGCCAGGCACTGAGAACAGAGGGCAGGGGTGGGAGGAAGAGAGAGGCTCCAGCCCAGGGCTGTGGCCAGGATGCCTCCGGCCTCTGGGTTCCCCACTTCCTCTGCGCTCTCAGACAGGCCTCCCTCTGGGGTACACAGTCCTCAGGATGCAGGATGGCGGCTCGGCAAGATCTCAGCTCCAGGAAATTTGCATTTCAAAAGGGAACTCTGCTCCAGATCAAATAATTAAAGACTGCAACCTGAACAGCTGGGAGCTCAGCGCCGGAGCCTTTAAAGCTAAGCCAACCATCAACAAATACGGTGGCCAACAGCTTGGTCGACTCTTTCGAATATGTCTCCACCCACTCTCTTCCACTAGAGGGCACACTTTTGGGGTGGAAGCACGGAGACTCTGCCCATCCCTGGAATTCCCTCCTGGGTGGGACAGCTGTGCACATTTGACAACGGGATGGACCCATAAGTGAAACCCCCAAGGTGCCTATGGCCTGTCACCTCCTGCCCCACTCTTGGAGGCTGCAGGGCTGCGGGTACTGGCCAGCTCCCGGCCAGCAGGACCACGCCTTCCAGGTGTCCACCTCTGGACATGCCCCACTGCTCCTGGCCGGCCACCTTTTGCCCTCCCCAAAGCTTCCCTCGCCCCAAACCATCTCCAAGGTCAACTCCAGGAAAACCTAGCCCATCTAAGTTTAATGTGCTACTCTTTTTCTTCATTTCTCATTTTACAGGCTAAATCATTCTACTTTATACGTTTTATTTTCTGATTAGTCACACAGAGCTCATTAAATGGAAGACAGAGCTTTTCATAAAATATGTAGAGGAATCTTGGATTCTTAATTTCAAAATTAAAAAAATAATAATCCCGGCAATGAAATGCACTGTCTGTTCATAAAACTCGCCAAGTGTCCAAGGATGAAAGGTTTGAAACAGAGGGGACCCAGAGGACAAGTCTCTCTGGAACTGACAGCGGCCGTCTTGCTGAGCCCTTGGGCCGTCCTGGGGCTGGGGCGTGGCCGGCTTGTGGACCTTGCTCCAGATAAGGGAACTTGAAGGTTCCAGGTACAAGTCAGGCCCTGCTAGCTCCATTAAGATACTTCCAGGGACATCGGTCATGAGCACAGTTCACAACACCCTGGTTAAACCAACATCAAGCTTCAGACCAAAGTGCAGGCGAAGCCGGTGGTTCTCAAAATTCCCTGCGCTGGAGAATCAACAGGAAGTCTCATAAAACACCGAGCCGGGGGCCCTGACCCCAGAACCTCCCGTTCCCTGAGCCTGCGGGGGCCTGGAACTCTGCATCTGCAAGGGGCCTCCAGGCCGTGACCATGAGGGTGGCCCGTCTGTGGCCTGGATTTTTGGAAAAGATGGGGTGGGGAATGTAAATGATTAATACAATTTTTTGATGTTGTGAAAATATCTAGAAATCGCAAATAATCAAGCAGATAACAGCCAGGAAGGGACAGCAGCCCAGGGCCTGGGTCCCAGTCGGGCCATGGCATCGTCTTCCTGGCCTCCTTTGGGGCGTGGCGTGGCTCCACCATGGACCACAGGTCAGAAGAGAGCCCGGGGCCATGTGGGACGTCCCAAGGTGCTAACTGTGCCTTGGTTAAGAGACAGGATTTCCTGATTTTTGGAAATTTTTATCTTCACACTGGGAAGAATTTAAGGGTGGTTCACTCTTGGATCAGGAAACAGTGTGTGTGTACACGAGAGAGAGGGACAGAGAGAGGGGGGACATGTGGAGTGCACTGGAACCACCATAACCCCCATGAAGGCGGCACCGGAGTTATTGGCATTATTTGTGCAACTCTTCTTCATGCTTGACGTCGTTTCAAAATAAAGAGTGAGCTGAGCAAATCAACTCGGCAGGGCACATTTTGTGCTGGGAAGATATGGGACGTGGGGTGGCCATACAGCTTAGCTCCCAGGTCCCTCCCAATACAGGGCTGATGGTCCCCTTGACCCCCTGAACTCTCCCCAAACTTCCCCCTGGGTGGTCTGCAGGAGGACCCTCCTCAGCGGACATCTGCAGCCCCCTCCTGCCCTCTGCAGCCTGCTATGGACTGAATTATGTGGCCCAAATTCATAGGTTGAAGCCCTAGCCCCCAGTGTGACCGTATTTGGAGATGGGGCCTGTGAGGAGGTGATTAGGGTTAAATGAGGTTGTAGGAGGGAGGGCCTGATCCCACAGGACTGGTGGCCTCATGAGAAGAGGCCACAGAGGGCTCCGTCTCTGCTGTGTGAAGACACCGTGAGAAGGTGGCCACATGCCCTCCAGGAAGAGGCCTCCCCAGGCACCAGCCCTGCCGACACCTTACTCTCGGACTCCCAGCCTCCAGGGCTGTGCAGACTCAGGGCCGTTGTGTCAGCCGTGCGGGCTGTGGGTTCCGTTAAGGCTGAGTGTGGCCGAGCTAATGGCGACGGTGCCCATGACCCCCCGCCCCCGGGATTTAGTCCTGGGTTCCTTTCCCTTCTCACTCTGCTCCCCAACTTCTCACCCTGGAGCATGGACAGCAGGAGCATGAAGGGCCTTTGGGGGCTGCGGTGGTTTGAAGGAGTCCCCGCAAAAGCCTGAGTTGGAAACCCGACCCCCAATGTGGCAGTCCTGTGAGGTGGGGCTTTCGTGACCTAATACATTTCTGTTTATTAAAAATTGGCTGGGCGCGGTGGCTCACACCTGGAATCCCAGCACTTTGGGAGGCCGAGGCGGGTGGATCACCTGAAGTCAGGAGTTGGAGACCAGCCTGGCCAACATGGCGAAACCCCGTCTCTACTAAAAATACAAAAATTAGCCCGGCGTGGTGGTGGGCACCTGTAATCTCAGCTGCTCGGGAGGCTGAGGCAGAAGAATCGCTTGAACCCAGGAGGCGGAGGTTGCGCCACTGCACTCCAGCCTCAGCAACAGAGCAAGACTCTGCCTCAAAAAAATGAATAAAATAAAAATAAATAAATAAATAAAAATTACCCGGTCTGTGATATTTTATTGTAGCAGTACAAACAGACAGGCCAAGGATCCCCTGAAAGTGTAAACAAAATGGGGGTGTCATGGGGTGGGGCTGACAGCGTTTGCTACATTCTTCAGGCCCCTTCACCACACACCCGAGGGCCAACCTCTCTCCTTCTCGGGGATGTCACTCTCCTGCTGCAAACATCACAGACCCAAGGGAGCCTCAACTCAGTTCCAGGGAATCCCAAACAGCTCCCCGCTTACCCCACACCTGCCCTGCCATCTGCGACCCCATGTCCCAGGCTGGGTGCTGGAGCCACCGTGAGCCTTTTTGGAGCTTATCAGCACCCAGCGTGTGCCCTCCCTGAGATGTTCCCGAGAGATGGGGCTCAGCCCAGCCTTCTTTCCTCTCTGCTGTCTGCTGAGGGATCCCTGTGTCTGGGTCACCATGTGACGTCCACTCAGCGCCTGTCCTATCCTCACAGAGCCACCCTCTGGGGGGACACAGTTATAGTGAGGGCTGGTCTGCAGGGAGGGCAGGGCCGCCTAGCAGATGAGGGAGGGAGGCCTCTGGAAGGAAGTCTCTCCCAGGCAAAGGCTCAAAAACAGCAGCCCACTGGCAAGGAGGGGACAGTGAGCCAGGCAGGGGATGGGGGTGCAGGAGCCGCCACTTGTGAGCCAGGCTGAGGCCCCAGGGGTCTGGCTGGTTGAGAGCAAGGTCCCAGGAGGGAGGAGGGGCTCACTGACCACAGGTCCTAAGCCCTGTCCCTGAAGCAGCACCTGCTCCTGCCTCACTACGGACAAGGGATTTGAGTTTCCTCCAGACTCACAGCCTTGGGGCTGGCAAGGTCCTTTCCACCTGTGGCTTTTCTGGCTGGTCACTCAGCAAGGCTTACATGCAAGGGCAGGTGGCCTGGGTAGTCATGGGGTTTCAGTTGTTCTGGGCACCACTGAGTGAGACCAGGGACCCTGTGGGTTTCCCGCTCCCAGGCTCCCCAGCCCTGGCCCCTCTGGGCAGCCCTCTGTGGGGTCCACCCTGTGGTGGGATGTCCCTGAATGTGCCCCATCTCCCTTTATCTGAAACTCCTGGAGGGCAGGGCTGAGCCTGCATCCTCTGGGCCCAGGTTCCCAGGTCCGGCTTGGGGTTCTGCATGTGCCGGAGATTCAGAGAGGCATATATTTATTTGACATGCTGATTTCAACTCCTTCGGATACACACTAAAAGTAAGATTGCTGGATCATACCGTAGTTCTATTTTTAGGTTTTTGAGGAAGCTCCATACAGTCGTCCATAAGAGCTGTGCTAATTTACATTCCCACCAACTGTGTAGTTATTACAGTTTAGTACAGGGCCCCCTCTACTGCATGGCCTCGCCAACACTCAGCGTCCTTCATCCTTTTGATAATAGTGTCATTCTGACAGGTGTGAGTGGATATCTCATTGTGATTTTAAGTTACTTTTCCTAAATGATTAGTGATATTGAGCATGTTTTCATATATGTGTTGGCCATTGGTATGTTGGCTTTTAAGAAATGTCTATTGGATCCCAAGCCAGTTTTTAAAATTGGTTCATTTATTTTCTTGCTATTGAGTTGTTTGAGTCCCTTATACATTTTGGGTATTAACCCCGTATTTAGATGTACAGCTTGCAAATATTTTCTCCCTATCCACAGGTTGTCTTTTGACTGTTAATTGTTTCTGTGGCTGTGCAGAAGCCTTATAGTTTGATATAATCCCATTTGTCTATTTTTGTTGTTGTTATGTTTTGTTTTGGCAGCATTATTTACAATAGACAAGTTATGGAGTCAACCTAAGAGTTTCTCAATGAATGAATGGATTAAGAAACGTTTTATATATATATATACACACACACACACATATATATACACATAAAGATTATTTATATATACACACATATATACAGACATACACACATATATATTATATATACACATATATATTATATACATATATTATATATACACATATATATTATATATACATATATTATATATACATATATATTATATATACATATATATACACATATACACACATATATTATATATAACACATATATAATATATACACACATATATATTATATATACACACATATTTTATATATACACACATACACACATATATACACACATATATACACACATATATAATATATACACACATATATACACACATATAATATATAGACACACACACATATATACACATAGAGATTATATATACACACATATATACACACACATATATATATTATATATACACATATATACATATATATACACATATATATTATATATACATATATTATATATACACATATATATTATATATACATATATTATATATACACATATATTATATATACATATATATACACATATACACATATTTTATATAACACATATATAATATATACACACATATATATACACACATATTTTATATATACACACATATTTATATATACACACATACACACATATATAATATATACACACATATTATATATACACACATATAATATATAGACACACATATATAGACACACACACATATATTTTATATATATACACACACAGACACATAAAATAGAATACTATTAAGCCTTAAAAGAGAAGTGTTCTGTATTTTGTGACAACATGGATTGATCTGGAAGACATTAGGCTAAATGAAAAAAGCCAGGCACAGAAGGACAAATACCACATTTTCTCACTTATTTTTTATTTTTTTATTTTTTTGAGGCAGAGTCTCGCTCTGTCACCCAGGCTGGAGTGCAGTGGTGCAATCTCAGCTCACTGCAAGCTCCGCCTCCTGGGTTCACGCCATTCTTCTGCCTCAGCCTCCCAAGTAGCTGGGACTACAGGTGTCCGCCACCACGCCTGGCTAATTTTTTGTATTTTTAGTAGAGATGGGGTTTCACCACGTTAGCCAGGATGGTCTTGATCTCCTGTCCTTGTGATCTGTCCACCTTGGCCTCCCAAAGTGCTGTGATTACAGGCGTGAGCCACCACTCCCAGCCACATTTTCTCACTTATAAGTGGAATCTAAAACAATCCATTCCACTTAAAAGTGGAATCAAAAAGTGGCCTTTATAGGCCACTTTACAAAATAAAATAGGCAATAATCACATACGTATTTTTGCAAGCATAAACACTCAGTAAACTAAGGACAGACACATGGCCATAACAGTTATAAGAAGATGAGCTGGCCGGGTATGGTGGCTCATGCCTGTCATTCCAGCACTTTGGGAGGCCGAGGAGGGTGGATCACAAAGTCAGGAGTTCAAGACCAGCTTGGCCAACATGGCAAAACCTGTCTCTACTAAAAATACAAAAAAATTAGCCGGGCGTGGTGGCGGGTGCCTGTAGTCCCAACTACTCGGGAGGCTGAGGCAGGACAATGGTGTGAACCCAGGAAGTGGAGCTTGCAGTGAGCCAAGATTGCACCACTGCACTCCAGCCTGGGAGACAGAGCAAGACTCCCCTTCAAAAATAAAGAAAGAAAAGATGAGCTGTGTCTGTGATGGAAACAGGACAGGTGGCTCACACCTGCCATCCAGCCACTCGGGAAGCTGAGGCAGGAGGATCCATTGAGCTAGGATCACGCCACTGCACTCCAGCCTGAGTGACAGAGTGAAACCTCATCTTTAAAAAAAAGGAAAGAAAAGAAACTGGTGGAAAAGGGAAATGTATAAACACATACCACAATGGCTGGTAATTGTTAGCACCCAGCTCACTAACTGCAGTCATCTGAGATACTGCAAGGAACAACCTAAGTATTTTGAGAAGTTCTGTCAAAAACCGTGACGGGTCACCATGATGGTGACCAAAGAGCCGAGATCCCAAGAAATTTCATTTTTCATACATGCGGATGTACAAAAAAGACATCTCTCCATTTACTGAGGAAGTTTCAAAGTTTGTACGTACGTGGGCAATACTTATAGAAAATGTCAATATTATGATAATGTGCTTTTGTAGAGTCAAATTTGCAAAAAAAAAAAAGGCATAAAATAATTAGAACTGTAAAGTCTCAGCACAATTTACACCTCCAGTATTGGAAATGATGCGGAAATGATAAAATTCATAGCACAGGAAATTGTAAGAAAAAAAATCTGACCACTTAAAATAGTAAAAACAAACTAAATAAGTTAAAATAAAACTAAAAACAAAATTTGACGTATGAAACGTATATTACAGGGATGGATTACAGGCAATTGCACGAAGGTGTCCATAAGAGCTGGCCCTTGTTCACGACCATTAACTATATTTTGGAGTCTTGCATGATAAATGAAAAGCTGCTTTTTTTCCCTCTCAGGATATGACTCTCTCTGCCAAGAAAGTTCACATTCTTTTTTTTTTTTTTATTCTGAGACAGAGTCTCATTCTGTCCACCAGGTTGGAATGCAGTGACTTGATCTTGGCTCACTGCAACCTCCACCTCTCGGGTTCAAGCGATTCTTCTCCTGACTCAGCCTCCCGAGTAGCTGGGATTACAGGCGCCACCACCACACCTGACTAATTTTTGTATTTTTAGTAGAGACGGGGTTTCACCATGTTTGGCCAGGCTGGTCTTGAACTCCTGAGCTCAAGCGATCCACCCGCCTCGGCCTCCCACAGTGTTGAGATCACAGGCATGAGCCACTGTGCCCGGCCTACGTTAATTTTCTATATGGTATTGCTGCTCCTCTTTTGAAATTGTTCTGTGACCTGATAAACAGTGACTTGAGTGTTCCCTATTAAATTTTCCCAACTTTCGTTTAGAGATTTTGATCTTTTGGGATTTCAACATTCAAGATTATGGAGTTTGGGATTGCATCTTTTGGGAATTATGATCCAAACCTGTTATAACAAATGCACAGTGTCATATGCTCCCCCATGACAGCATCATGCAGAATAGTTTCACTGCCCTAAGAGTCCTTGCTGTTTCATTGTCCAGCCCTCCTCCCTCCCCTTCCAATCTCTGGTGACCGCTGGTCTTTTTACTATCTCTATAGTTTTGCCTTTTCTCACATGCTTGAAAATATTGTTATCACAGAGTGTGAGTAGCCATTTTTGGACTGACTTTTTTCACATGAAAAATATGCACTCAAGGTGCAAGCATTGGTGATTCCTTCCTCTCTCTGCATGGCTTGGTAGCTCATCTCTGTCACTAATTATGTTCCGTTGTGTGAAAGGACCGTCATTTGTTTATCTAGTTACCTTTTGAATGACATTTTGGTTGCTTTCAGTTTTTGGAGATTATGGATAAAATGGCTATAAATATTTGCATGTAGGTTTTTGTGTAGACATAAGTATTCAAATCAGTTGGATAAATATGTGGGAGTGTGATTGGTGGATCATATGGTGAGACTATATTTAACTTCCCAAGAAACTGTCAAGCTCTCTTCCTGAATGGCTGTGCCATTTTGCTAGTGCTCCAGCAATGGACCAGAGGTCGCCTGGCTCTGCCTTCTTGCCTGCATTGGGTGTTGTCAGGGTTTCAGCTGTGAACCATTCTAATAGGTGTGCAGTGGGATCACATTACTGTTTAAATTGGCAATATCTTAATGACCACTGATCCTGAGGATTCCTTTGTGTGCTTATTTGCCCTCTGTATATATTCTTCCGTGAGGCATGTCTTCAGTTCTTTGGCCCACTTTTTAACTGGGTTGTTCCCTTATTGTTGAATTTCAAGAATTCTTTGTATATTTTGGTACAAGCTCTTTACCAGAGATGTGTTTTGCAAATGTTTCCTCCCAGCGTGCAGCTTGTCTTCAGCATCCTCCCAGCATCGTTCACAGAGCAGAGGTTTCATCTGAATAAAGTCTAAGGCTTTTTTGCCTTCAAGGTCTGTGTTTTCAGTGTCATATCTAAAAACTCATCACCAAGCACAAAGCCATCTTGATTTCCTCCTGTTTCTTTCTAGAAGCTTTGCGATGTTTTTCATTTTACCTGCAGGTTAGATTTTTGAGAGGTATCGTAAACAAGAGGTGGACCGTGTGGAGAGTGGAGTGAGGTAGGTTTGAGGAGCTTTTGGGGCCTCTGATTATTTTGTGTGAAAATATTTAACCCAAGAATAACGCAGTCAATGGAATGACCCATTCCTAGGCCTTGATAATAGGTCCTGGCCGGATGAATTTCTGGGAGGAAACACACCCATGTAACGGCTGAATGGGAGTGACCATTTCCAGCCCCCAATGGCTCGTCTTCCTCCTTCCCAGATGGCACCTCCCATGTAGGTCAGCAGTGTCCTGATCTCGAACGCCTAGTTTAGTTCTGCCTCCTCCTAAATGTTGTTTACGTGCAATTATAAAGCAGCTTCTCTTTCATGTCTGTCTCCTGCTCAACGCTATGTGAAGTTCATCTGTGTGTGTAAGGAACAGCTCTAATCGTGTTCCTTACAAGGTAACATTTCATGGCATACTGAAGTTTTCATTCATTCTGTTGAGATTGTGTTGAAATCAGTGCTGCTATGCATGATCCTGGATGAATTCTTTGTTTGTTTGTTTGTTTGTTTGTTTGTTTGTTTGTTTTGAGACGAAGTCTCGTTCTGTCGCCCAGGCTGGAGTGCAGTGGCGCAATCTCAGCTCACTGCAAGCTCCGCCTCCTGGGTTCACGCCATTCTCCTGCCTCAGCCTCCTGAGTAGCTGGGACTACAGGCATCCGCCACCTCGCCTGGCTAATTTTTTGTATTTTTAGTAGAAATGGGGTTTCACCGTGTTAGCCAGGATGGTCTCGATCTCCTGACCTCATGATCCGCCCACCTTGGCCTCCCAAAGTGCTGGGATTACAGGCGTGATGGATGAATTCTTTTGTCATCACTTCATGCATTTCTTTTGCATCTGTTTCTAGGAGTTCGATTGCCGGGCTGCGTGCTCTGCACAAAGCTTTGGTGGACAGGACGTTTCCTAGGGCTGCAGTAATGAATCACCCGACGGATTAAAACAACAGAAATCGATTCTCTCTGTTTTGGAAGGCAGATGTCCTGAATCAAGTTGTCAGCAGGGCCAAGCACCCTCTGAAGCCTCCAGGGTGGGAACACTCCTTGCCTCTTCCAACTTCTCGCGGCCCCCAGCATTCCTTGGCTGGTGGGAGCATCGCTTCGCCTCTGCCTCTGGTCATCTCCCCTCTATGTGTTCTGTGTCTTTACACAGTGCCTTCCATGTGTGTCTGCATCTGTGTCTCCCAGTGTCCCCTCCCAATCTTAAAATGCTGCTGTCGTACTCGCTTTGAGCCTGCAGTGATCCTGTACACACCCAGTGCCCGTGTAAATAGAATCATTTAACATTTTCATTATTTCTCATTTTTTTGCTGGTAGGTAGTAATAGAATTATTCACATTGAACATAGATTTACTTAATAGTTCCTCTAGTTTATCTACAGATTCTTTTTCATATTCCACATATATAATAATGTTTATAGTGAAAAAATAAAATGTTACTTATCCTTTCTAATCGCATATGTAAAATACACATTTATACTCACACACAGGGGGTACAGCTGCCCTGGCTGGGGAGCTCCAGGGCAACATTGAACAGAATGCAGAGAGGGGGTGTCCTTGTCTCTTTGAAGATACATATTGATGTATTTCTCTTCAAATTTATTGTCTTTCCTCTAGTTTTTTATTTGTCCATTCTGATTTTTTTTCTTTTTTTCCCATTTTTGGCTTCTTTTTGATTAATTAATAATTGTATTTCCTATTTCTCTCCTATCAGTCTCAATTTTACATCTTTAAGTATTCTTTTAGTTACCCCAGAGATTAAAAATTACCTTTGCTACATTTCGTGTCTACATTTATTTCTTTTACCATTTCCAAGTTAGTGCAAGGATTTTAAAACACTTCTTCGATATTTACTCTCTTCCTTCACCCTTTCTGATAGTCTTGTTAAATTTACCAAAAATTTAACCCAGCTACACATTATTACTATTATTTTGAAAAAAAATGACGTTTATTTAGATAGACTCATATATTCTCACTTCCCTGTGCAGTGTTCCTCCCATATCACCGTGCGTCTAGCAATACCTGGATGGCTTCTTACAGGATGCCTCTGCTTGCAGTGAATCCATCTTCTCAGTTTTTATCAAAAATTTTTTTTCGCTTTTATTACAGATATTTTACTATGGAGTTCCAAGTTGGCAATTTTCTCTCAGCATTCTAAAGACACCGTTCTACTGTCTTCCATCTTTTTATCGTTTTTTGTTTCCTTTTAAAGTAAGCTGTGTTTCCCTGTTGATTCCTTATAGTGTGTGTGCGTGTGTGTGCGCGTGTGCGTGCGTGTGTGTCCGTGTGCGTGTGTGCGTGGGCGTGAGTGTGCGCGTGTATGTGCGTGTGTGCGCGTGTGTCCTTGTGTGCGTGTGCGCGTGCGTGGGTGCGTGCCTGCGTGTGCGCGTGCGTGTGCGTGTGTGCGTGTGCGTGCGTGTGTGTGCGTGCATGTCTGGGCGTGTATGTGCGTGTGTGCGTGTGTGTGTGCGTGCGTGTGCGTGTGCGCATGCACTTTTTACATTTCTAGCTGCTCTTAGAATTTTTTGCTTTGTCTTCTCAGTCCTTGGGGGAGCTTTTCACATTTGCTTTGCTTGGAATCTGCAGACATGTTTGAATCTATAACTTGATTCCAAAGTTTCCACACTTCTAAAAAAATGAACTGGCCTTTCTTTTTTTCCAAGACTGCTTCTGTGCCCGTTATTCTCTGCCCTTGTATGGGTGCAATTACACATTCACCGTCACCCCACGTATCTCCCCCATTCTTTCCTGCCTTTCTATCCTTTTACCTGCCGTGTGTTCATCTAGACAGGCTCTACTGCCTTCTCTCCCATTTCAATGTTCTCTCTTCTGCTCTACGTCATCTGCTGCTAAGCCCATAGAGTGAATATTTAATTTTAATTATTTCACTTTAAAATTTTGCAGTTTCCGTTTGACAATTTTGGTTCATTTCCAGTTCTCTCAGAAAGTTTTCATTTTTCAGCTATTTTCTGGTCTGTATTATTAGTAGTTATTTTAACTAAGATATTGAAAGACTCCAAACTCTGAATCACTCCTAAGTCAGTTTTTGTTTTGCTCGTAGTTTCTGCTCATTTGGTCCTGTCTCCGAGAATGCCTGGTAATTATTTTATTGACAGTTGAACATGTTGCATGAGAGACTTCAGAGGCTTCCTTGAGGACCCTCTTCCTGGGAAAGGATGGAATCCACGCCCACCCAGCACGGGAGTCAGATAGGAGCAGATACCTTGGAGGCAACTGCAGGACTGACCCATTTCTTCCCTATGCCCAGTCTTGGGGCTCAGCCTCACCAGAGCTCTGCTAGCGGCCTGGTTTGTTTGCGGGGGCCCCCCTCTGTAAGGTGCAGGAACTCTAGTCTTCTTTTCCTTAGCCTTGCAGGGCAGCTGACACCGCCACTCAACTTTCCAGCCTCCTTCACTGTTGACTCCGTTTGCTTTCTTAGCCTTGAATCCAGGTGCATCTAAGTTCGAGATCAGGACCCTTGAGGGGATGCTGTGTGTGGAATGCCAGGCCTACTTCCTCCAGTTCTTACTTCGCTGGGATTTTTATTTTATTTATGTTTATTTATTTTCAACTTTTATTTTAGATTCAGGGGCTACATGTGCAGGTTTATTATCTGGGTATACTGTGTGATGCTGAGGTTAGGGATGAATGATCCTGTCACACACTTACTGAGCACAGTATGCAACAGTTCGCTTTTCAACCCCTGCCCCTTCCTCCTTCTACCAAAAAGCAACATGCATCTGCATGAACACTGCAGCAGTATTCCTGGCATTTTTAAAACCCCAACCCTGGCATCCTGAGAGCCCTGAGTTCCAACTTTCTCGTCCCAGCCCAGGGAGACTCTGGCAAGGCCTTGGGCTGCACTCTCTCATCTTCCTGCCCTTGTGGGTGGGACAGAAGCTGCCCCAAGGAGAAAAAGCAGTGGCCAGTGTCGGGGAGGGGCTGCCTCCCAAGCTGTGCCCATTTCTGGGAAGGTTCTGGATTGGCTCTGGGGAGGTTCTGGGCAGGCTCTTAACTTCTCAGATCCTGGCTGCCTGGGCTGCTCTCTGATGTCTTCAAGCTGTGTTTTGTTTTTTTTTCTTTTTGAAATTTCATCAAGCTATCACAGTTGTTCTTGGCAGGACGGTGAGTCTGACATAAGCTGCCTCAACATAGACAGATGTGTGAGCTCAGGTTTCTGAATTGTGTGTCTCTTGTTCATGGTATCCCCAGCTCCTAGAACAGTGCCTGCAAATAGCAGGAACTCTGCAAATATTTCTTTAGGAACGGGTCTGTGGGTGGATGAATTTGAGGCCATGATACCACGACCAGGCCAGGAGTTGAAACGCCGAACACAGGAGGCCTGCTTTGTGAGCAGAAGCTGATTTTTTTTCCTCCCACCTGTGGGATGTGAGCGACCATGACACAACAGGTGGAGACGCCAAGCAAGTAATTAAAAACTTTTCTCAGGAGCTCGGGAGAGAGCTCTGAGCTGTCCTTAGTTGAGTGGGGGTTGGAAAAGCCTATGCCAGAAATATGCCACATCCCCCTAATTGCGTGGAATCCAGAGCCCCTCCGTCCCGGTGCACCTGGACAATGGAGTGTGAACGTCCATCTGCCTTCTCTTCATGCCTGGAGAGGGCCATGCCAGAGACACAGGGTGGGTGTTGCGTGGGAGTGACTCAAGCTGATTCATCCTGCTGGGGAGGGAGCTGGAGTGGAGCCTCCCATGAGATCTGGACCCTGAAACTAAGGCCATGTGAATTCACTCACTGCAATGAGGGCTGTGAGCAGGGCTATTGCCTTGTTCATTTGTTGCAAAGACTCCCCCAGAAACTTACTCTCATGGAAACATACTTGGATAGAGAAATGCATTCCTCAGAATGATGCAACCGCACCTGAGAACAAAGCCTCAACAGGGGACAAGCCTGCGGCAGACAGGGTGAAGCTCTCCCATTCCACGGGGGCCTTCTCGTTTCTTGGTTGTTACTGTCAGGAACCACCTGGGTCTCTGAATGGTGCCTCCCAGCCCAGCGGCCTCAGAATCACCTGGGCTCTTACAAATAAATACAAACACCTGGTCTGCATTCCAGGCGCAGGGGATCAGGGCCTTGGAGTTGGAGCAGGGACGGGAGTGGACTGAGCGTCTATGGGATGAGAGCTTTGGAGGAGACAGGGGTGCTCAGGTCAATCGGCTGATGGAGTTTGCATGCCTTGGGAATTGCACGTTACATCAAGGTATCTTATTTATTTTATCTATTTTTATTATCTATTTTATTTATTTACCTGTTTATTTTAATGGTTGCTCCCTCCCTCCCTTCCTTGGAGTCTCACTCTGTCACCCAGGCTAGAGTGCAGTGGCACGATCTCGGCTGACAGCAAACTCCTCCTCCCAGGTTCAAGCGATTCTCCTGCTTCAGCCTCCCGAGTAGCTGGGACTACAGGCGCATGCCACCACGCCCGGCTAATTTTTGTATTTTTAGTAGAGACTGGGTTGTGCCATGTTGGCCATGCTGGTCTTGAACTCCTGACCTCAGGTGATCCATCCATCTCGGCCTCCCAAAGTGCTGGGATTACAGGCATGAGCCACTGCACCTGGCCTAATGGTTGCTCTTTCTTTCATGTTGGCCCCAGTTCCCGAGCCCTGGCACTGAGGGGCTGCTGGCTCTAGGACACTCTTAACAGTGAGCCAAGAGGAGCACAGCTGCCTGGCAGGCACGGGCGGTTGTGTGTTCCGGACTCACCTGCATGGTGTGCTGAGGCCTTGCAGTAGGAGTTCAGAGAGCTTCATAGGGAGCAGATGCTTTACACTTCCAGTGGGTTGGTTCCTTCAAGGACGGCACTCTCACACAGCCATGTGCTCCTCCCAGGATGAGACACACTTGGGCACTTCTCTGTTATCTGGAGAAAAGTTTGGTCCAGCAGTGTCTATAAAAAAATACCACAGGCTGGACAGTTTCAACAACAGGAATTGATTACCTCATAGTTCCAGGTTCTGAGATCGAGGTGTTGGCAGGGCGGGGTCCTCCTGCAGCGGTGAGGGGACATCTGTGCCAGGCCTCTCTCCAGCTTCTGGGGTTTGCTGGTGATCTCTGAGGCCCCTTGCCTGTAGAAGCATCACCCCCATCTCTGTCTCCATCTTCACGCGGCCTTTCCCGTATGGGTACATCTGTATGTGCTCAAATGTCCCCTTTGTGTGAGGACACCACTCACATTGAATTAGCGCCACCCTCCTCTGGGATCTTAACCAGTTACATCTGCAAGTACTCTACTTCCGAATAAAGACCACATTCTTACCTCATAGGTGCTTTTTCACATTTGTTCTGCTTGGAATCTGCAGAGACTCTTGAATCTATAACTTGATTCCAAAGTTTCCACACTTCCAGAACAATTAATTGGCCTTTATTTTTGTTCCAGTGTTGCTTCTGTGTCACTGTGGTGGTTCCGAATGTGGCCCCTGTTCTGAGGTTCTAGGGGCTAGGAGTTTCATGTGATTTTTGGGAGGGGACGTAACTCAACCCACCAATTTGGAATCAGAGTGAGACCCCAGCAGGAGTTACCTAGTCCCAGCAGGCATGAGAGGGACGCTCTGCTTCTGTGGGGCCCCGGGGCTGAAGGGGAGGCCCCAAAGCCAGCGCGCCCCAGAGCTGCCTAACGTTGGGGTTCATCCCATGAGGAGCGGGTCTGATGCCCCGGGAGCTGCCTAACGTTGGGGTTCATCCCATGAGGGGCAGGTCTGACGTCATGCAAGGGAGGACCATGTATTCTCCAAGGAGGGCCTCAATAAGGCAACGGTGCACCCCCGTCCAAGGGTCAAGGCCTTCCCCTCTTGGACACCAGACCCCAGGAAGTCAGCCTGTAGGACGATCGTGGATCTTAAAGGGAGGGAGGGAGCTCTCCCTGAAGGAGCTTCGGGGCCAGGATGCAGGCCTCGGGGGCCAGGGACCCTGTGTGGGGCTGCATCCCGAGGGGGCAGGTCCATGAGTGGGACGTGGAGTTGGAGACAGAGCTTGTCCACATGGAGGCACAAGTCCATGTGCAGGGTTGACGGGGGTCAGGACTCCTGGAAACAGGGCTGATGTGGCCAGAATGAACCTGGGACCCCATGCTCAGCTGTTTCTCCTGCTACTCCGCGTAATTTCATGCCCGGTGACTTTGTCTCTTGGCTGCACTCCCGTCTCTGTGGGGCAGCTCCTCCGTGGAGCATCTGTGTTTGTCAAATGTCACAGGCGCTGATCGCTGGGGTCAGGGAGGTGACAGTGCAACAGGCTTGGCTGCCAGTGTGAGAACCGACCTAGAGGTGCCTGGGCATGGATCACAGGCCGGCGTTGAAAGCAGCGCTGTGATTGGTCCCCATGATGGTGCCCACAAGACACCTGTGTTGTGATTTGTTGAGGGAGATTGGGCGGCACAGTCTGTGCTCTGTGCCATTATCAGGGTTGATAGCCCTGGTACCTGCAATCCCACCCATGCTGTTGGAGACCGACGTTGTTTAACAAAACCGTGCAGTAGGAACTGTGTGCACATCCTAAGTGGATGACCATGAGTCACCACCGTTCCTCTCATGCGTAGAATACACGGGTCCGGGGCCCCAGGCGTGGCTAGGATTCCCACTTGTGATCCTGCTCAGTGGTCTGCTTGGGTGATTTTGCTTTCTGTTCCCACAAATACATGCTTGGCAGGTTGGAGGTCCTGTTTCTAAGAATAAACAGTTCCGCACATATCCCAATCGACTTTCACCCGTGTCTTTAGGCGCCCTGCTCCCAGGGCCCAGCAGGCAAGGATAAGAGTTTGGCTCATGGCAGGGGTGGCTGACCCTGCTCCTGGAGGAGGTGGGTGCTGGAGACCCTGGCCTCCGGGAAGAACAGGCTGGGCGCGGTCTTAGCCTCTCCGGGCTGCTATAACAAGATAACACAAACTGGGGGCTTGTAAACAACAGAAAGTTGCTTCTGGAAGTTCTGCAGGCTGGGAAGTTCAGGTCAAGGTGCTGGCCAGGGCTCATTCCTCAGAGACGGTGCCGCCTCCCTGTGTCCTCATATGTTAGGGGGGACTGCAGCTCTCTGGGGTCTCATGTGTTAGGGCACTAATCTCTTGGCCTCATCACCTCTCAAAGGCCCCATCTCCAAATACCATCCTACTGGGGATTAGGTGACAAGGGAAGAGTTTTGAGGGGTCACAAACATTCCATTTGTAGCAGGGTCCCAGGTCACCCACCCGAGTCTGTCTGACTCCTTCCTCCCTTCCAGTTTTGATGCCACATGGGGAGCTGCCCCAGACCCGTCAATTGCAACAGGAGACCCTGAGAAGCCCTGTGGGTGGAGGGTGCACGCCCAGGGACTCCCGTGGGGAGGGAGACCCTTCTTTCCTGCAGCAGCCGGGAGCGGCGGTGGTGACGGCTCCCAGCCGAGCTGCTCTTTGGGAATTGCCCTCCTGGGAAGAGATGGTTGCCACATCCAGGGGTGTGCCCTCTCCCAGGGCAGCCCACGCATCCAGTGGCTGGTTGATCTGGGTAACGGCCATACCTTCGTGCCTCAGGGTGGGCCAGCTCTGCCGGGGATGCAGTTCCAGCACTCCCTGTGGGACTCACAGCTTCCCTGGCTCCTGAATCACAGCTGAGTGCCCCCCTCAGCCCAGGCCTCCCTCCTGTGCTTCCCCACAGGCAAGACCCCAAAGGCAAGCCCCACAAACTCCTCGAATGCAAATCTGTCTCCTGGGGAACCCACCTGAGGCAGGCAGGCTCAGGACGCTCCTGGTGTCTGGTGCTGAGCAACGGGGTGTTCCCATCTCCCCTGCACCTTCACTTTGCAGACCCCTCAGAGTTCCAACCCAGGTGGAGCGAGGTGAGCCGTGTGGCCACGGCACCTGCCTAGAACTGGCATGACAGAGATGCCTCATGGTGGTCAGTGCCAGCAGACACAGGTGGCTGGAGGACGGCGTCTTGGCTGAACAGGGAGGGTGGGGTGCCCAGCCTCAGAAGGGTGAGAGGAGCCCCTCTGGCAGAGAACCCCTGAGCCCAGGCATGGAGGTGAAGGAGGCTCCACGTGGCACTGGCCCCACTCAGGGGAGTGGGCTGGGGCCGTCCCATCCTAGCGCCCATTTTGAGGAGGGTCTCAGTTGGGGCTGAGGGTTCCAGACCAGGACATGCAAATAGAGCAAGAAGCAAAGGAAGCGGGAACAGTGCAGGGAAGGAGCGGGGAGGGTGGTGTGGGTCTGGGTGTCCTTCAGCCGGGTCATGGGATGGAGCCGGAACGTCCCTCCACAGCAGAGTTGGGCCAGGGACTGAGGAGGGGGCCAGGACCTGAGGCACAGTCTCCTGGAGCAGTGGACCCTGACACGCATGTGCATGCCTCATATCATCCCCACCACACACATGCATACAAGCCCATGTGCACACACATATGCACACACACACACAGTTATGTAACCCCATGTGACACCACATGCCCCAACTCCACACCCACACTCATACACACCACACTTCCACACATCACACAGACACACATACATACACACATGCACACAGGCACACAGGCATGTAGCCCCATGCGACACCACAGCCCCCAACTCCACGCCCATATCACCAACACATATACATACCACGCTTCCACATATCACACTTGAAAGCCACAGACACACACACATACATACATGCACACATGCACATAATGCATGTAGCTCCACGTGACACCATACCCCCAACTCTACCCCATGTCACAAACACACATACACACCACGCTTCCACACATCACATAAACCACACAGACACACATGTATACACACAGGCACACACGCACGTAGCCCCACGCTACACCCTACCCCTGTGAAAGGAAAATACATCTTGGGCCCCCCCAAATCACTAAGCTAAAGGGAAAAGTCAAGCTGAGAACTGCTCAGGGCAAAGCTGCCTCCCATTCTATGTAAAGTCACCGCCTGCTCCTATCTGATTGCTTCCTTTGGAGAGGCTCACCAGAAACTCAAAATAATGCAACCGATTGTCTCTCACTTACCTGTGGCCTAGGACCCCCTCCCTGCTTCCAGTTGTCCCGCCTTCACCTCGAGTTGTCCCACCTTTCCAGGCTGAACCAATGTTCATCTTGCATATGGTGATTGATGGCTCATATCTCCCTAAAATGCATAAAACCAAACTGTGCTCTGAGCACCCTGGGCACCAGGACCTCCTGAGTCTGTGTCGAGGGTATGCGTCCTCAACCTTGGCAAAATAAACTTTCTACATTAACTGAGACCTGTCTTAGATTTTCAGGGTTCATACTCCCCAACTCTAACCCTGCATTACACACACACACAGAGACACACACAACACAATTCCACATGTCGCACTCACAAACCACACAGACAGACCGGCATACATCACACATACCAAGCACACACCACACAAAAACCACAAACCAGTCATCACACATCACTCACCACACACCACTCCACATACAACTTGTCACACCCCACACACCCCACACAGTCACCACACATACCACACTACACACACACACACACACACACACACAAACCCTATAATGGTTCATGCTGAAGCAGAGGCCTCCCCCAGAGCACAGAACTGGGCTCACCCCTCCATGTCAGGCCCCACTGCGGAAAGCTGTGGCAGTGTGGAGAGGGGCCCATCTCTAGGGTGGACACCTGGGCTTGCGGCCTTGGCCATCACTGGGCTGCTCTGGGCCTTGGTTTACTCTCTGGTTGAAGGATGGCACTAGGGGATTTGGGGTTTCATCAGCAGAGCCCTTGATTGTCCCTCCCTCCCCCATCGGGCAGTCACTGCGTGCTCCCTCTGTGCCCACACGCGTCACGTTTCGAGGCAGCCTCCATAATCACGATGATTACCTGAGCTCCTCTCATTCTCACCGCAGCCGGCCTTGCAGGGGAGGAGGATGGAGGAGCCCAGTGATGGGTCTGCCTGACTTGCTCGTCTGTGGCTGCCCCACCCCGTCCCATGCCAGAGCCTGGACTCAGGTCTGCCTGACTTGCCCACGGCAGCCATGCCACCCTGCCCCACGCCGGGACCCTCTGTGGGGCTTCAGGACTGCAGGTGCCTGTGGGAGAGCGAGGCTGCAGGCTCCCGACGGCCACTCGAGCTCAGCGGTCATGGTCCCCTCATGCTCTGCTCCTAGACGGGGTCTCTGTTCTCCTGGCTGGAGACAGGAAGCTGGTGCTGAGTGCCACTGCCTGGGGAGACGCCCTCCCTCCCTGAGCCTGCAGTCACCCCCTCAGCTCACTGGCCTTCATCAATCATTCTGTATTTGCTCCCTGAAACATTCATGTTGAGAGGAAGTGAATGTAATGGCACTTTAAGGAGAAGTCCCATTGAAGGAAGCCATGGGATCGTGGATAAGGGAGGGGTGGCTTGGGGATCCGCCAGCCCCTGACAGTCTGGGCTGCAGCAGGACTTCCACCCATCGCTGCTTTCAGCCTCACGGGGATAGTGGCTGCAGAGACCCCCTTTATCACAGTTGTGGATGTGTGTGGGTGGCGGGGACACAGCTTCCTCGTTCCCTTTATCCTGGCTGTGCGTGGTCAAGAAGTAGGCAGCTGAGTCCCCGGCTCCCTCCAGGCATCCAAAGGCTGGTGGAGTTCTCTAAGCAGGGCCTGAGCTGTGGGGCCCGGGCCGTGCTTCAGGGCTTTCTTTCCTTCTGTGGATCAGGGATGCAGAAAGCACCTTGAAACTGCTGAGGTGCTGCCCGAGAAGGGACAGGTGGACCCTTGGGATCAGAGGGTCTCCTTTAAACAAATCCTGCAGGGTCTCAGGTGTGCAGCCCCAGGAGATCCTCACTGCTCAGGGCCAGGGGCCTCCTCAGGTGGGAGGCTGTTTGAGGAGGGCAGCTGGGAAGATGGTGGAGGGAGGTGATTCTGCACACTTGAGGCAGTCCTGGGAGAGCGGGTCCTGACCAGCACACTGGCCGCTGGCCGGGAAATGTCCAGGCACAGGCCGGGTCTGAGCTGAGGCTCGAATGCTAAGCTCCACAGCTCTGGGGCCAGCCTGGGACACCCTGGCCAAGCCTGACTGTGTGGGAGGGCACGTCCTGATCCTTCAACGCAAGGCACATGGGGACCAGCTGGAGATCCTGAGTCCTCCTTGCGGGGCTGTCTGTGCTCCTGTGTTTCTTTTCCTCTCGATGCCTCTTTTCTGCCTTGCTAGAGCCTCCCCAGGGAAGGCTGGGCTGTCCCCAGGGATGGGACGCCACAGATAGCAGGAGGCCTTCCCCAAGGTACGGGTGCAGGGCTGTGGACCACAGCACAGGCCCTTCCTTCTCGCCGCCCGCCCTGCTGGCCCAGTTCTCCTGGGTGATGTCACCTCTGCCGCCACCACGCCACTCCAGCACCGCCCAAACCTCTTGCTCTCTTCAAGCGCACCTGTCCCAAGTAGAACTGCCACACAGGTGGCCCCTTTCTCCTCCCAGGGCCCTGGGGACTATGTCTGAGGATGCTGGGGCTCAGGAAATGGAGACTCCTGTATTCCCCGGCCTCACCACAGTGTCCAGCAGGCCTCTGGCCCGGAGTGACTCACAGCGCCATGAGGACAACACAGCCCCCTGTCAGCCGGCGCCTCAGCAACACAAGAGCTCGGCATGATGACCTTGGCACGGCACAGGCCAGGGGCCTCCTGTGCCCTTTGGGAGCATCCGGAGGACCCAAGGAGGTTGGGTGACTTTTCCAAAGCTGCTCAGCCATGAAGCCATGCAGAGGGACTGTGGCCGCATCCTCGGGGCCTGTCCCCTTCCCAGGACAGGGCCGGCCTCTGCTGCCTCACACCCACCTGTCTGGCCACCAGGGCGATAGTCCCCCCTTTGGCCTAGGCTGACGATTGTCCTGGAGGACCACAGGCTGGGGCAGCCAAGCACAGGCCCGACTCTGGGACATGGCAGATGTCCCCTTCCTGGTGACAAGAAAGCATGACTGCCAGTCAGACCACATTGTTCCTAGACAACTAGATCCTCAAAACACTCCGGGCACCTTCAGGAAGGCTGTCGTCTGCAGTGAGTGGGGGGGCCTGCACAGCCTCGTCCCATCCGCCTTGACCAGCCTGCAAAGTGACCCCCAGACAATCAGGGCCTGGCTGGCTCTCATCCGGGCCGGAACAGGCCCATTCAGTCGGGCAGGTGAACAATGCCGGCCCCCGTGACAAATGGGCTCATTAAGGAGATGGATGGCCGCGGCCCACCGCGCTGGCCTGCTTCCTGGGCAGGGCGGGCGGGCTGGCGTCTTCTCCTGGGCGAAGGCCAAGTACATGCAGCTCTCCAGCCAGTGGATGTGGCAAGAAGGGGTCTCCGGGCCTCCTGGACCACGGTGCTGGCCTCTCAGGGAGGGGCAGCCTGTGTCCCAGGCCTGTGGGCACCCAGCCCCCATGAGGGCAGTGATGGCCGGCAGCGCCTGGACGCTCAGGACAGCCATGCCCGAGGCAGGTTAGCAAGGAGAAAACGGGGGCTCAGAGACAAGGGGAGGGGCCTAAGGTCACATAGCAGCCAGCATTTCTGGGCTGGAAACGTTCGTGAGCAGAGTTGGGTGACAAGAGTGAGCAACAGAGCAAACTCCAGCCTGGCGACAGAGAGAGACTCTGTCTCAAAAAAACAAAAAAAAACAAAAACAAAAACAGCAGCATGTCTTCCGAAACAGAGAGAGGACCTGAAACCTACACACTCGTGGAAACAGTAAATACTCGGGTGCCGCAGACCCTCGATACCCTGACTCCATCATGACACAGTCCAGACATGCAGCAAGAGGACACAAGCACCCCATAAATATGTACAAATACAGCACATCAGCCGTTTAAAACATTCCGACAAAAATGTTTAGATCTGCCATTTTATGTTAAGTTAGGAAAAAAAAATGCAGTGGTTTCAAGCCTCAGCCCGCGCTGCTGTCCCTGGAGTCACACTCTTGTTTGGTGTCTGCGAGGCTGGTCTCCCTCACCAACCAGCCCGGGGCCCCCCGGAGCAGTCACCACATCAGTCATCCTGGTGTTCTGGGCTCCCCTCAATGGGCAAACTCGCAGCTGCCCGGTGAACAAAGGGACACATGGTATATTCTGAAATAACCTGAAGAGTGTAGTTGGGTTGCTTTTAACTCAAAGCCCCCCATTCTCCACGATGTGCTTAGTTCATGTTGCATCCCTGTATCAAAACGTCTCCTGTACCCCATACTTAGATACGCCTACTATGTATTCACAAAAAAGTGGATGCATGAACCCCCCAGTGACCTGAAAGAGGAGGGGTGGGAGAGAGCCCAGGAGGTCATCTGGGAGACAGGACCCCGAGAGCCCCTTCCCAGAGGCAGGACTGATGGAGGGTGCTGGTCTGGGGAGTTCAGGGCCCACAGAAAGCTCTTGGTCCTCACCCCTCAGCTCTGGCACCCTCCTTTGGGGCACCCACTCTCAGCCCCACTGCCCGTCTCAAAGCCTCCCTGGCCTGTGCTCAGTCGCTCCTTCCTCACTTGGTCCTACCGGGAACTCCAAGCCACCTCCCTGACTCCAGGGCGCACCATCCTGCTGGAAGTAAACAATGAAGGGGCCCCTGGGGCTGGGGTGGGTGTGAGCCTCACCATGGACTAGTGGGGGTTGGTGAGACGCCCAGTCCTGGTCTGAGCCACTGCCGGACCCCAGGGATTCCTGCCAGGACAGCCAGGGGCAGAGGGACAGGCTGGCCTCATCTTGTGGAGGTCTCACAGCTCCCTGTGTTGTGCAGTGTAGCGCTCAGATGTCTGCTCTGGCCCCTCGCCAGTGACTATCGTGCTCCAACCAACCTCGCTGCTGGCGGGAGACACTGCAGGCAAGGACAGGTCCAGTTCTGACCCCTGCTCCCGGGCTCCGGGCCCTGCCTGACTGGGGCAGGTGGTGGTGACAAGCAGGATACCGGGTAGAAAAGAGGCAGGCCCCAGTTTGAATGCCTGCTCGCTGAACTGACTGAAACTCATTTCCCTGTTCACACAGTCGGGAGAGAGTCCGGACTTCTTGGGAGGGGCCCCTCGCAGCCTCGGCTGGTGGGACCCTGCCATGGGGCACAGTGGTCCTGGTCAGTTATCCTCTGTCAGACCTGGGCTCTTGGTGTCTGGATTTCTTGCTTTTCTGCAGAGGAACTTTTCTGCCCCGGACCCACAATTCTTTCCTCCACTCCAGCTGGGACACACTGAGGCCCACCAGGACCCTGAGAGCCACCTCGGGCTGCAGGCTCCGTACCCCGAGAGTCAAGCCTGTCCTGTCCTCGCCTCCAAAGAGCCAGATTTAGGCCTGCAGGGCCTCCCTCCAGAGCCCACCGCAAAACCACGTAATCAGACATCCTTCTAAACGGAGGATAAGCAGGGATTTGACTCCTCAGGTGTATTAATAAAGAGCGGTTCCCGTGGAGGCCTCTTGGAAAACATTAAAAGATTATCCACTCCTCGAGATGCCCATTAACATCCATCAGGGCTCCCGGCTGCAGCCTTGAGCCAGGAAACAACGGCGCTTGTGGAATCACAAGTGGGAAAATAAAGGGCTCTGACGCACCGCATTGTCTGGAGAGTGCCTCAGTGGCCGCCAAGAACAGAGCACACAGGCCTTGAAGCCAGACACACACCCCCCCGCGCCGTGCTGGCTTATCCTCACAGGCCGCTTTCACGTAGCCCGGTGTGGCCCGGGGGTCTGCCTGGCTCCCTGTCCTTCAGCCCACACTCAGCCTAGCGTAGACGGGCCTCTGGGTTCCACCTGGAGTAGAGGGATGGGTCAAGGGGCCATGTTCTTGCTGGAATACAAGCCCTGGTACACCTTTCCAGGGCCCTCTTTCAGGGATAGACTCGGAGGTGGGTTTAGATGTTTGGGCCAAATGCAGGGACCCGGGAAGGCTGGGGTGAAGCTGGCCCCTGCACACAGGGGTGAGTTAGGTGAGGGACCACAGGGTGTGCTGAAGATCTATGGGGGGCACAGACACAAGGTGTGTGCATGAGCCTGCCACTGGGAAGGGCTGCCAATGGCTGTGGCTTCTGCTCTTAGCAAAATTAGGAAGCTGACCCAGACTCATCTCACAAATTCAGTCCCCGGCTGTTGACCAGGCACCAGCTGTGCTGCAGAACTGCTCTGCCTGCTCTGTGCAGGGAGGAATGTTCTAGAAGCTGGTGCTGTACTCTTGGGGACGAGGGCCAGGCTATCGGGAGGATCCAGGCAGTGCCACAAGAGCAGAACAGAGGAGGTTTTAGACCCGGCCACACAGACGTGGCTTCCGTGACTCCAGCTAGGGTCTCAGCAGCATGGTAGGTCCAATGGGGGTTCATCCTCCTTAGAGCAGAGGAAAAGCAGGGGGCTGGCTGTAGCAGAACACTCTAGAATCTAGAGCCCCAATGGAGGAAGCAGGCCTTCAATTTTGTGCCTCTGGCTCTGGAGGTGGTTTGTCAAAGACTCCAGTGAGGACACCTTGGCCATTGCTCAATGAAGCTGCAGAAGCCACGGAGATGGCTGGGCATTGGCCCAGACCTGCCAGGAGGCACCAGCTGGGCTCGGGCCTCCTGGAGGTTCACAGAACAGCAGGAGTCTCTGGTCTGGACAGACAGCTTGATCCATGAACCCCACCTTTTCCCTCTCTCCTCTGGGAATTCTTTGTTCGTGCACTCCGGGAGTGGGGAGAGGGAGGGTGGGCTGGGGATGGGAAAGAAGAGGTTGCTGAACCTCTGCCTCAAATGGGGTGAGGGTGCACATATGCTCTCCCAGTGGCCTCTCCCCAACACGTGGGCCAGGGAGACATGGGATGGCAGGGCTTCCATCCTCTTCCAGGCCCAGGGGGGTGGGAAAGCCCCAGCTGGGAAGCCCAAGAGGACAGCGGAGGCAGGGCCCATACACCAGCCTTGCAGCCTCCTTGGCCAGAACCCCAGTGTGTTCTCCTCAGCTAGGTCTCTGGCCAGGGCTTCTCTGGAGCCATCTGGGACTGCTTTCATCTGTCATTGCTCTTGTCTTTGTCTTTTTTCCTCTGAATGATGAAGGTTGGATCATCATTCTTATTCTTTCCCCGACTGTGCAATCACCCAGCCACCCCATACCCTGGTCCCCCTCTGGGCAGAGTGAGCTTTTCTGCCTCTTGCCACAGGGCTTGGGCCTGTGGCTCACTTGGGACAATGAGATGATAGGAAACATGATGTGAGCAGATGTGGAGGTGTTTGTGTGGCTGGGCTGGGCTTCCCGAGGTTCTGCCCTCAGCATCAGGAGAACATACCTGGGTGGCTATTTCTGCTCCTGCCGGTGCCACAGAACAAGTCAGGCAGGACGGGGTCATGCCAGCTGACCTGCTGATCAGACCTGCAACCTGAAGCACACCCACCCTAGTTAACTTTCAGACGCTTGAATAACAAAAACATTTTTGTTGCTATAAATGATTGCAATTTTTGGTTGTCTGTTACACAGCAAAAGCTGACAGTTTTCTCGCCTCTGAAGTTCTTTTATATTATTAACTGCTTTTTACTGGTGGTTGATTTGTTTGAGCAACGTGGTGATTTATCGTGTCCAATGCCTCACATTCCAGCATTGGCTGATGTCTTTCTTGCGGTGATGTTTTGCATGTTCTTCTGTTCCCTGTAGGTAGATCTAGAAGTATACTGATGTTTGAGTTCATTGCATCCTCAGATACACAATGTCTCATCCCACATTTAATAATAATAAGACACTTTGCTCTTCAACCATTTGGTCACTCTGAAATCGAGAGTTTGCAGAAAAGGCAGCAAAATTATTTGGATTCTTTCATTTATCAATTTTTAGAAGCAATGAGTTGATACCCTGGCAACCTCCAAAATGACCATGGGCTTTGTTATTTTTAAGTAATGTCATGAACTCATGGGTTTTACATATTTGATGTATGTCAATCTATGGCAGTCACTATTCTGTTGATGTCCAAATTATGTCATGTCAGGTTGGTGGAAACCCTTTAAGTTGACTCCTGTGTCTTTTTTTTTTTTTTCTTTGAAACAGAGTCTCACTCTGTCTCCCAGGCTGGAGTGCAGTGGTGTGATCTTGGCTCACTGCAACCTCCACCTCCTGGGTTCAAGTGATTCTCCTGCCCCAGCCTCCTGAATAGCTAGGATTACAGGCACACACAACCATGCCCGGCTAATTTTGTATTTTTAGTAGAGATGGAGTTTCACCATGTTGGTCTGGATGGTCTTGAACTCCCGACCTCAGGTGATCTGCCCACCTCAGCCTTCCAAAGTGCTGGGATTACAGGCACGAGCCATCATGCCTGGCCTGACTCCTGCGTCTTTTGATGCCATCTCATTAAGCTTTAATAGCTGCCTTGCTTTCTGACCTTCCACTGTCCATTTTCCCCTAGAGTTAGCCATTCCTCTATGGAGTCCTGTTTCTTTCAGAAGGAAATGGTGTTTAGAGAGAAGTGTCTGGGCATCAGGATGCCTGTCGATGCTGGACTTTCAGAAGGTAAAACCATCATGCTGAGACTTCCAACTTAAATGCATGGTTATATCTGCCTCTTTTCACTGCTTAGGTTGAATATATTTGCTTTTTGCTACAACACATATATAATAGTTCAAAATCCCAGTACCCATTGCACTGCTCAGCACACTGACTCTAAAGGCTGTTGGTGGTGGCTCCACCTGGCATCCTTTGCCGTTTCCATTAGGAATGTGTGGTCAAAACCTTGTGTTTTGAATTTATGTGAAACTGATCTAATTTATATGGGTATGCCACCTACTTGTCATACAGCATCATTTTTTTTCCAGCTTGCTTCCAAATGATTGGAGACATTTTCCTCTTTTGCTTTAATATTGTCTGTTATTATATAGAATATTTATCTGGTTCTGTAGTCAAAACAAAGAATGAGGCACAATCAGAGTTCCCCCTTCCATTCTGTTCTCTTCTACCCTGACACCTCCCTTTCTCTTAGGTAACTCCTTTACAATTAGCTTTTACTTTATTATTGCATTGCTTCTTTTCGAAAATATAAGCAAATGTGTACGTAGATTTGTATTATCTTTTTAGTTGCACAATAATTAACATTTCATAAATACTGTTCTGAGCCTTGCTTTACTAACTTAAAAATATATTTAATATATTGTAGGCCGGGGTGGTGGCTCATGCCCGTAATCCCAGCACTTTAGAACGCTGAGGTGGGCAGACCACTTAAACCCAGGAGTTTGAAACTAGCCTGGGCAACATGGCAAGACCCCTTCTCTACAGAAAAATATAAAATTTAGCTGGGCATGATGGTGTGCACCTGGGGTCCCAGCTACTCTAGAGGCTGAGGCAGGAGGGTAGTTTAAGCCTGGGAGGTTGAGGTTGCAGTGAGCCAAGATCATGCCACTGCACTCCAGCACTCTCTCACCCATTCTCTTGTCTAGCATGGGTGAGAGAGTGAGACTCTGTCTTAAATATATATATATGTACGTGTATATATATGTGTGTATATATATATGTATGTGTATATATATATAATCACTCTGTAGTAAAATATTAATAATTTCCTCATTTCCACACTTTGTTTTACCATAGTGGACAGTGGTGAGTGCTAGTAAATGTTTAGAACTGGCGCTCTGGAAAAATGTGATTAGATTTTTATCTATCTATCATCTCTCTCTCTCTCTCTATCGTCTATTTATCTATGTATCTAATCTATGTATCTATGTATCTATCTATGTGTGTATATAACTATCTATGTATCTATGTATCTATCTATGTATCTATCTGTGTCTCTATGTATCTATGTATGTATGTATGTATGTATGTATGTATCTATCTATCTATCTATCTATCTATCTATCTATCTATCTACCTACCTACCTGCGTAGCTACCTATCTCGCTTTCTAGCTATCTAATGATATAAAGGATGGTAAGCATAGTTTACAAACAATAATGAAATGTGCAATAGTCTTTATTGTTAATTCCACGTGAACAATTCTCATAGAATGTTTCTGTTGATTTTGGCCAAACTCTAGAACCTGTAGCCCATATATGGTTGCAATTTAACCCTAAGTTGACAAAATCAGTCTATGAATCAATGTTTGTTGTTACCCAATAGAGCAAAGAAGCCATCTCTGTCCCTGGCAAATGAGCGTAGTTCTGAGAGGGATGGCGGTTGATGTTTCCATTTGCCTTAATGGGAACCATGAAAGTGTAATAATGAGATGTGTGGCACGTCTTCACCTGCTCCTGGAAATGAATATCTTGCTCTCAGGTGCTGGGAGGAGCCTGCTGCACACACCAGTGCACCTGCCCTACGCCGTTGTGTGCGTTCTCATCTCTTCCTCCGCTCCCTGCTGCTGGAGAGTCAGTGCCCCATACTGAGTTTTACTGTGAAAAGTGCTGACATGATGAATCAGTGCGTGCACATGCCATTTCATGTGTTGACAGGTGCGTCTTTGGAATAGATCCTTAAAGGTGGGCATGCTGACCTGCTACTTTTTTATATTCTATGATTTTTTTGTCATAGTTTCCACTTATTCTTTTGTGCTTACTAAACATGCAATCATACCACCTGCAAACTGAGATAGCTTATCTCTCTTTTTGGTTATTAATCCTTGAATCGAATTCTCTTGTCTAGCTGCATTAGCTGTTACTTCCACTACAATGTCAAGCACTAGTGGGAAGAGTGGTCATCATAGTCTTGTTTGTGCATTTAGTGGAAACGCCTGTGCCATTTCTCCATTAAGTAAATGCTGGCTTTTGAATTAAAGTATATGACATTTATCAGGTTAAAAAATCCATCAATTATTATTTTACTAAATATTATTTTGTATACGGAATGAGTGTTGAATTTTGTTAAATGACCTTTTACTTTTTATAAATATGACTGGATGACTTTTTCATCTAGACCAATTAATATGATGAATGTATTATATTAATGTTTTTCTTAATATTGAATTATCCCTGCATTCCTGGAATGAACCCCAGTTGTCATGTTATATTTAATTTTTAATGTGATTAGGATTTTGTTTACAAATTATCTACTCTATTATTTGAAAATTTCTAAATATCATATTTGACATTTTGCATTAATGTTCGTGATATTAATCTGTATTTTTATTGTGCTTGAAAAAGATTCAGATGAATGCCTTTCTTGCTTCACAAATAGGATTTGGAAATTGTCCCCCTTTATCTATGCTTCTAAATATTCCAAATAGCAGTAAGATTTTTGATATTTGCTAAAATTCCCTTGTGAAATCACTTTGGCTTTTTTTGGCTTGTTTCATGGAAAATAACTATAGTTTCGCTTCTTGTAGAAAATTGGCCTTTTTAGATTCCTTACGGGGACTTGAGCCATTTTTCAGTAAACTTTTTTTTCTTGGAAGTTGTCAATTTCAATTAGGTCTTCAATTTATTTGCAAAGAAATGTACACAATTTTTAAATTAAAAATTCTTTCATTTTGACAGCTATTTACTCCTTGTCATTTCCTACTTTGTACATTTGTGCTTTTTGCTTTTTAAAAAATGAAGTTGGTTATTGGGATCCAGTTGCCAATTCCCAGGACAAGGGACAGAGGGACCAGTTGAATGAACTGCATGGCCCAAGTTTTTCAACCGTTTAGCTGTAAGGAAAAGAATGGAGTGGAGGGAACCTGTAGAGTAAAAGTAATGGGAAAAGCATCCTGTTTAAACGTGACCAAAACAAGTGGGTCAGGGGTTTGCCTTTTCCAAAGGCACCAGCTTGATTAATGTAGTCATAACGCAGAGATTTTCTGCATTATGTCATTCTTGTCTTTTTTTTTCTTTTCTCATTATGAATTACTTCCTTCTATTTCTTTCCAGGCACTATATGGATATTTCTCCCATTTTTAAATTCAGTATTTATCTTGTTCATTTTTACGAAAATACTTATTATGAATTTTCCAAAGCTCAGCTATAGATGCATTTCTCATAGATCTGGGATTCATTTTTTTTAATTATTGTAATTTGCCAAAGTCAGGCACACCTTGTTTTATTACACTTTGCAGAAATTGCATTTTCTGCAAATTGAAGGTTTGTGGCAACCTTGCGTTGAGGAAGTCTATTGGCGCTATTTTTCCAACAGCGAGTGCTCACTTTGTGTCTCTGTGCCACATTTGGATAATTTTCACAATATTCCAATTTCTTTCATTATTATTATATTTGTTTTGGTGATCTGTGATCTTTGATGTTACCATTGTAATTGTTTTGGGGACACCACAGACTGCACCCATATAAGATGGCAAACTTAATAGACAAATGTGTGTGTTCTGATTGCTTCACTGACCATCTATTCCCCATCTCTCTCCCTCTCCTCTGGCCTTCCTATTCCCTGAGACGCAACAGCATTGAAATTAGGCCAGTTAATAACTCTACGATGGCCTCTAACTGTTCAAGTGAAGAGAAGAGTCACAAGTCTCTTGATTTACATCAGAAGCTAGAAGTGGTGGGGCTTGGTCGGGAAGGCAGGTCCAATGCCAAGATGGGAAGAAAGCGAGGCCACTTGTGGCAAATGGTCAGCTGCGGTGTGAGTGAAAAGGAACAGTTCTTGAAGGTAATTAAAAGTGCTACTCCAGCGAACACATGAATGGTGAGAAAGGAAACAGGCTTCTTGCTGATATGGAGAAAGTTTGAGTGGTCTGGATAGAAGATCAAACCAGCCACAACATTCCCTTAAGCCAAAGCCTAATCCAGAGGAAGACCCTAACTCTCTTCAATTCTGTGAAGGGTTGAGAGAAGAGAGAAAGCTGCAGAAGAAAAGTGGAAGCTAGCAGAGGTTTGTTCATGAAGTTTGAGGAAAGAATTCGTCTCCATAAAAGTACAAGGTGAAGCAGCAAGTGCTGATGGAGAAGCTGCAGCAAGTTCTCCAGAAGATCTAGCTAAGATCATTGATGAAGGTGGCTACTCTAAACAGATTTTCAATGAAGATAAAACAGCCTTCTACTGGAAGAAGATGCCATCTAGGACTTTCATAGCTAGAGAGGAGAAGTCAATTCCTGACTTCAAGGACAGGCTCTCTTGTGAGGGGCTAGTGCAGCTGGTGACTTTAAGTGTAAGCCAATACTCATTGATCATTCAGAAAATCCTAGGGCCCTTAAGGATTATGCAAAATCTACTCTGCCCGTGACTCTGTAAGTGGAACAACAAAGCGTGGATGAAAGCCCACCTGTTTATGGCATGGTTTACTGAATATTTAAGCCCACTGTCGAGACCTACTGCTCAGAAAAAAGATTCCTTTCACTATATTACTGCTCATTGATAAGGTATCTCATCACCCAAGAGCTGTGATTGCTCATTGATAAGGTATCTCGTCACCCAAGAGCTGTGATGGAGATGTTCAAGGGAATGAATGCTGTGTTCATGCTGCTAACACAACATCCATTCCACAGCCCATGGATCAAGGAGTAATTTCAATGTTAATGTCTTATTCTTTAAGAAATACATTTGATAAGGCTATGGCTGCCATAGATTGTGATTCCTCTGATGGACCTGGGCAAAGTCAATTGCAAACCGTGTGGAGAGGATTCACCATTCTAGATTTCATTAAGAGCATTTGTGATTCATGAGAGGAGGTCAAAATATCAACATTGATAGAAGTTTAGGAGAAGTTGGTTCCAGCCCTCAGGAATGGCTTTGAGGAGCTGAAGGTTTCAGTGGAGGGAGTCACTGCAGATGGGTGGAAACAGCAAGAGAACTAGAATTAGAGGTGGCATCTCTATGATTGAATTGCTGCAATCTCATGATAAAGCTTGAACGAATGAAGGGCTGCTTCTTAGGGATGATCAAAGAAAGTAGTTTATTGAAATGGAAACTTCTGGTGAAGACGATGCGAACATTGTTGGAAACACAGCAAAGGATTTGGAATATTTATTATTTACAGTTAGTCGATAAAGCAGCAGCAGGGTTTGGGTGGATTGAGTCCAATTTTGAAAGAAGTTCTGGGAGTAAAATGTTATCAAACAGAGTTGCATGCTACAGAAACATCTTTTGTGGAAGGAAGAGTCCATTGATGTGGCAGACTTCACTGTTGTGTTATTTTACAAAATTGCCACAGCCACCCCCACCTTCAGCAACCACCACTCTAATCAGTCATCAGCCACCAACATCCAGGCAAGGCCCTCCACCAACAAAAAGATTATGGCTTGCTGAAGGCTTGGAGGATTGTTACTATTTTTTAGCACTAAAGTATTTTAAAATAAGGGATGCGTATTATATTTTTAGACATAATGCTATTTCATACTTAATAGACTACAATATAGTGTAAACCTAAGTTATATATGTAGTAGGAAACTAAAATATGTGTGGAACTCACCTTATTGTGATATTGACTTTATCGCAGTGGCCTGGAGCTGAACCCACAATATCTCTGAGGTGTACCTGTATTCTATCATTTTGTTTTAAACTTCCTCTTTGATTCACGATGATACCATGTTCAGAATACTAATTGTTTTTATTTTGGCCTAATAATATGGTCAGTGTTTATAGATACATCCTATGCACTTAAAAAAGTAGTTCACAGTTTAAAAATCAGAATCTGTAGGTGGCACCTACGTGTCGTTCAGGCCTAACTGTAACCTGATGCTTTGTCCATTTGATCTATTTTTCTACCATTAGGTGTATTTTACTGTTTTTAGCAGTGTCTGTCAAAATTTTGTATTTTGTATTCATCAGAATTTGTTATATTTCATAGTTTCTCTTTATCAAACTTTTGTTTGTTATTGAATGCACCAAAATAAAAAAAAAAAATTGATACAGTTGGCACTTAAACAACATGGGTTTGAACTGCATGGGTCATTTTTACGTGAATTTTCTTCTGCCACCGCCACCCCTGAGAGAGCAAGACCAGCCCCTCCTCCTCCTCCTCTTCCTCCTCCTCAGCCCACTCAACAGGAAGGCCACGAAGATGGAAACCTTTACGATGATCCACTTCCACTTTATGAATAGTAAACACATTTTCTCCGCCTTACGATTTTCTTAATAACCTTTTCTTTTCTCTAGCTTACCTTGTTTTAAGAATATGGCATATAATACAGACAACATAAAAATATGTGTTAGTTGATTTTTTATGTTATCAATAAGGCTTCCAGTCAACAGCAGGCTACTAGTAGTAGTGAAGTTTTTGGGGAGTCAAAATTGATATGCAGATCTTTAACTGCACAGGGGGGTAGCAGCCCCTAACCCCATGTGGTTCAAGGGTCAATTCTACTTTTGCCATGAATTCCATCTCCACCCTGTTGATTGCTTTGGTCTGAACCCTTCTTGCCAGAGATCAATCACACGGACCCTGCTTCCTTTCTAATCGTGCTTTCTTAGCATTTCTTTGCTCATGTTGTTATTTTTATCTTTGTGAATCTCTTCGTCTCACACAGATCTCATGCATGTATCACAGAGGCAGGTCTTTTTTGCTCACATAGCTCTGACTGGGGGAGTTAAGCCTTTGTACGTGCGCCGATACAGCCTGTATGTCTGGCCTCGGCACGCTCATGTGTGGCTTATGATTTTTTAAAATTCTTGGCTTTTTTGGCTGTATCTGGTGTTTGGGAATATTTGCATGTTTGTTCTGATACAGTTATCCTTGCATTTTTTTTAAATCTCTGCTCTTCTCATGCGTGGCTGCTCTGCATTCGTTTCCATAATGAGCAGTTGTGAAATGAGCCAGCAACCTCTTCTCCCTTCCCACCCTTTTCTTCAGCATTTACACAAAGTCATGTCTTGCTGCTCTCAGTCAAGATCTAGGAGGCAATCGGAGAGTTCTCCCACCTTCCACATATCCTGGTTTTCCTGCAAATTAGTTGTAATTGTGTTTTCTCAGCGTACGACAACCCCACACTGTTGTGTGTGCTCAGCCCGGGCCTTATGCTGAGGCTTCTGCCGTAATCTCTGGCTTTGTCTGCAGGCCCTTCTGGAGCTGGTTCCCAGGAAGGACCCATAGGGGTTGCAGGGCTTGAGTTCTTATTTGTTCATAACTGTCTGTGGTCTATACCTGAAGGTCAGTTAGGTAGGATACAAAACCCTTGACTTGGCCGGGCACGGTGGATCACGTCTGTAATCTCAGCACTTTGGGAGGCCGAGTCAGGCAGATCACTTGAGGTCAGGAGTTCAAGACCAGCCTGGCCAACATGGTGAAACCCCATCTCTACTAAAAATACAAATATTAGCCGGGTTTGGTGGCGTGCACCTGTAATCCAGCTACTTGGGAGGCTGAGGCATGAGAATCGCTTGAATCCGGGAGGCAGAGGTTGCAGTGAGCCGAGATTGCACCACTGCACTCCAGCCTGGGTGACTGAGCAAGATTCCATCTCAAAAAAAAACAAAAACAAAAACAAAAAAACAAAAAACAAACCAACCTTGACTTGCTTTTTGCTTCTTAAATGTTTCCCCATTGTTTTCTGGTACAAAGTTTTGCTGTTGAGAAATCGAACGACAATCTCATTACTTTTCTCTTACACGCACAGTGGCTGTGTGTCCCTGTTTGCCCAAAACAGTTCCGGTTTATGGCTGTTGTCCATGCGATAGAGCAGATGCAAACATGCTTCCTTTTAGCTCAGAAATTCCCGATTGGCTGAGAGATTCTAGCGTCACCTGCTGATTTCCTCACATTGCCCAGCAGAAGCCTTCTCTATCTTTAAAGCCCAGTGTTTTATTAGAATATTGTTCAGCGTTGACCATTCTGGGTGCTTTAGGGTCCTGGGTACAAGAATGCACTCCTTGGACACATCTTCCTCGAGTTCAGCAATGATGGCTTTCAGGACGTGGCGAGCCTGGCGTCTCTTCCATTGTCTTCCTCTCCACTTTTGGCCATTTCTGTTCACCTGTATCCAGACCTTCTTTGCTTCTATCCCATAACTGTGAGTTTTTTCTATCATCTTTACTTTGAGATTCCATCCCCCCGATGCCCATTTCTCCTTTCTACCTCTCACTGATTTGACTGTGATCTCTTGGTGTCTGTTCACTCTTACGTTTGTACTGTTTCAATTCTTGTTTCTAAAATGTGCCTTTTTCTTTCAAAAAATTTTTCTGCACTCTTTCCGTCTTTTGACTTCCCCTCCTTGTTTAGCCAGCGTATTTCTGAGATTTTCTATTTTAATTTCTTGTGTTCTTTCATGCATCTGTCATTTCCCTAATTTTGCTCAGTTCATCTATTGCATTGAGCTGGGTTGCATCTGCTTGGAGGCTGCATGATCTTAACTAGCTCATAATTCAGTTCCCGTTTACTTTTTATTCTCACAAAGGTGTCTTTGTGTGGAATTTTTCACAGCCCTTTTCTCTTGCTTACTTTTGAATAAGATTGATGCTCCTGTATGTTAGAGGGTGTCCGTGTGCAGGTGGAGAGGCATGGGCCAAGGTGTTTTTCTTACCCTCACAACCAAGGATTCTTCCTCTGTTACATCAAAAGTGTTGAAGCCACAGCCTCTTGGTACAGCCGCCTCTATGACACTGAGGGCCGTTGGCCAGCGCCTGGCCCAGGACCTGAGCCACACCCTCTTTTCCAACCGTATCCCACCCTTCACAATTTGGAATCTACACCAGAAGGTTTCTCAGGGTGGGGCCTGTCCTTCTGAAGGGTGACTCTGTTGGGGATTTGCTGCATCCTTGAAGGCCTCGGCTGCCCCAGCATTCCCTCATCCTCCCATGGTCCCCCACAGTCTTTTGTGGCCGCCTCAGAACGGGGCCGCGCAGCCCTCTCTGGGTGTCATGGTTCTTCTTGAGGAGACACCTGCTCGGAATGTGCGGCTCTGCTTGGGGGAGCCTCTTATTGGGTTCCTATGTCGGGGGCTCTTAGCAGAGGCGAGCGCTCACATCCCTCCACCCCGAGGCGTGCCCACATGGTCCCACTGCAATCTGTGTTCCCAGATGAGCAGGGTTGCCGGGGAAAGGAGAGTTCCTAACGATGCTGTTCGGGGACTTTGGGGACTCCGTCAGCACCTGTTCTGGTTTTATCCCAGTATTTTTTTTTGTTTTTTTTTTTTGAGATGGAGTCTCACTCTGTCACCCAGGCTGGAGTGCAGGAGCACCATCTCGGCTCACTGCAACCTCCACCTCCTGGGTTCAAGTGATTCTCCTGCCTCAGCCTCCTAAGTAGCTGGGACTGCAGGTGCCTGCCACCAAGCCCAGCTAATTTGTCTCTGTTGTTTGTCTGCATCCACGGGGAATTTGGGAGATGGATAAACAGCACGGCCACTTGATCTTGCCTGAGCAGTACTGTTGTTACTGTCACTGCTGCTGTGATTGCTGCACTCTGCCCGTGTTTCCAGGGGCCTGCAGCAGAGAATCTTCAGGTTATTGCATTTTGTCATATTCATGAAAATGGAAGTTCTTGTCTTTTTCTGTCACTTGCTGCCTTTCTGCAACATATCAGGAATTCTGTCTCTTTATGTTACTGAGGAAGCAGCTTAAGCCAGTGGCTGAGCGTGCGGGTGCTCAGTCATTCCGCCTGCATCCGTCTCTGCACTGCCGCTCGTTAGCCGTGGAGCACGGGGCAGGGAAAGTAAACTCTGTGAGTCCACGGCCCCCTCCACAACCTTGGGCTGAACCTGGCGCATTTTCCATAGCAGGATTGTGAGTATTTGATAATTCCCCCAATAGTGGACCGTGTCAGGCACGCCGCAAGTGTTCAGCAAATAGCAATTTATCATGGAGTCCACCTGCTTTCTAAGCTTTAATTCTAATTGCGCCAACTCACACCTTTTTGAGACTTTGCGGTGATGTTTGCTTTCCTTCAATCTCAGTAATTTTTCACTAGCTCCGTGTTGATAAGCGTCTGCATAGTTGCAAGTGGGAGACACCTGTTCATTGTCACGCTTTGCCTACGGGCCCTGCATGTGCATGTGTGTCGTGGTGCAGGTGAAAGCCACCATCCGCTTACAGAGGGAGGGTGGACTCCTGTGGGTGAGTGGGTGGGAAAGGACAGTCCTGGAGTTTCACTGCCAGATGTGGCTGCGCTGTGGGCTGCCTGCACCACGGTGGGGGGTTTCAGCCACTCTCTCGGCACCACACCTGCAGCCTGGCTCCGTGACATGGCTGAGCCGCCTGTGGGTTGAGGACCCCGGGGATAACTGAGATGTGGGAGGAGCACAGAAAGTGCAGGGGGGCGCCCGCTCGTCTGCAGAGCCACTGCCCATCCCAACACCAGCCTTGAGCCTCTGCACCCCCAGACGTGCCCACTCAGACCTGCTTGCCTGCCAAGACCCATCTCCATGCTCAGGTCATCCTGGTTCTCCCTGACGATGCCCTCCTGGAAGCTCCTCGGCACTGGGCGTTGATCCCTGGAGTTCTGGCTACAAGGTGTTGGC
This sequence comes from Homo sapiens, assembly GCF_000001405.40. NCBI lineage: Eukaryota > Metazoa > Chordata > Mammalia > Primates > Hominidae > Homo > Homo sapiens. Next base: position 48,821,000 of record NC_000022.11, read on the forward strand.
AACAGTGACAATGGACATGGAGGTCCGTGGGCCACAGGGGTCTGCCTTCCCATCCTGGCTCCACACATGCAGGGCTGGCTGTGTGCCCTTGATGGTCACTTCCTTCCGAGTCTCTACTTCCTCCTCTGTAAATGGAGTCGACACCCCCTTCTGAAGGTCTGTGAGGATTCGGTGAGAGGATGGAAGCCACATCCCAGTGAGCGGTGGGCCAGGTGGGACCGGCAAGCCCAGTACCCCCCGCCCTTGGTCCCTAGGGTCTCTGTGGCTCCCTGGAAGACGCAGCTTCTGCGAGAAGGGGATGCAGGGCTTGGCTATCTTCAGCCGCTCCAAAAGGCTGGCTTTGATGGTGCTTAGACCATGGTGGGTATTGAGCCGTAAGAACTTGTTAGAGACATGTAGGGCTGAGAGCTCAGTCCTTGGTGGGAGGAGTCCAGTCCCGGGGTGGAGCCCTCTGCATTCAAGGGTCTGGGCTGTCGGGTCTGCGCGCTCTGAGGTCCCAGCCCTGGCTTTTCCCTACTGTGGGGGAGGGGCTGCCCAAAGAGCCCCTGGGGGGCGGGGGGTCGCCTCTCTCCCCTGGCCAGCCCCAGCCGGCAGCTCTGCCACTGGACCTCAGCCTCGCTCTAGGACACCCCAAACCTTTCTCAAACCAATCATCTCATGTTGATGGACGAAATTAGTCTCTGAATTCTAATGAGACTGTGCACTCGGGAGACAGACAGCTCATCTGAACATTAAATGAGAAAAATTGCCACTTTTGCTGGTTCCTTTAGAAACTCATTTGCATTCTGTCAGCTTTCATTATGAAAGGGAACTGCAGATATGGTGGGATGTGGGCGGGGGGGTCCCTCTGGCCTGGCCTGGGGCTGGTGCAGTGTGTGGCAGGGAGGCCGGGCCCTCCTAGCTCCCTCGGGGCCTCTGCTGCTGGCCCCACGGAGGCACTGGGGCTTCCCTCCTGACCTGCACATTGCCCCCCCCATCCTCCTGGGGTGGTGGGGGTTGAGATATACCTTCCTCCTCTCCCTTCCTCGCCGCCCTGGAGCGAAATCCAGAAGCTCAGCGTCTTCCCTGCTTAAACTTCCCTGTGCAGGGGTCTGAGCAGGCGCAAAGCCCCTGGTACGGGCACAGACACAGTCATGGGCAGGTGGCCGCCCTCCTGCACTATTTTCTTTGGCTGGGTGAAAAATCACCCTCAGACTTTGTGGCTTAAGACAACAGTGGTCCCTCCTCACCACCCTACATCCTGACTGGGCTGTTTTTCTGTTGAGCTGAACTCCCGAGCCTCACCTACAGGACCCACCCATGGGATCCACACAAGGGACCCACCCAGTGGACCCACCAACAAGACTCACCCATGGGACCCACCCACGGGACTCACCAGAGGACCCACCCACGGGATTCACCCACCGGCCTCACCCACAGGCCCACCCATGGGACCCACCAGAGGACCTACTCACGGGATTCACCCACGTGACTCACCAGAGGACCCACCCACGGGATTCACCCACCGGCCTCACCCACAGGCCCACCCATGGGACTCACCCACAGGACCCACCCAGGGAACTCATTTATGGGACCCACCCATGGGACTCACCATCCATGAAGACCCACCCTTGAGGAACGGGAAGGCTGGGACATGGGTGGCCACCATCTTCAAAGACCAAGTGTCGGTCCACATGGGGCCACAGGGAGCCAGGGCCCTTCTCACCTGTCGAAGTGGCTGGTGAGATGTTTCCCCTTCACCCAAGACCCCAAATACTCCTTCCATTGCAGGAACAGCTTCAGGTCCAGCTGTGGCTTCTCCTGACCTGGGGATGGCAACACCAGCCATGCGGTGAGGACAGGAGGACGGCCCTGTGACGGGTGTTTCAGCCAGGACAGGAGGACCCGGAAGTGGGTGGGCAGAGCAGTGCTGACATCCAGCTGGGCACACACACCGCCCCCAGACTCAAGGCCAGGAAATAGCTCTTGACCCACGCCCAGTGCTCTCCTCTTGGGACCGTTCCTTAATCCTTAATCCAAATCTGGCCCACTGCTTGCTTTGTAAATAAAGTTTTATTGGAACACGACAATGCCGATTCATTTATGTGCTGTCTAGGGTTGTTTCTGTGCCCCAGTGGCAGTGTCTATACCTCCAGAGACCCCAGGACTGGTAAGGCCTGGGCAATTTGTTGTCTGGGCCTTCAGAGAAAGCCTGCCCATCCCTGCTGTCCTCCCTGGCTGTCCTCAGCTTGAGGCTCTGCCCTCTGGGCTCTGGGCTCCACCCATGGAGATGTCTCCCTTTCTCAGAAGTGGCCTGTGTGTCTGGGGGCATTGCCTCCTCAGCTGTCACCTGCCCTCAAGAATTCAGAGGCTTATTGGCTGCTCCTGACTCTGAACTGTCTCCCTTCTAGTCCAAGCTAGTGACACTTGCTCTGAAACAATTCTCTTCAACTGTGAGTTTTCTAAAAAGTGACTCTCACAGGGGTTCCCCCCATGGGCTCAAAGCCACATCCTCCTTTCCTCCTGAGGCAGAGCTCTCCCTGCTCTGAACAGGTCAGGCTGCTTCAGGAAAAGTCACCGTTCTTAGGATGCGCCCTCTTCTCTCCTAGCTCAGAGGCTGTAATGCAGGGCTGTCCAATCTTTGGGCTTCCCTGGGCCACACTGGAAGAAGAAGAATTGTTTTGAGCCACACATAAAATATACACTAACACTAGCAATAGCAAAAAAAAAAAAAAAAAATCATAAGAAAACACACTGTTTAAAGAAAGTTTTACAAATTTGTGTTGGGCTGCATTCAAAGCCATCCTGGGCGTCATGCAGCCGATGGGCCAGGTGGGTTGGACAAGCTTGTGGTAACTCTGTGTGTTTAACAAGAAGCCTTAGAGGCTTGTAAAGACAGCCAACCACATGCAGCATCTGGAAAGCCTCGAAGTTCTCAGGGTCTGCGGCTTCCAGCAGCCTTTGAGGGGCTACGCATGGACTTCGTTTCTGGATTTTTGGGAAGGTTGCGGCTTGCTGACGTCCTCTGGCTTTCCCAGTGCTGGGCTGGAAAGGCCATGAGCTGGTCACGGCTTCAGCCCAGGGTGACTTGAGGGTCTTTGGGGGTTTGGCCCAACTCCGCACAAAGCTGTTCTAGGCCCAGGCCAAGACGAGGCGCTCTCTGCAGAGAAGGGCGGGCTCTCAGCTCCTTGAAGACAGACGGGTGCACAGCAGTCCAAGGCAGGGGAGACCTGTGGAGGACAGAGCCTCCTTGGTGCCAAGCAGGTGCTCAACTCAGGCCTGAGCTGAGCCACCCAGGTCTCGAGACAGAAGCATCTGCATCAGGTGTGTGAGCTCCAAGGCCCGTGTGTTTCAAGTTATTTCACTTAACGTCCAAATCACTGTTTGCCCCCGGTGATCTCTGCCTTAGAATCTCACGTCGGAGGCATAACACAGGCAGATCATTAAGTCAGTCACCAAAGCTAACAGCTGACATTTGCAGTAATTGTAATTAAAAATTAGCATAGAAATGTGCTTTTAGGAGATTAAAATTATTGGTAGGTCCTGACCTGTGTGCATCACCCTAAGTGATGGGCAACAAACGAACGTCACATTAAATAAAGTACATCTAATGCGCTTTTGAGGGAGAAAAGATGCAAATTCATTGATTTTCCTTTCTCCTTGATTTACAAATACGCTTTCTGCATAGACAAACACCACGCGCAATGGGACCGTTGGCACGTCCGCTCTTTTCGGGGCTTCTGGAGGCTGCGTCTTCATCAATTCCGTACAGGTCCATGACCTCTAATAACAGCTTTGTATCGTAAGCACTTTCTATACTCTGGAAATTGCATTACATATTAGAAATATTATCTCCATGCAGCAAACTATCAGTTAATGATTAGTTGAGTGGTAAAACGCATGTCAGGGAGAGAATGCAGATTTCACGGAGCAATTACAGCCTGGCGTTGTGTTTGCATTCGGAGCGGTATTTATGTCGTGGGCATGGGATCCGGGGAGCTGCTGGCAAAGACAAAGTGAGAGGAAGGCAGAGGTGTCACTGGGGCCCTCGGCAGCCGTGATTGCAGGGTTTCTCGCCTCTTTCCTCCCAGGGTTCTCAGGTGGGGCAGGGGCTCAGGGCCTGAGGTCTCCCTGGAGACATGGAGGGCAGTGGCCGGCTCCAGTTTGCTGGCACAATGATGAGATGTGCCCTGTGTGGCTCCATGCCAGCACTCTGTGGGGGCTCAGTTCACTCATTCAACAGTCACGCAGGCAGCGCCTCTGACAGGCTCCCCAGAGAAGGGAGTGAGAGGCAGGGCCTGGACTCTCACAGCATCTGGGGGTGAGGGGGAGGTCGGAACCAGCAAGGGAGGGACAAATAAAGGCCAGAATGAAGCTTCATGCTATAAAAAACACAAAGCAGATGGGGATCAGGCACAGCCGGGCAGCTGGCCTAATTGCTGCAATCATGGGAGGCCTCTCTGAGGAGGTGACAGTTGAGAAAAGTCCAGAAGGAAACGGTGGAGTGAGTCATGTGGAGTGGGTGAGAGGAGATAATTGAGGGAGTCACGTGGGGTGGGTGAGAGGAGAGAATCAAGCGAGTCACGCGGGGTGGGTGGGAGGAGAGAATCCTGAACAGAAAAGACTTTAGGCATTGAGCCTGAGGCTTTGGAGGGCTTGCTGTTTTTAGAGGGGTGCGAGAAGCCCAGCCCGGCTGGAAGGGAGCAGGCAGGGAGGAGGGTCCTGGGACTGCACTGCACAGATGCTGGGCCTCTCTCTTGGTGAGATGAAGGCACTGGAGAGTCCTGAGTGGGGGAGGTCACGCTTGGCCCCAGGTTTCCTCCCAGTTTCTGTGCAGAAAATTCAGAGACCGATGCAGAAAATGGGCACTAGACAGCAGCCAGGAGGACAGCACTTTGAGAAGCGCTGGATTCCAGGCATGTCTGGAAGTTTGGTCAAGTGGGCAGCTTTTCCGTAGGCTGGCGACAGGTCGCAGGAGAGAGGGAACTCCATGGTGCCGCCACACTGGGTCCAGCTGCTGGGCATGCAAAGGCGCCTGACGTGAGATGGGAAAGCTGGCCAGGGCAGCACCAGCGGGAAGATCACGCGCAGGTGAGTTGAGATCCAGCTGCCTTTAGGTGTCCAGGTGGAGCTGATGGGGTTGAATCCCCCAGCCTCTCCCGGCTCTGGTGGTCTTTCGGCCGTTGCTTTTGCTTTTGGATTCCAGGGCCCTCATGATTCATCAGAGATGTTTCCACCTAACCGAGCTGTGCAACATCAGGTCTGCAGAGCTCAGCCCCCACCAGGCTAAGGCCAGAGTCCTGTGACCTAGGCCTGTCCCTGCCATGCCCTTGCTGTCCCTCCGGGCTCCCTGCGTCCTCCCCGTCTCCTCTGCTTGCTCCTCCCCCCGGGGGACGCCAGGCTTCGCTGTCGGGGCTCTCCTCTCCAAGCTCTGGCGCTGATGACCCCACACTCCTGCCTCCAGACCTGACCTTCCCGGAAGTCCCAGGAGCCTCCCACCAACAGCTCGTGCTGTCCTTCCCTTCTCTCCATCACAGGCCTCCTTCCATGCTGAGGTCCTGACTCACTGTCCTAGGCCCCTTGTCTCCCTGGCCCTTGCAGAAGGTGCTCTCTGTCCCCATAGCCTATGCAGTGTGCGCTCTCCAGGACAAGGGCAGCGGCTCCTCCCAGGAGGCCGCCTGGCTCCTGAGCGACCGAGACCAACCAGGGCCTGGGTCTGGCTGCGCCATGACTGTCCCATTGATCAGGTGCCCCTGCAGGCAGCAGCTCTGCCCACCTGGCTTCCCAGCACCTGGCACAGCCAGTGTTCAGCGAGCTTTTGTTGCAGGAAGGACAGAGTCTGGGTTTGGAACTGCAGAACCTGCCATCAGGCTGACCCACATCCTGAGATGGGAGGTTGGACCCGAAAGCTGGGTCCCAGGCTGGCTGGGACACCTGTTCCTCACCCACTAAGGAGGAGCCCCGGCTAGGTGCAGTGGCTCACACCTATAATCCCAGCACTTTGAGAGGCCGAGGTGAGCAGATTGCCTGAGCTCAGGAGTTCAAGACCAGCTTGGGCAACACAGTGAAACCCCGTCTGTACTAAAATACAAAAAATTAGCCAGGCGTGGTGGTGCCCGCCTGTAATCCCAGCTACTCGGGAGGCCGAGGCAGGAGAGTTGCTTGAACCCGGGAGGCAGAGGTTGCAGTGAGCTGAGATTGCGCCACAGCACTCCAGCCTGGACGACAGAGTGAGACTCTGTCTCAAAAAAAAAAAAAAGGAAGCCCAGCTCTAGGACCACCAAGACCCCTTGAACTCAAAATTCTATGTGCTTAGGAGTCTGTTAGTGAATCACGGCGTAATTCATGATTATTTTAAAGCTGACCGCCCTTGCAATCCCTGGGTTTCCGGCTTCTCCGCCTGCACCTGCGGTTTCTACCCAGCGAGAACCAGGCTGGCTCTGAGCCCAAACTCCCAGTGATTAATGGATAAACAATCATATTCCCTAGAATTGGGTCTTGAAGTTAAACAAAGGGATGGGGATGGGGTCGCTGGGGAAAGGTTTGTGCAGGCAGGTTTATTAACCCCTTGATGACCTCAGAAATTTCTTCTTCTGAATGGCTGCCCCTGCGAGCCTGCAGGCCATGGAAACTGGCAGTGTTTATGGAGACGGTGGAGGCAGGGGATCCTGAGAAGGAACAAAGGGTCTCTGGCCCGCTTGCCTTCGCCGCGGTGATTTCACTCGTTCTTTTTTGGTGGTTGGAAGAACATTGACTGTTGTTTTTCGGAGTCTGAGTGAATTATTTACTGCGGAGTGAAAAACTGCCCTCTGAGTGCCTCTAAGAACACGAAGGAATTAGAAGGGTAGATTTGTTTTCCTTAATAGCTGTCTTTGTTTTTCCTGGAGGTGTCCTGGGAGAGCCAGATCTTGGCACCATGCAGCTTCAGGTGGAGGCGGGTGTGGGGTTTGCCTTCTCCTTCACCTGCTCTCTGCTCCGTCAAAAGCCCCCGCCCGTGGGAGGTGGCTTAACCTGTGCGGCCTTGCTCAGCCCGAGGGGTTGTCTGACCCTGCACTGACCTCAGGCCTCCCTTCTGGGGACCTCAGCCCTCGTCCCATCAGCCCACCACCCGTCACGGCCTGTCACCGCCGGTCTTGGCTGCTTTCCTCTTCCCTCTGGACTCGCCAGCAGACATCGGAGTTGGGAGGAGGTCCCTGGCAGGCGGGGTGGCGGCTCCTTCTGTCCTTTGCAGCCTCTCCCTGCCCCTGCACTGGCTGTGGCCTGGCCCTGACACTCAGACACCCCTGGGGTTGGGGTCTCTGCCCTGGGGAGAGCACTGGGGACTCGGCTCCAAGAGGGAACGGGTCTCACCAGCTGAGTTCAGCCAAGGGGGGCACCTCATAGAAGGGTATGAGGTGAGCTGTTGGCTGGAGTCCAAGCCCCGTTGCATCCCAGCCTCCATGAAGTGAGGATCCCCAGGACATAGGTGGCCTGGATAAGGTGCCTGGCACCCCATTGGGCACACAGGGTAAGGAATGAGAGCTTTGGGAGTTGAGGACAGAATCCTGAGGTCAGGGGGCATTGCCAGAGGATGATGTCATCATCTCAAATGAAAGGCCCTGGAGGGAAGTGGTCCCCACTGGAACCCACCTGGAAACCTAATGCCCTCCTCTGTGGGTGATTGCGGCTCCGAGCATGCATTCTGGAAGGGTCAGGGTGCCCATGGCCCAGCCAGGCCTCGGGGATCCATACCAGGCCCCAGACAGGTTTCCTTATATACTCACCTCATCCCCAGGCCCCAGGCCCCTCAGAGCAATGCGCCATACTTCTGAAATGCAACCTGCTTGTCTTCAGCTGGACTCTGTGGGGGTGCGTGAAAGCACCAGGTTACCTGGTGGAACTGAAGAGTGGCCCAGCCCCAGGCCCCGGGTGGGGAGGCAGCTGTGGGGATGGGGCCCACTCTGGGCTCTTGTGGTGTCTGTGATGGTGCCCATGTGGAGTGATGGGGCCTCATGCCACACTGTATCAGGACCCCACGCTGGAGGCATGAGGGAGGTCAGAGTTGGGATGTCAGGGATGAAGGTCACTCAGTCCCAAGACATCCTTGCTTTAAAAGTCACCACTGGACTTGCCAAACTCAGTGACTCATTCATCAAATTATGAAACCCTGGCTTTATGGAGGGTACTGAGTTGGGTGCTAAAAATACAGACATGAATAAAATACAGTCTCACACACTGGGGATGTGAATTCCAGTGTCTCATACAGTAGACAGACCCAGAAACAAGCAGTTGAAGACCATGGGATGAATGTTTGAACTGGGAAGCAATGATAGGCATTATGGAAGGACTCACTGCCGTTGAACACAGAACATGCTTTGTTTATTCACACTCTTGGCTTCTCAGTTCTTTGTTGTCATTATGGCATCCAGTAGGTGCTCAGCAGCTGTGTCTCCTTCAGATGATAGAACTCCATGTGGGTGATTCACTCCCCCGTCCACACCCTCCTCTCCAGGGACTATCCTGGTAATGGAACCTCTGCTGGGAGGAAGCGTGGCCAGCCGTGGGCTCGAAGGGATCATGGGAAGCTTCCATTCATGGCAATGGAATTAGATATACTATCCATCAAAAACACTTAGAAAAGATGAAGACATTAAATATTTTGTAAAATGCACAGCTTACCTCCAAGTGAAGTAAAAGAAATCCCCAAGAACCAAATGAAGAGGAACCTGGAAGCAGAAGTTCTGGGGCTTCCATGGGAGCTGGGATGGCTTGAGAGCTGCCTGCCAGTCTCAGTCACCAAGGGGCCTGGTTTTCAAATACTTCAAGGAAACAGGAGGAAAGGGTTAGTGCATGGCATGGTGGGGTAGGGGGTTAGTGTGTGGCATGGTTGGGGTAGGGGGTTAGTGCATGGCATGGTGGGGTAGGGGGTTATTGTGTGGCATGGTTGAGGTAGGGGGTTAGTGTGTGGCATGGTGGGGTAGGGGGTTAGTGTGTGGCATGGTTGGGGTAGGTGTCCCTTTATACAGACTCCTGCATAAATAAATAAGGTGTGTTGTCAGGGGGCCCCCACCCCTGGGAGTGTCTGAGTGTCGAGGCCATGGCCAAAGCCAGTGCAAGGGCCAGAAGAGGCTTCAAGGGACAGATGGAGCTGTCACCTCCGCTTGCCCGGGGGCCTGTTCCCAACTCTGAAGTCAGCAGGCAAGTCCAGAGGGAACAGGAAAGAAGCCAAGATGGGTGATGGGCTGATGGGATGAGGGCTGAGGTCCTGGGAAGGGAGGCCCGAGGGCAGTACAGGGTCAGACAACACCTTGGGCTGAGCAAGGCGGTCAAGTTAAGCCACCTACCGGGGGCCATCCCAATGGAGGAGAAGACAAACTCGGCACCCACCTCTGCCTTAAGCTGCATGGAGCCGAGATCTGTCTCTCCCAGGACACCTCCAGGTGCCCCTCAAAGGGGCATTGCATGAGTGAGAGACTCAAAGGGAAAAACATCACCCAAGGGCAGAGGGAAATGATGGCCACAGGCACGTACCATCATCTTCTGAGCTTTAAATGCACACTACTTGCAGATTTTGTGAAACCAAAATGACAAGGAATTAGGTTAAAGTGCTTCAGATTCTTAAGGCTCTGGGCCACCCCACAGAAACAAAGACAAGAGCCCCCAGCAGGACAGAGCCTCATCCCAGGGCCGGTGGATTCTCACAGCCCAATCCCCGCTGAACATGAGCTCACAATCTCAAATCACAAAACTCACAAGGACACATGCCATCCTGAGCACCAGGAGGAAGAACAGACAGCAGAAGCTGACCACCAAGACGCTGAACACATGAAGTGTGAAAGGCTGAATATAAAATGTTTTCAATATTTAGTAAAATAAAAGAGGATATGGAAACATAACCACATATCAATAAAAAATTTTTTTAAAATCCCACAAGAATGTCTGAAAAATAAAGACATGAAATCTTAAGAAGTGGAAAAATAATCATACATTTTTTTTTTCTTTTTGGAACAGAATCTCAGTGTCACCTAGGCTGGAGTGTATTGGCCCAATCTTGACTCACTGCAGCCTCCGCCTTTTGGGCTCAAACAATCCTCCCACCTCAGCTTCCCAGTTAGCTGACACTACAGGTGCACACCACTACACCTGTCTAACTTTTTGTGTTTTTTGTAGAGAGGGTGTCTTGCTATGTTGTCCAGGCTTGTCTCAAGCTCCTGGGCTCAAGTGATCCTCCTGCTTCAGCCTCCCAAAGTGCTGGGATTACAAGTTCAAGCCACCTTACCTGGCCCTATTTATTTCTAAAGAAAGAGAATTGTCAAAAATGGAAGCTAGAGCAGAGTAAATTTCCTGGTAGAAGCAGGAGAAAACATGAAGAACAAATCCAACAGTGCACCACAGTTCAATTGTAGTTTCAGAACAAGAGATGGGAGAAGATTGGGCACAGGCAATGGCCATGAGATAAGTGCTAGAAATGTTCTAAAATTGGTGAAAGACACAAATCCTCATATTCAGAAAGTGTTATAAGTACCAGGGTATAAGAGCTCCATACTGAGATACATAATAGAAAACCAATCTGAAGGACACCAAAGTCAAACAAAAGAACTTTAAAAGTAGCCAGAGAAAAAAGACATATTGCCTGCAAAGGAAGGCCAAGTATTTTGATTACAGAATCCTTAGCAGAAGAATAGACAACAGAACCACAGCTCCGAAGGACTGAAGAAAGAAATTGGTCACCTCATGATTTTATAGCTAGTAATCAAAATATAAGGAAGAATACAAATATTTTCAGTCAAAAGCAGCACATTTATTATTAAAATTTCTGGTAAATGATTTTCTGAAGCAGAGATTAACAAACTTTTTCTATAAAAAACGGAGTAAACACCTTTAGGCTTTGCAGGCCACATACAGTCTTTGTCACCAATGACTTGTTGTTATTGATACACCCTTTTAAAAATGAAAAAGCTGAACAACAGAGATGTAAAATTCATTTTTTGCCCAGAGACCATAAAAAATAATGCTGTAGCCTGGGCGCAGTGGCTCATGCCTGTAATCCCAGCACTTTGGGAGGCTGAGGCAGGTGGATCACTTGAGGTCAGGAGTTCGAGATCAGCCTGGCCAACATGTTGAAACCCTTTCTCTATTGTCTACGAAAAATACTAAAATTAGCTGGGCATGATGGCAGCTACTTGGGAGTCCCAGCTACTTGGGAGGCTGAGACAGGAGAATAACTTGAACCCAGGAGGCGGAGGTTGCAGTGAGCTGAGATCGCACCACTGTATTCCAGCCTGGGTGATGGAGCAATGCTCCATCTTAAAAAACAAAAACAACAACAAAAAAAACAACCACACTGCAAATCGGATTTGGCCCATGGGCTGAAGTTTTTTGACCTCTGTCAGAAACAGTGATCTTCAAATAAACAAACAAAAAAATGCAAAATAGTGTTGATTTGCAGGAAGAAAGATAATCGCCAAGGACTGGATAACAACTACTTTTGCAAATTCAGGTGAGTTTCCATTCAACAAAACTCAGTGTCACAAAAACTATTAAAATCTGAAATCACATTAGCAACAATTTATATTTAGTAATTTAATCATAAATCAATTTTAATTTTTAAATCATAGTCATCTAGAAGGATATAATAATGATTCGATAATAAATAAAATCATGATTATTGATCCCTAATGTGTTTTTTGGTATGATCTGGCCATGGACTGTCATGTGACAAAACACCTGAGCACTTGGTGGTTTCAGACACCCACAGTCATTTTGTGATTTCCCGTAGGTGACAGGGCTCAGCTGTGCGGTTGTTACACAGGCTGTGACTCAGATGGGGATGGGGCTGATGTCACCTTGGAGGCTTCCTCATCACACATCTGATGATGGATGTTGGTCACTGGGGCTGTCAGCCACACCCCTCCCTGTGGCTTTCTCTGTGACCTGGGCTTCTGCACAGTGAAGTCACTGGATTCTAGTAACAAGTGCCTCAAAAACAAATGACCCCTACAAACACATACATCGCAGTTACTTTGTGTGGGTTTTTTTGTTTTTGCTTTCTCAATTTTACTGAAAATTTTGTAAATTCAATTGCAGTAAAATACACATAGCCTAAGATTTACCATGTCAGCCATTATGTAAAAGTGTCTAGTTTGGTAGTGTTTGGTATATTCACACTGTTGTGCAATGAATCATAAGGAATGCTTCAGCTTTCCAGAGAGAAACTCTGTTCCCATGAAACCCCCGACCCCCAGCCTCTAACACCCGCCATTCACCATTCCACTTACTGTTTCTATGAATTTGACTACTCCACAGACCTCATGTAAGTGGAGTCATGCAGTATTTGTCCTTCTGTGCCCGGCTTACGTTCTTTAGCATAACATCTGTGTTCATCTGTGTTTAGCATAACATCTGTGTTCATCCGTGTTCAGCATGTGCCAGAATTTCCTTCCTCTTGAAGACTGAATGATATTCCGTCCTATATACAGACCATATTTTGCTTATCCATTCATCTGCCCAGGGACAGTTGGGTGGTTTCTGTGTTTTAGTCATTGTGAATAATGTGCTCTGAACATGGTGTGTAAGTGTCTCTTCAAGACCCTGCATTTAATCCTTTGCAGGATATACACAAAACTGGGATCCCCAGATCATAGGGTAATTGCATGTTCATTTTTTTGAAGAACGTGCCATACTGTTTTCCACACAGCTGTGCTCTTTCACACTCCCGCCAGCAATGCACAAGACTTTTAATTTCTCCACATTCTCAGTAATACTTTTTCTTTCTGTTTATCTTTTTTTAAATATGAGCCATTCAAAAGAATGTGAGATGGAATCTCGCTGTGGTATGTATCACTTTTTGTGTCCTAGCCTTGGAAATCGCGTAGCATCACCTCTGCTGAGGCCACAGCCCTGCCAGGATCCCATCCCAGGGCAGGGAGTGCAGGCTCCATCTGTCAAGGGAATGTCACCATCTCATTGAAGAATCGCACATCGGTGGGGCACTGTGCTCAGCACACACAGTGTGTTCCCTGGCAGAGAACTCATTACAATTTCAACAAACTGATGTATATCTAATTTAGGAGTTCCCTTCACACTCATCTCATTTATATGAACATTTTCTCAGGTTTTTAGATGAAAAAATACAAACTAAAATTAATAACATTTAAGCTGAATGCCATCTCGTTCTAGCAATGACTTGAATGTGAGGAGAAGCCCCATTCATCATATCAGAGGATGCAGTTAAAAAATAACTTCTTATGTTTACAAATTATTTGTCAACATGTACAACACATTCATGTGATTTTAATCTAGTGTTGCTAATAATAATTGTAATAATAACCCAAACTAGAAGAATTGGTTTTAGTATTTAAAGATCAATGGCACCTGGAAATTAACAAAATCAATTTATAGACATATATGTATATTTCTGAATATTGTTATAGGGATTATAATAGGACTATCAATAACAACTTTGAAACATAAAATCTATTAGGGTACAATTTTGTGGAGGACTGGCATAGAAATATGAGTGTAAGGTAATAAAAAGGGCTTTAGTTTCAGTTTCAACCATAAAACAGGAACTTACTCAGTTCTTTAAAACATAGATGACACCTGGTATTGATGGCTGTATATTTAGATTCCATGGCAAATATATCAGAACATCTGCAAAGCTATGTCCGTCCTCCCCAAAGGCCATATCTGCACAGCGGTAAACACTGCCCGGAGAGGAAACTCACACACAGCTCCACGGAGGAGGCATCAACTGCTTCCTCTACCTTTAAGGAGGGCAGTTTCTCAAGCTCTATAAGAAGCCTTTAAATGGGTGTGACGTGACCTAGAAATTTCATTTCTAGGATTTTGTCCTAAAAAATATATAAAGATATATGCAAAGAATTAGCTATAAATATGTCCATCTCTGCCTTATTTGAAATAGTAAAAACTTGCAAGCAAACAACATTTCAAACACTTGACCATCCTTTAAATATATGAAGGGGCTCTCGATAACATAAATCCACTGTAGTCATTGAGGGTCATTTCTGCAATAATGGACACAAGATTGTCAATTAAAAAAAGGGATAATTTCTTCAACGTGGTAATGGTGACAGAAAAGTCACATTTAGAATGGGGAGCGAGGCTAGGTGCAGTGGCTCATGCCTGTAATCCCAGCACTCTGGGAGGCCGTGGCAGGTGCATCACCTGAGGTCAGGAGTTCAAGGCCAACCTGGTCAACATGGTGAAACACTGTCTTTACTAAAAAAATATAAAAATTAGCCAGGCATGGTGGAGGGTGCCTATAGTCCCAGCTACTCAGGAGGCCGAGGCAGGACAATCGCTTGAACCCGGGAGGTGGATGTTGCAGTGAGCCAAGATCGCGCCACTGCACTCCAGCCTGGGCGACAGAGCGAGACTACATCTGAAAGAAAAAATTAAAAATTAAAAATTAGAATGGAGAGAGATGGTGCATTTGCAGGAGAGCCATGTGGTGGAGAATTATGCAGCCACAAAGAGGAATGAAGCCTGACCCAGCTGTGATGTGGTTGAACCTCAAGACACGGTGCGGAGGGGAAGAGGCCAGTACCAAAGGTAGCAAGCTGTGTTGCCCCATTCATACGAAAGATCCAGAACAGATCGATCCACAGGTAGGCACAGATCGGCGGCTGCCTATGCATGGGGTGTTGGCGCTGGATGGAAATGTTTCAGAAACAGAGATAGACGCCAAGGTCATGTGCCGAGAGCTGCTAAACGCTGCACTTTAACATGATTTATTTTAGGTTTGCCTGCAGCACCTGTAATCTGTCTCCTCGTGGATGGTGAGACCCCCGGTGTCGCCCCTGTGAGCTCTGGGAGCTGTGCGGGACCCTGCCCACTAGATGGAGGTTTGCCTGACTGTTAATTGACTTGCTCATGGTCAGCCCCCAGGTCAGGGCCAGGCCAGCACCACCACCCATCCGGCTCCTTCCAGGACTCGCTGGGCGGGCTCTGGCTTAGTTCTCCTACTTGCATTGGTCAAAGCCCCTAGGAGACAGTCGGCCTCTTGCCAGCCCATCCTCTGCCCAGCACAGCGTGTTCTCAAGGTTGGAGCAGGCTGCAGGTGCCACGCCGAGGCATCCCAACGGGGATTCCAGGCTCCTCCAGCCTGCCTGTTGTCCTGATCGCTCCCTGCAGCCGCTGCTGCCTGCCAGCGTGGGGGGACCTGTGGGGCAAGAGTGGGGGGCCCTGCTTATGAAGCCCGATCCCATCCAGCGTCAGCCGCGTTCTCGGTGCCCGTGACGGTCTGAAGCTGACGCCTGATTCTGCTTTCTGTCTTGGAGTGCACAGTGGCATTCACGGTCGTCGCCACAGCCATCAGGTCTGTGGAGCCACGCGCAGGTGCGCGCTCCTGGGAGTGGGCTCCAAACCTCAGGTGGGAGAGCAGAGGCTGCAGGGCAGGTAATGTGCTCCCCTCTGTGACTGGGGCAGAAGCCTGCACACCCACCCTGCCTGCGGGCACTGAGCACTCACCCAGACCCGTGGCCGTGCTCTCCACGTTTGTCATCGAGGCCCAGCTCCCCCTGCCTGTCTAGTCTCAAACCAGAGCCCTAGCCTGGTCCCAGATCGTGGGGTGCTGCCCTGGGGTCCCCCATCAACACAGGGTGATGACACCAGTGCCAAGCACCCCTGAGCAATCTCCCCCGAGCAATCTGCTCTATTGCTCTTTCAATGAATGACTCAGAGCCCTGTTCCAGATGCCCAGGCACCTGCCAGCTTCATTGCTGGAGTGAAAGGAGGGGTGATGGGGCTGCCATAAAAGATGACACTGGGACCATGTTAAGGTCACCTCCCGTTTCTTCTTCAGGTCTCCATGACTGAACTCACAGGGCCGCCCTAGGACCACTGCAGCCGGGAGTGCAGAGTGTGGGGGTGGGAGGTGCCTCTGCTTTGAGGTCTGGGGCGGCAGGTGGGAAGGGCGGGGGAAGGCGCCGTTTTGTCGGAGTCTCCTGCTGGGTTGGGGGTCGGTAATTCCTGGGGTTTTGGGAGGAAATCCTGTTTCTGGAGGAAAATGGCAGCTCCTGTGGGGGAAGCTTGTCTGAGCCTTGGGGCAGCCTGGGACACACGTGTGCGTGCACATATGTACATGCATGTGCACACAGGCACACACTGGCATGCACATGTCCCCACACATGTGGACACACATGCACACTCACAAGTGTCCTCACACGCATCCACATGCACACACGTCATAGCACACATGTACATATATGTCCTCACACACATGCACACACGTGTCCTCTCACACACACACTCACATGTGTCCTTACACGCACCTGCACGCACACACATGTCCTCTCACACATGCACACACGTGTCCTCTCACAAATGCACTCACACGTCCTTACACACACGCACATGCATGCACACACGTGTCCTCACACAAGTACACACGTGTCCTCACACATGCACACACACGTGTCCTCACACATTCACACACGTGTCCTCTCACACACTCACTCACGTGTCCTTACTCACATGTGTCCTCACATACATGCCTACACATACAGAAGTGTCCTCAGACACATGCACACACGTGTCCTCAGACACTCACATGTGTCCTCACACACATGCACACACGTGTCCACACACATGCACACACGTCCTCATGCACACACATGCACACTCCCACGTGTCCTCACACACATGCACACGTGTCCTCCCATGCACACACGTGCGCACACACAGGCTACGAGGTGGGGCTGTCCCCAGGGCTGTGCCTTTTCTTGGCCATCCTGTCCCACCGCGTCCTGGCCACACTCCCAGCAAGGACTTACCTGACTCAGCTGTTTCTGGACTTCCTACCTGTGCCTCCGTCCTGTCTGCCATGACTGTACTCCAGGATCACAGCTGATTAGTCATGGATTACTAATATCTGCTAGAGCTAGCCACTCCCTCCTTCCCCTCATTTCTCCTATTTTTGAATCATTTTTCCATTTGAAGTTAAAATCCCTTGACTAATCCCAGAGAAAGCAACACATTAGTATTTTGATGGCGATTGCATTCAATTTGCAAATTAACTTGGAAGAATAGACATCACTGTCATACTAACTTTTCCTGACCATGTGAATTTCCATTTTTGTTTTTTTCATGAATGTTGTGAAGTTGTCCTCACACAGGTCTCGCCCATTTCTTGTTAAATTTATTCATAGGTATTTTATCTCTTTTGTTGCTGTCGTAAACGGGGCCTTGGCTTCCATTGTGTCTTCTAGCTGGTGGTTGTGCATTATCGCATTTTGTCTCGTAGCCTGCGTTCCTCTGCGTATGCCTCATTCGGGCTTCAAGATTGGATTCCTTTAAAAGACAAAGACTGTAGCTTCTTTCTCTTCAAATCCTCCTAGTGTCTGGCTGAAAGTCTTGCCCTTAGTATGGGAAAATGGCTTTTGGAAGTGGATTAGGAAATGAGAGCACGGATCTCGGACAACGGGCTCAGATCTGCAGGCTCAGTTTCATAATCCGTCAGCTAAGGTTGCAGCACCTGTACCCACAGCACATATGCTGCTCGCAGATTCGGATACACGTGTGGGTGTGCGCTGTGTGGACGGCGGTGGGGTCCATGTACCTCAGGGGCGGTGCTGCCCCTGGAAATCTCGGGGCTGGCAGGGACTGTCACTACGAGCTGAGACCCAGGTGTAGACTGGTTCCCAGGTGTGGTCAGAGTCAGCATCCACCAGACTGGAGCGCCCTGGGGTGAAGGCAAGTCCCCAAAGTCAATGTGATGCCCACGTGCACGTTCTGCCTCTGGAGACAGAAGAGTCTGAGAGGTGGGAGGGGGCCTTGCCAGACCCCTGCCTGGGTCCCTGGCTAACTATGAGGGTTTTGCTTTGGGGAGTGGCTGAGACTCACACACCTCTGAGCTGGGAGAAGGAGGTGGGAATGAGAAAAGGGAAAGAGGGGGCCGGAAGGAGGCGCAAAACGTCCCTGATGCAGCGCCGTCCCAGGATGCCTGCAGCACAGGCACGGGGCTCTTGCAGGCTCCTGCGTCCCCAGGGTGGAGCATATGCAGCCTCCGTCACCTAAGACAGCAAACACCACGAGAGTGGCAGCCTCACAGTCACCTTGTGTCATCTCCTAGCACAGCAGGTGCACTCCTGGTCTCTGGGCAGCCTGAGAGGCAGGTCTTGCTGGGTTTACACTAGAGATGAGGAGACAGGAGAGAAACAAAGGAGTTACCCCATGGTCAGGCTCTGGTGGAGGTGTGTTCCTCCTGGTACTTCCCCTCACGCACCTGCATGACCCCCAGCAGCATCTGTGGCAAGCAGGCCCTGTGCTTGTCCCTGCCAGGCCCCTTCCCCACAGTGTTGGCCCCTCCCGGGCCCTCCGCTGGCCTCAGCTGCCAGCTGCCCCTGAGAATGAGCTCCCTGAGGGCAGGGCTTGGCTCCCTGTACCGTGTACTCCCTTCACCCTAACTGTGGAGGGCACAGAGCAGGCGCTGGGCACATGTGCATTCAGTGAATGAGTGGATGGATGGAAGGGGCTGCCTACCTCCCTGGCTTCTCTTCTCGGACAGGTTGCAAGGACTTGGGCCATAGCACTGGTCCGCATCCAAGATGTGAGGTCCCACTCAACACTGTCTGTCCATCTCTCCCCCTGCCAGTCCCCGCCCTCGGCCACCAAGCTCAGCCACCAAGCTCAGCCACTAAGCTCAGCCCTGCCATTTCTGAAGGGGGTGCTCAGAGCCAGAGCTGTGAGGGGCAGCTGTCCACTCCGTGGGGGCACATGGGAGCTACCTTGTCCAGGGCTTTGTGCTGGAAGATCTGAGCAGAGCTGGGAGAGTAGGCTGGACACGTGAAGAACAGGTCAAGGGTGGCCTTAGGCACTGGGGGAGCTTCGTTGTTCTCTGTCACCAGCATAATCTCTCTGAGGGCTCCCACCTTCCACATAGCGGGGGGCGATTTTAGTCATTCATTGCTGGTATTGCAGTACTTCCTTCCAAGCTATCTCTCTTGGGCGATGCAACTTCTTTTGCATAAATTCCTGGACTTTTAGTTTTTTTTCCCTAATTCCCTGCTCCTCACATGGTGGAGGCCAGGTGCCTGGGGATAACCCACGATGACTGCCCTGTGCAGATGCTGGGGTCTTAGGGTCTCAGGGCCTCAGCCATCACCAGCCTTGGCCTTGGATCAGCTCCAGCAGATGGGCCTCGGCAGGCAGGACCCCTCCTTTTGGCTGTTTGGCAGTGCTCGCATCTGGGGACCGTCACTAACCTGCCCCCACCCATGCTGCTGCCCTGAGTGCCCACCCCCAATCCCAGGTTCTCCAAGGGTTCCCCATGGCCCCTGGTTAGGTTTCCCACAGGGTTCCCCACGGCCCCTCCCATGTACTAGAGGGTGTCTGGGCATCCTGGCCATGCCTGGGCAGAAAGCATTGGCAGTACCCCTCCCACATCTACATCTAGAAACTTCTCCGCTGAAGCAGAGCTGCCCCTCCCACCCATGCACAGAGGACGCAGGACGCCCCTGAGACATGGCAGCCAGGGGCATCCCAGGACCTGAGACGTGGAGCTTCTCATACCCTCTCAGGGGTCTTCCCAGAGCCCATACCCCCACATGGGGCCCAAGAGCTGGGAGAAGAGAGAGTCTGGCCTCCACTCCTCATCTACCTTGGCGCCCTCCTCCCTCTACACCCCACTGGGTAGCATTTCCTCTTTTTCCCCTTCACCATCTAGAAGGGGTTTCCCTGTGAAATAACCTTGGCCTCTGGGCTTCAGCCAGGGACCGGGCCTAGGTGCTGACCGGGCAGTCAGGGACCCGCGGAATCGGCCCATCTCCCTGGAAGAAACAGAGCAGGCTCTGAGCAGGGAAATGGGGCCTGGCTCCCCCAGGCTGGACTGTGTTGAGTGAATGAAGAAATGCAGCCGTGTGGGTGAGTGAGTGAGTCAGTGAGTGAGTGAGTGGCAAGGGGACAAAGCCAGGTCTAGGGGAGTGACACATTTGTCCTCCGGCCCCCAAGACTGAATCTCCATGTGCTCCTCCCGGAGCCCAGTGCTCCCTGCAGAGCTGCAGGGCCTGTGAGTGGAGATGGATGGGACAGATCCCTCCTGCCCTGGCCTCCCCGTGGTCTCCTAGACCCATGAGCCTCGCCTCCCTTTGGCACTTGTATTAGTCCCTTTCATACTGCTATAAAGAACCGCCCAAGACTGAATAATTTATAAAGGAAAGAGGTTTAATGAACCCACAGTTCAGCAAGGCTGGGGAGGCCTCAGGAAACTTCCAATCATGGTGGAAGGCGAGGGGGAAGCAAGCACCTTCTTCACAAGGATGCAGGAAGGAGAAGTGCTAAGTGAAGGGGGAAGAGCCCCTTACGAAACCATCAGATCTCATGAGAACTCACTCACTATCATGAGAACAGCATGGGGGAAACCGTCCCTAGGATTCAGTTCCCTCCACCTGGTCTCTCCCTTGACACGTGGAGATTACGGGGATTGCAGTTCAATATGAGATTTGGGTGAGATAGGAAACCAACCATATCAGAGACTTGGCTGCCCAAGTCTCTGGCTAAAGTCACGGGAACTCCTTGGGCTTCAGGGGTGCATGGATGGGAGGACGACTCCTGCTTTCAGTGAACTCATCTGAGGAAGCGGCTGGCCAGCAGGATCTAGAGTTGCTTGGACAGGAGTGGGAGAGGAAGGGGTATTTTTAAATATGAGGGATGCGTTGAAGGACCACAAACCCACACTCCAGGAACACCAGGGCCCCTCAACTTCCTTCTTAGCAATGCTCGAATTCCAGCCAGGCTGTTCCAAGTCCCAGGACCCCCTGAGTGGCCTCTATCCCTCCCGCTGTATCCTGGGGGCTCTGGTCTTCAGCTTCTTGGGCTGTGCTAGGGGAGGATCTGCAGATGGAGCTGGGGGATGGTTCCAGGGAGGAAAGGGGATCCTCTGGCCTTCCACAGTGAGGGTTTGTCTTATTCCTCAAAGCTCCCTCAAAGGATGGTTCAAGTCACTTGCCTGGCAGACAAGAGGGATTCAGTCCCAGGTGGGGGATAGGGTGTGGCTTTTCCATCTCTCTCTCTCCATGCTGTTCCTGCGCCCGTCTCCACGTGAGACCCCACATCACATTCTCACTCCCGCCACCACACACAGAAGGGGCTGTGTTGCTGGAGCACCTCCCCTAACTTGTACCTGCATCAGAGCTGCCCTGCGGGGGCTGGCATGGGGTGCTCCACGCTGCAGGATGGCACCTTTCATTCCACAGACCTCGCTCCTGGTTCCAGCTCCATCCACTCCTCTGAACAGAACCCAAGCTTCCGCTAATGGTGCCTGTTTAGTGCTTACCAGAGGATTATGCTAAAATACGTTTTTTTTTTCTTAAATAGAAGTAGATAATCTCCAAACCCGTGTTTTCTTGCCTTTCCCTGTCTTGTCTTTGCACAGGAGGGTCTTGAGGAAAATGCCCTGGTGCGGGCTGCGCCCTCTGCTGTCACCTGCGGGCATGGGGGTGGCTTCCAACGGGCTTGGGAGCTGGGCCCAGGTGGCACCGTGTGGGCCTGAGCCACGCGTCCTCCATCCCCGCCAGGCTTTGAAAGCGTGCGCCCCACTGCGTGTGGAGGGCCCCACAGGTTGCCCAATGTAAGCCGCTCTTAATACTTGACAGACAGGACACCTGTAGCTGGGAATGACACAGAAAGTTAGTATTTGCAGGAAGGATAGAAAGGTGGAAATGCTCACGTTGTGGTTTTCCTGTCCGCGCTGCCGTTTCCCCACCTGGCCAGAAGGAAGCTGAGGTTCAGGTGCATCTGGCCGCCACGCCCCCATCTCCCACAGGGGCCCGACACCTGCAGTCCCCAACTGCCCCACCTCTCTGCTCTCAAACACCCCAGCCCAAGGCAAAAGGCCCGTCGCCCCTTCGTTCCACGGGCACGTGCTCCCCCACCTCCCTGGAAGCTCCCGGGCCCTGGCTTCCCAGCCTCGCGTTTCCCTTTTCTTACTCTGATCTCCGTGTGTGACAAGCATGTTCGGCTCTCAGAGTGTCTTGAGTCTCACCTGCAGCCTCAAATGCTGTGGACAGCAAGAGCGCCGGCTACTGAGGTCCACCCCCATTCCAGCTTCCATTTTGCCTTCCTGCAGTCCTGGAATCCTTTATTGGATGCCAACTGTATGCACTTCCATTAAAGAGAAAGTGTGAGCCCACTGGCTGGCTGCATGGTGGGGATTCCTGGACAGTGACGTGGTCCTGCCTTTGAGGAGCCGGAGGAAGGAGGGATAGGCAGGCTGCTGGGGCATTCTAACACAGGAGGTGGGGCTGAGATAAAAGCGAGCCCCAGCCAGGGGATAGGAGATCCTGGAGGCTTCCCCAGAGGGTGGCTCAGGGGCTGAATCCCAGGAGATGAGAGGTATGGGGTTTGGGGGGCAGGGTGTGGGGTGGGGGTTTGGGGTGCAGGATGTGGAGTGCAGGATGTGGAGTGTGGGGTGCAGAATGTGGGGGGCAGGGTGTGCGGTGTGAGGTGTGGGATGTGGGGTGTGAGGTTTGGGGTGCAGAATGTGGGATTTGGGGTTTTGGGTACAGAATGTGGGGTGCAGGGTGTGGGGTGTGGAATGTGGGGTGTGGTGTTGGGGGTACAGAACGTGGGGTTTGGGTTTTGGGTACAGAATGTCGGGGGCAGGGTGTGGGGTGTGGAGTGCGGGATGTGGGGCATGGCGTTTGGGGTACAGAATGTGGGATTTGGGTTTTGGGTACAGAATGCAGGGTGTGGGGTGCAGGGTGTGGGATGTGGGTGTGGAGCGGGTACAGCAGCGGGTCCTCCTGTGGGCTGGTGGCCTTGAGGCCAGGTAGGAGGAAGTGGCCGACACCTGGAGCAGGCACTGCCTCGGCTCCTTCACCATCCAGGCCTGAGCCCTCGGGGCAGCTGCTGGCAGGGGGCACCTTTGTGCAGGGACAGGAATGTGTGCCATGGAGCCGCCTGGGGCCTCACATTGAGGACACACAGCCTCTTCTGAGGGCAGAGGCCCAGCCCACAGCCCTGCACCCCACAGTGCCTCAACACACCCCACCTCCAGGTGAACTGGGCGTGTCAGACAGGACGCACTTGTCAGCGGGTTTGAGTAAAAGTGACATTCCTGAGGAGAATATTTTTAACAGATTATTCATTTGCTGAAAACCAGCAGCTGATAAATATTGAATTGCACTTCTTCACAAATACACCAATTATCTCCCCAAAAGCAGGAATTAGTGCTGCATAGCGTTGCATTAATAAATGTCATTCAGCTAATTGAATTTCTTGATTGACTAAAATATTCCCTGTTCTGAAATTCAGTCAGACAACAGGGAGGTTTCCATGGCGACAGCTCTTCCCGGGTGGCGAGGTGGGGAGCAGTCACCCTCCCTCCTGCCGGGAGAACCCCGAGAGGTTCGAGGGTTCCCCTCCAGTGAGCAGGGTGAAGGCAGGGCAGCCCCGCTGGTGGGTGCTTCATCGGGGTGGACGTTAGCGCTGGGGAGCCCGGACCCCTTGGACACCTGGCCTCACTGTCCTCAGTCTATTGCTTCTGCCTCTTCTCCTTAGAGATATGGAGCGGCCTTCCCCATCCCGTCTTCCTATCCCATCGCCCAGTGTGGAGACCTCCAGGGCTCCCGCGTGCTAGGAGGAGGAGCTCGCACCCTAGGCCTCCATGCCCCTGGCCCTGCTGTCCTGCGGCCTGGGTTCCCTGACCCACCCTTGTCGTTGGAAAGTCCCACTCACTCTTCATACTTGGGGCCTCCAACTCGCCAAAGGCTGAGGGGGGCTGCTGAGGCAGGAGTCACTTCCTTCCCCAGCACCCAGCGCCAAAAACCTTCCTCCCTCCAGCCTCTCTCTTCCTTTCCTCCTTCCCCTCTCCCTCCCTCTCTGTCCTCCTTCTGTCCACAAGTATTTGGGAACCCACTGTACCACGATGTCCTCTTACACACTGGCCACCCACCCACACATGGCTGGGGCTCCGTCTTCTCCTGGCATCCAGCACCTGCCCTTGCATGTGGAATAGGGTGTTAAAACCTGTCCTGCCTGGGGACCACTCTTCTGGATCCTGCACTTGGCAATCTGTCCCTGTCCTATTTTCTGGGATCTCATTTCTCCAGTTTTCCCTCTTCTCTGTCTTCAAACGTTTCCATCTCCTGGTCCACTCTGCCAAGCTGCTAAATGGGTTCACGTGTCCTCCACCTTAAAACCAATCACAAAAGCAAACAGGAGCCTTCTTACTTCTACATCTCTGACCTGCCAGGCCCTCTCTCATCCTTCCTAGCCAACCCCTGTGGGAAAGCCGTCTTCCTGTCCAATGCCCTCTCCATCGGCCACCAGACCACCCAGCCTCAGCCCTAGACCACCCAAGCTGGAATCTGTTCTTGCCAAGGCCACTGCAAGACTCTTCTGATCCTCCAGTGACCGCTACTGAGTCTGGTCTTCAGGCCGAGGAACAGCTGCTTCTCTTCCTGCCTCCCTCGGTGCCCTCGTCGTAGGCAGTGCCTCCTTGTCCAATCTTCCCCACCCCAAGTAGAGAGGCCCTGCGAGGGGCCGGGGTCGGGCCATTAGCTGCTTTTACCCACTAGAAACTGCAGGGCAAAGGCAGACGGAAGTGAGGAGGTCAGAATATCTGTTTGCCACGTGAGACCGTGTGCTCCGTTCCTGAGAATCACGCCCATGTTCACTCTCGGCCGTGTCCAGCCGTCCCTGGAACAGACCGATTTGGCCGCATTCGCGTGTCAGGGGTTTTTGAGCACCTGGGGCGTTCAGTGCTGGGGGTCAGAGACACTGCCTCCCTCCCTCCTGCGAGGACAGACACAGAGGCCCCAGCGTCGGGGACGGGTTGGCAGCCTGCCCCATCCCCATGCTCCTGGGGCTGCGCGCCCACCCTGCCAACAGCCTTTGCAGCCTGGAGTCCGATCCAGGTGAGGAGAATCGTGCAGCGTTGTCATCTGTTTTTATGAAGGGCTGGAGAAGTGCCATGAGCCATTAGCTCCAGGCAGGTGGGGCAGCCACAGGTGAGCTCAATCCTACACTCTGCACACAGGAGGTTCCAAGCACATGCTGATGATTTCCCTGGGGATCCGAACAGGCTGCTCTTCCCCCCTGGCTCTCATAAAACGGGAACTGTCCGTACAATGTTCACAAAGTGCTGAGAGATTTGACCCCGACACTGGAGCCACTAGGCCTTGTCTAGACCACGGCGGGTCCCAGTCCTTGGGAAGGAGGGGGTATGGTGCTCTCCTCTCTGGCCCAGTGCTGGGAAGGAAAGTGAGGGACTGGGACCACACAAGTCCCTCCCTGCACTTTGTGGGGATTTTGAAGCCCCCAAATGTAACAGTGGATCCATCACTCTCTCCCTGGAGTTCTACAGTTTTTGTCTCACAGAATTGGATGCTCTGTTATTGGATGCATCCATGTTATAGTTTGTCATGTCTTCCTCGGTCATTGACTTGTTATGTCTTCCTCGGTCATTGACTTGTTATGTCTTCCTTGGTCATTGACTTGTTATGTCTTCCTGGGTCATTGACCCTTTATCACTAAGTCATGGCCCTCTCCCTCCCTGATGGTGTTCCAGATGATGGTCTTCTGCAGTCTGTCTGAGATAATGTCAGCTGCTCCTGCTTTCTTTCGATTAGTGCTAGCGCGATATGTCTTCACCTCTCTACTTTTCACCTGTGTGTGCCTTTATTTATTTATTTATTTTTGAGATGGAGTCTCACACTGTCACCCAGGCTGGAGTGCAATGGGATGATCTTGGCTTACTGCGACCTCCACCTCCCGGGTTCAATTGATTCTCCTGCTTCCACCTCCCTAGTAGCTGGGACTACAGGCGCATGCCACCACATCTGGCTAACTTTGTTTCTTTTTTTTGTTTGTTTTTTGTTTGTTTTATTTTATTTTTTTTTTGTACTTTTAGTAGAGACTGGGTTTCGCCATGTTGGCCAGGCTGGTCTTGAACTCCTGACCTCAAGTGATCCACTTGGCCTCCCAAAGTGCTGGGATTACAGGTGTGAGCCACCACGCCCGGCCTGTGTGCCTTTATTTTTAAAGTGGGTTCTTGTAGACGCCATGAGCAGCAGCTCCACTTGATCTAAGGTTTTGTTTCCACACTTTCGGGTATTGATGGTTTCACTTATCCGAGGCCAACCATGGTCCAAAAATATTAAATGGAACATTTCAGAAATAAAAACTCATAAATTGAAATGGCGTGCCATTCTGCATAGCACGATGGGATTTTGTACCATCCCACTCCGTCCTGCCCAGGACGTGACTTACCCCTCTGTCCTGGGTTTCCAGTCTCTGCACACTACCCGCCCACTAGTACCTGAGTAGCCATCTCAGCTATCAGATACATAAAAAAAAAAAAAAAAAAAAAAACCACATAATAAGTAAGTCCTCCCTTATTGTAAAATAGAAATTTGTAAAGTCTATGACAATCACACAAATGCATGACGATAAAGATTATAATAGGAAGCGCTCAGCAAGCTGCCTTACCTGTGACGGTTTGTGAGCAACCATGAAGCTCATAAACCTATCAGGTGATAGCTTCTTGGAAACTGTGACTTTAACCCAAACAAAGCAAAGCAAAACCAATTTTATGGCTTGATTTTAAAAAGAGCTAAGTTCCAGTGGTGTATTTCTGGTCACAAAACATCATTAAACTTCTAAATGAAGATCCAGAATACTTCTGGTATTAAACATTAAAATAAATTTAAGCCATATATAGATTTAAGAAAGATTAATGAAAACAAGCAAGATGACTATCTACCTAATTGTTGGGGAGTTGGTGAGTGGCGGTGGTCACGTGCTGGTGGGTTAAACCAAAGAACAAATGTTTGCAAAGGGAAAATTGTAAGAAGCACCTCCTGCCCCCGCACAGCTCAGAAACCAGCACAGAGATGGTGGCTCGCCGAGCGCTTTCCTACCACATCCTTTACTGTCACACATTTGTGTAATTATCGTAGACTTTACAAATTTTTATTTTACAATAATTTGTATTAATTCATTCATTCATTCCTTCATTTTCCAGCATGCTTATTCCAGCTGAGAGCACAGGCAGGAACCAGCCCTGAACAGGACGCCCTCCTCACCAGGCGACCCCCACACACCCTCACTCACTCACACCGGGACCGTGTAGACGCACCAACTCATTGAATGTGCACACCTGTGGGAGGCACACCTGTGGGAGGTGGGAGAAAGCCGGAGCACCTGGAAAAAACCCTCGCAGACAAGAGGAGAACATGCGAGTTCCACACACACACAGAGGAGATGACAGGGAATCAATGTTCTTTTTCTCATCAACATTATAACGAGACAGCGTTGGACAAAATGATGTTGTTTGAGGATCTGCTGTGCATGACATGCTGGAAAAGGCATAACTATGGGGCCAGTACGGAAATCAATAGTTACTAAGGGCTGGTGAGGAGGGAGGGATGAAGAGGGGCAGCTCGGAGGGTCTGGGGGCCCTGGATGAGGCTGCAGTGCTGGATTCAGTCCACGCACCTTGTCAAAGCCCACATCACCGCGACAGTGAGCCCTACTGTGACACTCAGGCAGAGAGTGAGCCCTACTGTGAGCCAGGTGCGTTGGGCCATAATGATGCGTGGATGTTTGCTCATCAGTTCTACCAAATACACCTTCTCATGGGACGTGTCGATAATGGGGGAGTCTATGCATTTGCGGGGCCAGGGGCTGCATGGAATATCTCTGTACCTTTGCTCAGTTTTGCTGTTCTGAACCTAAAACTGTTCTAAAAGGTAGACTTGGCCAGGCACGGTGGCTCATGCCTGTAATTCCAGCACTTTGGGAGGCTGAGATGGGCCAATCACCTGAGGTCAGGAGTTCGAGACCGGCCTGGCCAACACGGTGAAACCCTGTCTCTACTAAAAATACAAAAATTAGCTGGGCATGGTGGTGGGTGCCTGTGATCTCAGCTACTCAGGAGGTGGAGGCAGGAGAATTGCTGGAACCCGGAAGGCGGCGGAGGTTGCAGTGAGCTGAGATCGTGCCATTGCACTCCAGCCTGGGCAACAACAGCGAGACTCCATCTCAAAAAAAAAAAAAAAAAAAAAAAAGGTAGACTTAAAATAAGATAGACTTAAAATAAACAAACAGACAAACACACCAGGGAGCTGACCAGCTAATCCAGTCCATGAGCCTCTAATGAACTCACGGGGGCTGGAGGCAGCGGGGAAGGCCTCTGCATGCTGACTCCGCCCTTGGATGCCACTGCTCACGGCCATCTCTGGGAGGTGGCAGGTCCCTCGCAGGAGCAGGCCTGTGCAGGCATTTCTGTATTTTTTTCCAGGGAGTTTTGTTTCAAGGCTGACATTAGCAGGCTGTGGTATATGCACTGATTCCATTGGTGGCAGACCTGAGTGACCGGTGGGCTCCACTCCCTTCCAGAAATGCATGCCCTTGGCAGAGCTGCTGGCCTCCCTCAGTCCCTGGGAAGTGCTGGCTGTGAAACCTGGGCCTCCAGGCTGTCCGGGGCTGGGCTGAGCAGCTGTCCCCATGAGGCAGATTGATGAGTCTGGATTTTGTGCCCAGAGCAACAGTGCAATGAGGTGACATGCAGTTGCTTTCAGTGAGAATGTGTCTAGGACCTCAGAGTGGTTACGATGACACTCGCGTCTAAAAGTCCTGAGGAGTGTGCAGAGAGAGGGAGCTGGGAGGGCAGATGGGTGTGTGCGAGAGGAGTGGGGACCGGAGAGCGGAGAGTGCTCAGTGGGGTGGGGACAGAGTGAAAGGGAGATGGGGAGAGAGAGGGAGAAAGTTGGGAGAGAGGAAGAAAGGGCAGAGAGAGAAAGAAAGGGACAGAGGGAGACAGAGATGGAGAAAGCAGGTGGAGAGGGAGAAAGGGCAGAGGGAAATGGATACAGGGAGAGAGGGAGAGAGCCAGAGAAAAAGAGGTGGGGACAGAAAGGGAGAAAGGGGAGAGAAGGAGAGAGAGAAATAGAGAGATAAAGGGAGAGAGGAAGACAGTGGGGAGGGAGAGAGAGGATAGAGAAGAGGAAACAGTGGCCTTGGGGTGAGCCTGAGGAGGGACACTGGCTCCTGGTCAGTAGCAGGAGCAGCTGTGGGTGGCAGTGCCATTACTGGGACAGGGAAGATGGATGAAGGGAAAATCAGAGGTGGGAGATGAGAGGAGCTGTAGCCACGGCGACAGCACCTTCAGAGCAGACAGTCCTGCCAGCTGCCTGGGCTCTGGGGAGGGTGTGGACTCCACAGGCACCTCTGGGAGTCAGGGGCATGAGTGGTGCTTAAAGCCACAGGGAAGCTCAAAGCCACTCAGGGAGTCGTGGGCAGGGAAAGGCGCCTCAGAGAGCCCAGCTGTGTGCAAAGGAGGGAGGTGAGGAGGAGCCGCAGAGGAGACTGGCCAGGAGCACCCGAGGAGGAGGGAGGGGAGGAAGGCGGTGGGGAGGAGGGAGGTGAGGAGGAGGGAGGTGAAGAGGAGGGAGGTGAGGAGGAGGGAGGTGAGGAGGAGGGAGGTGAGGAGGAGGGAGGTGAGGAGGAGCTGCAGAGGAGACTCGCGGGGAGCACCCGAGGAGCCAGGGGGCGGGGGCCATCGCAGGCACCATAGGGCCTCCCCTGTCCAGGCAGACCTGCCACACAGGAGCTGTCCCCACAGGGGATCCTCATCTGCCTCCAGAGCTCCACCCTGGGCGAGAGGCACCTGAGAGGCCCACCTGGGAGGGAAGGGGCAGGGGGTCCCAGAGCCCCCTTGGGGTTTCTACATCCATCCCGTTCTTTCTTCTCTTTAGATGGAAAAGGGAGGAGAGAGGGTGTTCTGGGCTCTGTGCACCAGGTGACTGATTGGTCGTTTTTCCTGCTTTCTCTCTAGTCACCCTCCAAACCTCCCAAGAGGGCACCGCCAGGAATCCCCAGCTGCAGACAGAGGGCTGGCGGCTCCCTGGGCTCCAGAGATCTTCGCACATCCCTGCTCTGCCAGGGCTCCCACCTTGCAGACAGGAGAAGGTGGCTGAGGCCCAGCCAGAGCCCCCCACAGCCTCGCAGCGGATAGCTAAAGAGGAAGCCTGGCTCAGCTACGCCTGGAGTCCGCCAAGAAGGGACAGCGCTCAATGGTAGAATGACACATGGGTGCTCTAACAGATTCCCGTTTTGTGAAGATGGACAAGCTCTAAGCAGGAGGACTTACAGGAGGTCAGCGGCTGGTGGCCCTGGCAGGGCTATCATGGACCTGTTCCATGAAGAAAGAGACACAGATCTCTCTGTGGAAAGGTGCAGGCTCTGCTGCAGGAGGAAAATGGCAACAAGAAGCCCAGTTGGTGAGTTGATGGGACTCCGTGCAGCCATCTCGCGTGGCCACCGTGAAGTATGGACCAGCCCAGGTGAGTGTTTAATTGATGGGACTCTGTGCAGCCATCTCGCGTGGCCACCGTGAAGTATGGACCAGCCCAGGTGAGTGTTTAGTTGATGGGACTCTGTGCAGCCATCTCGCGTGGCCACCGTGAAGTATGGACCAGCCCAGGTGAGTGTTTAATTGATGGGACTCTGTGCAGCCATCTCGCGTGGCCACCGTGAAGTATGGACAAGCCCAGGGGAGGGTTTAGTTGATGGGACTCCATGCAGCTCTCATGCGTGGCCACCGTGAAGTATGGACCAGCCCAGGTGAGTGTTTAGTTGATGGGACTCTGTGCAGCCATCTCGCGTAGCCACCGTGAAGTATGGACCAGCCCAGGGGAGGGTTTCAGGTCCGGAGATCTCAGTTGAGAGCATCACTGCTCCAGAAAATGACCACAGTGTCATTCTGAGCTCACCGAGGTATCTGTGGACACCAGGCCCCATGGGCGTGCTAGAAAATGGGTTCTGGAGCCCAGGTGGACACCGTTTCCATCTCAGATCTTTGGTCCTCAGCACCTGTCTGCTCCGACGTGGAGGTATCAGCTCCCTGCATCTTACTGAGACACAGGAGCCAGAAGGGTCCCGAGGTTGTCATCATGGTGCTCTCCCCAAGTGCCTCCCAGCTTTGTGTGAGATTGTGGGGGCACATGGCTTCAGGAGGTGGGAAATGGAACAGACACCTGCAGAGTCTGACGGGGCGCTGAGCTCCTTCCCTGCTCTGCTGAGACAGGCTCGGGCCTCATCTGTTATTGGCCAAGGGAAGCAAGGAACCA
Organism: Homo sapiens; assembly: GCF_000001405.40. Lineage (NCBI taxonomy): Eukaryota > Metazoa > Chordata > Mammalia > Primates > Hominidae > Homo > Homo sapiens. Next base: position 48,852,052 of record NC_000022.11, read on the forward strand.
GGGCAGGTGTGAGGTGTGCACCAGAGGCACCCCTTGAGTTAGGGACGAAAGTCTGGCAGGGCCTGGAGCTACTGCGTGTTTAATCTCGGTGCATGGGTGTCTGCAGGAGCAGAGGGCCCGTCCCAGCGCCGGATCTGTGGTCTGTCCCTGGCTTTCTCCTGGGCATCCTGGAGACGCACAGCTCCCGGCTGTGGCTGTGGTCTTCTCCCTCTGTCCTTGGGTCCCTCCGCAGCTGCAGACTGGGTTAACCTTGAGAATGGACAGTGGTGGCCTGGCCGCTGAGTGACAGCCAGGAAAGAGCAAATATTGACTCCTCACCTCAGGAAAGGGGCTGACGTTCCTTCCGCAGGCGCACACTGACCTTGCTTCCACGGGAATCGATAGAAACCTCTCGAGTCGATAAATCTTAATGTTCCTTTCAACAGAAATCCATGCACCTCACTATTGTTACTTTTCTGGAATGGCGGGCAGGAGCAGGCCTGGGCCTGCGCCAGTGATCAGAGGGTGGTTTAGCCTCAAAGCTTCATCAGACCCTCCTGACTGAGACGACTAAAGACCCGTCCCCTCAGAGGGTGCTGATAGCCCCCCTGCAACTATTCACAGCCCACTGGGCCCACCCCTAACCCACCTCCTGCCTACAGGAACAGCATGGGGAGAGAGAGATGGAAAAGCCACACCCTGTCCCCTGCCTGGGGCAGAATCCCTCTTGTCTGCCAGGCAGGTGACTTGACGCATCCTTTGAGGGAGCTTTGAGGAATAGGACAAACCCTCACTGTGGAAGGCCAGAGGGTCCCCTCTCCTCCCTGGAACGATCCCCCAGCTCCATCTGCAGATCCTCCCCTAGCACAGCCCAGAAGCTGAGAACTGGAGCCCCCAGGATACAGTGGGAGGGATAGGGGTCCTGGGGCTCAAGAGGTCCTGGGACTCAGAACAGGCTGGCAGGAATTCAAGCATCTCTAAGAAGGAAGTTGAGGAGGCCTGGCGTTCCTGGAATGTGGGTTTGTGGTCCTTAAACGCATCCTTCATATTTAAAAATACCCCTTCCTCTCCCACCCCTGTCCGAGCAGCTCTAGATCCTGCTGGCCAGCCACTTCCTCAGATGAGTTCACTGAAAGCAGGAGTCGTCCTCCCATCCATGCACCTCTGAAGCCCAAGGACTTTCAGTGACTTTAGCCAGAGACTTGGGCAGCCACAACTCCTCTAGTGCTGATATGGTTAGGTTTCCTATCTCACCCAAATCTCATATTGAACTGCAATCCCCGTAATCTCTACGTGTCAAGGGAGAGACCAGGTGGAGGGAACTGAATCCTAGGGACGGTTTCCCCCATGCTCTTCTCATGATAGTGAGGGAGTTCTCATGAGATCTGATGGTTTCGTAAGGGGCTCTTCCCCCTTCACTTAGCACTTCTCCTTCCTGCATCCTTGTGAAGAAGGTGCTTGCTTCCCCTTCGCCTTCCACCATGATTGTAAGTTTCCTGAGGCCTCCCCAGCCTTGCTGAACTGTGGATCCATTAAACCTCTTTCCTTTATAAATTATTCAGTCTTGGGCGGTTCTTTATAGCAGTATGAAAGGGACTAATACAAGGGCCAAAGGGAGGCAAGGCTCATTGGTTTGGGTCTCATCACGCCCCCGTGTTCTCACCCCTGCTGTGTGAGCACGGAGGAGTCTGTCTTCCAGCTTGAGCTGGGCCTGCTGGGGATGGGCATGGGGCCCACATAACCCAGGACCTGGATCTGCTCTGAAAGAAAGGGGACAGGTTGCTCAGAGTGACTCTGCCCAGCTGTTAACTAGCCAGTACAGACATATGACACAGCCCAGTAGCGGGGAACATGGACAGCTGCCCATCGGGACCATAGCCCAGTCACCCCACTGTGCTGGCCTCTCCTCCTCTGATAGCACACGGCCCCTCTGGGCAACAAGAAGACAGAGGTGGCTCAAGCCTGGCCAGCTGGACCCCTTCCTAGAGAGTGAGGCTCCCTGGCCTCTCCCTGGCCAGAGACTGGAAAGCATGAATATGGTCTCATGGAGAAAAGCAGGTGCAGTGGAGAAAAGTGAATCCCCGAACAGAGACACAGACATGAGAGTGCATGGAGGGAGGGACACAGAGGCTGAGCTGAGCTGGCAGGGCTGTGTGGGCTGGCAGTCCCCTTTTTACTCCAACAGAATCATGGACTGCTTTGGGTCTCCCTCACTACCAAAGTGGGGGTAGGATTTTGCCACTTGGGGGTGGGGAGGGTGGTGGAGAGCAGGAGACTGGGGCTGCCCTCTGCCATGGCAGGTTCAGCCACAGCACCTGCAGGAGCAGAGGCAAGAGGAGCTTGAGGTGAGGAGCCACCAAGGAGCAGAAGGGATCAGGGAGCACTTGGCACATCCCTCTATCACTTCCAAGAACTGGTTCTGCTGCCCTGGTCACCAGGAGCCCCTCTTGCCACAGCAAAGGTTGCAAGAGCCATCTCAGGACCAAACGTGTTTGTGCATACCTTTGAGCCTGTGCATGTTAGGTTTCTAAATTGTGCCTTTCCACTCACATTGCTTAATCTGGGAGCTGAAGGATGGATAGGCATCAGGTGAAGAGGAAGGGAAATGCATTCAAGAGGGAGGAACCACCAAGAACCCAGGGACCACCAGCAATGGCAGCAAAGGGGGAGCAGCAGGAGGTGAGATGAGTCAGAAAGGAAGCATCAGCTCATTCAAAGCTTTGAGGCTTTGCATGGAGGGTGAGCTTGGTTGGTTGTGAGTCAGAGCCTGAGAAGTGGTCTGTGGGGGAGTGAAATGAGAAGCAGGTCTTCATGAAAGACCACTCTGGTGAGTGGGAAACTTGGAGATCAAATGTGGAAGGGGGAACAATGTGGGAGTGGACTTGGCTGGGGCAAAGGCCCCATATTCTGCTCCCTACAAGATCCTCCGGGGGAAAGATGCCATAGTTCTCTGCACAAAGGAGAACCAGCTATCCATCCATCCATCCATCCATCTACTCATCCATCTACACATCCATTCACTCATCCATCCATCCATCCACTTATCCGCCCATCCATCCATCCACCCACCCACCCATCCATCCATCCATCTACCCACTCATCCTCTACTCAGCTATTCATCCATCCATGCATTCACCCATCATCCATCCATGCATTCACCCATCCATTCATCCATCTATCCATTATTCATCCACCCATCCATCCATCCATCATCTACCCACCCAACAACCCACCAGTCTACCTATCCATTCATCCATCAACCCATCCTTCCATCCATCCCCTCATCTGTCCATGTACTCAATCATCCATCTGTCCATCCATCCATCCATCCATCCATCCATCCATTTATCCATCCATCCATCATTCATCTACCCATCCATCCAAGCATCCACTTATCCACTCATTTCTTCCTTCCTTCCTCAACTCTGTTCTATGCCACACTCTGGAACCGGTGTTTCAGAGGCTATAGATGCTGCAGGTATCAAAGAAGAAAGGGTCTTGCCCTCTGGGACCTTTATTCTGTTGGAGAAACAAAATAATAAATAAGTAAGCACATTAAAAAACAACAACACTTCCCTATGTGGTTGTTGTATGAAGCTGAAAATGGAGTGGCCTGAGGCCTATTGGCTGGAGGGCCTTGCAGGGTCCACTGTGGGCTGAGGGTGTGAGACACCATGAGAGGTGATGGGCAGGGACCCAGCCTCACAGACATGGCCATGAGCCACCCCATTCACATGTCTCATGACGAGGGCAGGGTTTCCGTGGGATTGGGAGCCTGTCCGCTTTATTTGTAAGAGAAGTCAGGCATGCCCATTCCTCTTCTGTGGCTGGAGTCAGCAGGGACAGTCTGAGGACTTGGGCCATGAGCTGCCACTGCCTGGAAAGGCTTGAGTAGATGAGGGCTTCCTGGCCCATGGCAGATGGGTGGGGATGTCCTATAGACAGGTGATGGCTGGCCCCAGAAGAGCAAAGCTGCTGTCCAACCGAGGGGACTGCTCACAGGGAGCCACCCTGGACCAGGCCTCAGTCACTGTGTGCCGGAACCCTCTCTCCTTGATATTTCATCCAGGGGGCCTTCGTGGGGCCTTTGTGAGCCCCTCGGCGTTCTGACACAGTGCTGAGATTAATGCCATAAACTGGTGACAAGGAGAAGAGAACAGGGCCTGGACTTCACTGCAAAGGGCCCTGTGCCCTAGCGTGTGTGTCTATGTGCAGGGAGTGCATGCATATATTACAAGACACTGCCACACCCCCACCCTGTGTTACCTGTCCATCTGGCACACAGGCACAAGGGCTGAGTGACCCCACAGCTTCCTCTTTAGCTGCTGCCCAGGTGGGAAGAGGCCCGCGCCAGCTGGGACCCTGAGAAGGATGTGGCTCTTCTGGTCTAGCAGGGCAGAACCTCCCCTCTATGGAGCCCTGCTTGCAGCAGACGGACAGTGGCCTCGTGCAGCAGGGACAGCTTGGCCTTGCACACCACGCCTGTGGGAGTGCACACTTACGGGCGCTTGCTGCTCAAGTGGGAAATTCAAGCTGGAGGGTGACGCAGGTGGCCCAGCAGGAGCCCTGGTAGGGAGCCCACCCCACCATAGTCTTGACAGGAGCAGGCGTTTGTCTGGGGGACTCCGGTTGGAGAGATGGCCTCAGGCCCTGGACAGGGCTGCCTGTCCCCTGAGTGCATGAGGAAGAATTTAATATTGGCTGGGACACAAATGATGGCCCCAGTGATTAGGATGCCATCCATCTCAATATAGCAACCATTATATCAGTGATTACCATCATCGTTATAAGTTCATGATTTATGGAGTTTGTGATGATTATTTTTGTAATGTTAAGTTAGAAGAATTTTTGGCAATAGATCAATTTGAAAGAAACTGAAATACAGTTTTTAAGTGAGGAGCTTGGCTGAATTAAACAACAAAGTGTGTGTGAGCGTTTTTGCGAGTATGTGTGTGCCTGGGCATGTCCCTCGTCCTGAGCCTGACCAAGAACCAGCTCCATGAAAGTGGACTTAGAGGCTTAGGGTAGGGCTGGGGTGTCATTTGACTCCCAAACTCTTGGAGAGAATTGACTAACATCAGATTGAGGTTCAGATATTGGGTCCCAAAAATGTCCCCAAGGACTGTGAGGTCCTGGCACTGCCCCACAGGAAATTATGGGCACAGGACAGAACTCTGCTCCTAGGGCTATGGCTGCCTCTAGACCAGGAGCTCTACAGGAGGGACAGTGACAAGGTCCCATGAATGTGGTTTGCAAGATGGCCTCAGGCCTGCTGTGTGAGTGTGTCTGAGAACAGCAGTGACTGAGCATTCCGTCCTTCCTGCCTCTTCCTACAGTGGTGAGTTTTCCTCTCTCCTCCCTCTGGCCAGGCTTTCCATGCCCGCGCTGCCTTCCGCCTCCGCTGCCTGGCCTTTGACACCCAGTGGCCATGTTGGGCTGTCCTCCTCCTCTCTAGCTGTGCCTTCTGTCCTGTGGGCTCATCCTCTGTCTGGCCACAGGGTGATGGGTCTGCTCAAGGACAAGGTGCCCTCTTTCTTTATGCCACCCCCATGCCCCATCTGCGTGGTGCCATTTGTACCTGTGGCCTTTTGGGACCCGTGTAGATAGCTCCGACCTTCCCACCCTGGCTCCTACCCATCCCTGAGCTCCATACTCAGCTCCGACCTTCCCACCCCAGCAACTACCCATCCCTGAGCTCCATGCTCAGCTCCGACCTTCCCACCCCGGCTCCTACCCATCCCTGAGCTCCATGCTCAGCTCCGAGCTTCCCGCCCCAGCTGCTACCCATCCCTGAGCTCCATACTCAGCTCCGACCTTCCCACCCCGGCTCCTACCCATCCCTGAGCTCCATGTTCAGCTCCAAGCTTCCCACCCCAGCTGCTACCCATCCCTGAGCTCCATACTCAGCTCCGACCTTCCCACCCCGGCTCCTACCCATCCCTGAGCTCCACGCTCAGCTCCGAGCTTCCCACCCCAGCTGCTACCCATCCCTGAGCTCCACGCTCAGCTCCGACCTTCCCACCCCGGCTCCTACCCATCCCTGAGCTCCATGCTCAGCTCCGACCTTCCCACCCCGGCTCCTACCCATCCCTGAGCTCCATGCTCAGCTCCGACCTTCCCACCCCGGCTCCTACCCATCCCTGAGCTCCATGCTCTCTCTCTGTCCATCCACCTGTCACAGCACCCGGCCCTGGCTCCACCTCACCCAGCTCAGACCCTCTGCTCTATCTGGGAACGGCACCACCACCATCCTGCAGATGATGCCAGAAACCCCAGGCCATCCCTGGCCCTTCCCAAATCCTTCCCCTCTCCAAAGTCAGTCTAGCACCAAGGTTGACCAGTTCCGTGCCCGGGGCCATCTTTCTGAAGATTGAGTCACCTGCCACCAGCACCTTGCTCTGTCCACTCCAGCCCCCGGGTCCGCATCCAACAGGACTCTGAGGAAACCCGTCCTGAACCACCAATGTTTTCACATCCCCTCTTTGTTCACACAGCCTTCAGCTTTTAAAGTCACCTTGTCACAGAAGCCTTTTCTGGTGTCTCAGATGAGGTCAGGCAGGGGTCATGCAGGTGATAGCTAGGGGTCAAATGCTCAGGTAGGGAGCCTCATACAACCGAGTTTCTCTCCTGAACAAAGCATGCTACAGTTGCAATTTCACACTTGTTCTTATGTATTTGAATAATTCCAGTTTATCCCACCATAGTGTATACTCCGTGAGGTTGGAGATTACATAAGTTTTCAAACATTGCTGTTTTCTCATTGCTTAACATACGGCCTGCCCATAAGTGTCTCTCCATCTATCTGTCCCTCCCATCCTCCATCATCCATCCAACCATCCTTCCCTCCCACCCTCCATCATTCATCCATCTGTCCTTCCTACCCTCCATCATCCATTCATCCATTCATCCCTCCTGCCCTCCATCATCTATCCATCCATCCCTCCCACTTTTCATCAGCCATCCATCCATCTCTCCCACCATCCATCCATCCATCCATCCATCTTTCCTTCCTACCCCCAATCATCCATTCATCCATCCATCTGTACCTCCCGCCCTCTATCATCTATCCGTCCATCCATCCCTCCCACCTTTCATCATCCATTCATCAATCCATCTGTCTCTCCCACCATCCATCCATCCATCCATCCATCCATCCATCCCTCCCTCCCTCCCATCCTCCATCCATCCATCCCTCCCACCTTTCATCATCCATCTATCTGTCTCTCCCAGCATCCATCCATCCAATGTCCCTCCCACCCTCCATCATCCATCCATCCATTCATCCATCCACCCCTTCTACCCTCCATCCATCCACCTGTCCCTCCCACCCTCCATCCATTCATCTATCCATCCATTCACCCGTCCATATACTCACCTGTTGTCCCCTCCCCCATCCATCCACGAATTCACCTATCCTTGCAAAAGTTATTGAGTGCTGCATGCCCTGTATGGTTGTTCTCATAGATTAACTGGGTTGATACTCCCAATAAACTTATGGGGAAGTAATGACTCTTGTTATTAAACACATGTTATAGAAAAAAAACCCCTGAGGCTTATGAAAGGTAAGAACTTGATCAACAAGTGAACATCAGAGCCCCAAATCTGGATGAATCAGCTCCATGCCCACATCTCTACCCATGAAGCCCTCTCTGCACAGAGACACCGGCACCGACTCTTCCACCATCTCCAAATGAAGGTCTATGTTCCCCAAGCCTGTCCTGACAAGAAGCTGTACAGAGGATTCTCTGCAGATGAGAATCTCCATCCTGGCTCTTATCTTAGACCCAGTGGAGGAGCCTGGCTATACAGTGGCATCACTGTCATATTAGAAATGCACGGGCATCATAACCCTCCTGGTATTATCTGAGTGACTTTCTGTGTCTTAGCTGGTGTCTCTGAGCCTTGGTTGCTTGTGGTTGGAATGGGGGCTGGAAGCCTGTACATCCTGTGCAAGGAGGGCCTGGGAGACAGCCTGTGAATGGTGGCTCTAGTGTCCTCTTTGTCTCCTGAAGATCATAGCTTCAGGTGTGGTGCTTGGGGCAAGCCACTGTCCCCTCCATCCTTCAGGGAGTTTAGTGGAATGGAAGCAGATGGATAAACTGGGGGTGGGGGAGTGGGTACTCAAACCTGCCCAGGCAAGGGGGTGGATGGAGAGATGGTGCAAACTCCGTGCATGGAAAACACGTGATCATGATGGGGAAGGGGCAGGACGCCTTCGTAGACTTGGGTAGCATGAGGACAGGATTCTGTACTCTCTTCTCACCTACCCCTGCCGGGTGTTTAAAGACTATTGTGTCATTTATTCCTCCCAAGTGTTCTGCCTGGAAGGTGCTCTGCAGATGAGTAAATTGACCAAGGACACAGCCAGTAATTGCTGGAGTCAGTATCCTGAACCCCAGCCTCCCCACCCTCTGGGCAGCTTCTCCACCCTCTGGGCAGCTTCTCCACACTCTGGGCAGCCTCTCCAACCTCCGGGCAGTCTTTTCACCACATCACACTGCACTGCACAGTGGGATGAACACAATTCCTGGCAACAAAAAAGGGAAAACTTAAATACATTGGCATGGAAGTGCCAGGCACTTACAACTTAATTTTAGGGCTGGAGTGGGAGAAGTGGTTGTTGCTGATTTAAAGGACCTGGATGTCTGGCTAAAGAATTTGAACTTCAGCTTGAAGGCAAGGGGAAGCAGGGAGTGTCTTAGCGGCGGGACGGTGAGCAAAGCTCCTCTGGGGAAGGCGCTCGGATGATGGGACGGAGAGGGGCAGCTGGAGGGAGACGCAGCAGCATTCTGCACCTTCACCTCACTCAGTTCTCACAAAGATTTAGGCATGGATATGAGAGTTTCAAACTGTTTCAAAAATGAAACAGTGAAGTGTTGGGTGTAATTTAAATAGATGTGTATTTTTTAATGTATTAAAAAATCTAGCAACTCCACAAGATAAAAGAGGGCACACAAAGTCATCATATGAACTCGGAAAATCATTGCCGCTCCTGAAAAGAAACACATTCAGATTCCCCAAGGGCTTTTCCATCTTGCTCCACCGAGTGGAAGGGGTTCCAGGAAAAGAAGGAGCATCAGCTCCAGGAAAAGAAGGATATCCTTGGGAAGTATATCCCAAGACTTCCCCACATGTGGAGAGACGTGACCTGGAAGTGAATGGTCAACCAGAGGAAAAGTTAAGACAAAAAATTATTATGAAGAAAAACCCTGGCCCACCACTGTAGGATTGCTGCAGAGGAAGAAGGGATATTGAGGACCTACCCTGTGCCAAGCTTCCAGGCTGAATTAAAGGAAGGCCGGGGCCGGGCGTGGTGGCTCACGCCTGTAATCCCAGCACTTTTGGGAGGCAGAGGCGGGTGGATCATTTGAGATCAGGAGTTCAAGACCAGTCTAGCCAACGTGGTGAAACCCTGTCTCTATTAAAAATACAAAAATTAGCCGGGCGTGGTGGCGGGCACCTGTAATCCCAGCTACTCGGGAGGCTGAAGCAGGAGAATTGCTTGAACCCAGGAGGCAGAGATTGCAGTGAGCTGAGATCACACCACTGCACTCCAGCCTGGGCAACAGAGTGAGACCCTGTCTCAAATAATAATAAAAATAATAATAAATAAAAATAAAGGAAGGTCTGGTTAAAAAGACAGAATAAGTGGTGATTAGGTGGAGGAGTCAGACCTGAATAGGTCACTTAGAAATCTCTTAGCAGGAGTCAGTGCCTAGGTCCCTCACGGAAGCATCTATGACCGCGGAGGCCACCTCTCCATGTGCCACTGCGTTACTGATGTTGAACAAAATGAACATCAAGAGCCACAAACCCACAGGGACTCCCTGCCCTGCCACAGCCCAGAGGGCAGAGAAAATGGGTTTTGGATGACGGAGAGCCCAGGAAAGCCATTCCAGCCTGCATCAGAGCAAACAGGATGGCCAGAGAGACCAGCGCTTGCAGGAAGATCACATGGAGAGAGAAAGGGTCTTGCGGTGGAGCCAACGCTGGCACAGAAGGAAATGGAGGAGAGAGAGAAGGAAAGGGACAGCGGCAAAAAAGAAAGAAAAACAAGTGAACGTTAAACAACAAACTGAAGAAAACATCCCCTATAACAATTGTCAGTGAATTCGTCAAAGGCTTAATTAGAACAGCGAAGTGATGAACAAAGGTCTGGTAAAAATGCCAACTGCATCCATCATGTGCACTAATACACATTTAAATGCCAACTGCATCCATCGTGTGCACTAATACACACCTAAATGCCAACTGCATGCATCGTGTGCACTAATACACACCTAAATGCCAACTGCATGCATCGTGTGCACTAATACACACCTAAATGCCAACTGCATGCATCGTGTGCACTAATACACACCTAAATGCCAACTGCATCCATCGTGTGCACTAATACACACCTAAATGCCAACTGCATCCATCGTGTGCACTAATACACACCTGAATGCCAACTGCATCCATCGTGTGCACTAATACACAACTGAATGCCAACTGCATGGATCGTGTGCACTAATACACACCTGAATGCCAACTGCATCCATCGTGTGCACTAATACACACCTGAATGCCAACTGCATGGATCGTGTGCACTAATACACACCTGAATGCCAACTGCATGCATCGTGTGCACTAATACACACCTAAATGCCAACTGCATCCATCGTGTGCACTAATACACACCTAAATGCCAACTGCATCCATCGTGTGCACTAATACACACCTGAATGCCAACTGCATCCATCATGTGCACTAATACACAACTGAATGCCAACTGCATCCATCGTGTGCACTAATACACACCTGAATGCCAACTGCATGGATCGTGTGCACTAATACACACCTGAATGCCAACTGCATGGATCGTGTGCACTAATACACACCTAAATGCCAACTGCATCCATCGTGTGCACTAATACACACCTAAATGCCAACTGCATCCATCGTGTGCACTAATACACACCTAAATGCCAACTGCATCCATCGTGTGCACTAATACACACCTAAATGCCAACTGCATCCATCGTGTGCACTAATACACACCTAAATGCCAACTGCATGCATCGGGTGCACTGACTAGTACACACCTAAATGTAGAATGAAGATGAAACAACCTTGGCAATGACAGACCTTAAAAAACAGTACAAATAAAAATAATATAACTAACATAATCCGAAAGAAGCACTGACGTGTGAGAGGAAGGGAAAACCGGCTGGTTTCTTCCTCATTCACAGCAAATTCAGTGAATAGACAGCAAATAAAATGTGAACACATGGCCAGGCATGGTGGCTCATGCCTGGAATACGAGCACATTGGGAGGCCGAGGTGGGTAGATCATGTGAGGTCAGGAGTTCGAGACCAGCCTGGCCAACATGGTGAAACCCGTCTCTACTAAAAATACAAAAATTAGGCAGGTGTGGTGGTGTGCACCTGTAATCCCAGCTACTTGGGAGGCTGAGGCAGCAGAATCGCTTGAACCTGGGAGGCAAAGGTTGCAGTGAGCCGAGATTGTGCCACTGCACTCCAGCCTGGGCAACAGAGTGAGACTGTCTCAAAATAAAACAAAAATAAAAATAAAAATAAAAATAAAATAAAATAAAACAAAATAAGAACACAGGCACACTCACACTCACTCATACACCCTCATTATCAAACTCTCAATGTTTCTATTTTTTTCTCTTAAAAAGATCTTTAGAAATGAACATTTCCATGGTAAAGAAATGAAGATCGACCATTCCCTTTGTTTTACTTTATTTTTCATATTAAATATAATTTAAAATAAATCATCTAATTAAAAGCATGAGTAGAAGGACTTCCCACCCTCCCTGCTGTTCCTCCCACTGACCTCCCACCTGGCTGGTGGAGGCCGTCTGGGGTTGTTTCCTTGTATGAAGGCAAGTTCCTGTTGGGGGATGAGATTGGGGTGATAATGTTGCTTTCTGTACTAAAAAAAAATTTCCTAATGCACATGTGTAATTTTCACAAAAAAATAAAATAATTGAAATTACTAAAGAGAACAAGCAGACGGGTTTTCACCATGGCCTGGGCATGAATACCTCTCTTGACCTTGTTCTAAGGCACATGGGGACTGCTGGGTGGAGCATGGATCTGGATAGCAGGCTGAGGTGGAGCCTCCCAGCAATCGGCTTCCAGGAGGGAATGGTGTGCAGGCCAGCACCGCCTCCTCTCCATGGACCACTCAAGGCTGAGGCTCCAGAGCAGATGCCTGTGCTATTCCTGACTATTCCTGAAGAGATTGGCACCTGCGGGGCCTGAGTGTTTCCCTGCACAGAGGAGAGCAGGGACTTTGGCGACCCTGGACGCAGCTGGGGACACTGGGCTCGGTTGAGTGCTGTATGAGAGGCCAGTCCTGGTCACAGTAGAATCTGGGGCACATGAAGCTGGGGATTAAGGCAAAGACAGCACATCCAGCCTGGCCACATTGTGGTTTCTATATAAGTTCCTGATGGGCAGGCCTGTCTCTGATGGGCCAGCAGCTGCCCCCATGCCCCGGCACCCACGCCAGTCATCCAAGGTCTCAGAAGGAAACATCTGAGACACTCCTCCAGCTTTGGAATCATGAACTCAGCTCTTCCTGAAAGTATCGTGTGTGTGTGTGTGTGTGTGTGTGTGTGTGTGTGTACCCATGTACGTGTGCATGCGTGTGTGTGCCTGTGTGTTTAGTGCTTGGGGGGTGTGTGTTTGTGGCTTATTGAAACTATGAATTTTACTGAATCAGTAGAGCCGATCATTCTTTCTGCACAAACCTGGTCCCACCTCGGTCATGCCTCTGTCTGACATCTATCAGTCAATTTATCCATCAATGGTAGAATAAAGTCAATTATCAAAGCTGGCAGTGCGGCCGGCTGCTTTCTTGAAAGTAACAATCAGTCGGGGAGCATGTCTTGCTAATTCCATCCTGAATCTGCCTTCTTCCCTCTTGGGACAGGTGCCTGCGTCCGCACCCCTTTCCTCTGCCAATGGGGAGACCACAGGCTTCCCTCCCTGCTTGCGTGGGCTGGACCCCTCCCCACCTCGGCATGGCTTGTATCAGGGGCAGGAAGGTAGCCAGGAGCATCACGCATGTGAAGCAGTAACTATTTTAGTACATCCAAGGGAGGGAGCTGCTTCCTGCTTTACACACAGGTCCAACAACATGAAGACGGGAATCTCAAGAAAAACAAAGTTATAAATCACAAATCAAGATCATAAAATAAAATCAGTATTGAAATAATGGCAGTAAATGGGTGCTTTTGATGTGGTCTGCGTTGTAAGACACAGGGAGAAAATGCCTCTGTAAAACTCTAATAAATCGCTTTGTTTAATCACTAGAATATAAATGGAATTTAAAGGGTCATCTGAGAGTCATCCTTTAAAATAACACATTAGCTTTTCTTCTATGACAGTTTGGGGGAAAGATGCCATTATTTAGAGCTTGTGTACTTCATTTATTTTTAAATTAATAGTTTTTTAGTTTTCTATCTTCAAAAATTTCCTTAAAGCATTCATCTACTTTCTCTATTTCCTTTTCCCTAATTTCAGAGAAGAGTTTGTGTCTTTATTTTCCTGTCGTGGATGCAGAGAGCTCCTGCGGGTGTTTACAAAAGGTCCCTTGGTGTCATTCTGCTTCTTGGCCCTCCATCACTCATGGAATCACAGCTGATGCCTGGGCTCACAGTTCTCCGAGAAATCACTGGTGCCAGGGAAAAGTGTTCTCTGATTGATATAGCACACTTGCTATGTTTCACAGTTCAGCCCAAGCTCTAGCTGCTATTTCTTAAGCAAATGTGTGCTGTCTTCGTGGAGGTGGCAGTGGAGAAAGGAAAATATCAGCTCTCAGTGATATCACTAACAACACCCAGGGCAACAATTACGCTGGCACGTCCTTTACTCTGGGACCTGCCTGGCCCTGAGGCCGTGTGGGCTTTGCTGGTCGGGTCCTCCCAGCCCTAAGAGGGGCAGGTCTCAGGATCCCATTTTGCAGACCGGGAAGTGGGGTCACCAGACAAGGACTGCACACTGTCCCACAACAAGGAGTTGTTGGATCCCAGTCCCAAACCCAACGTGTGTGACTTCAGAACTGGTGCTCTGAGGAGCTTCTCAGTCACCATCACTGTGCACTCCCTTAGCAGGGATGGATGTGGAAACTCACTCCTGAATTGGACAACTATTGCTGTTTTCCGTGGAGCTGCCAGAGGGATCATTGTAGAGCAACGGTCACCAGAGCACCACTCAGCTGTAAACACTCACTGCAACGAAGCTAAACCCAGACGACAGATCTGGCATGGCCTGGCCTCCGCTGCTCCCCAGCCTGGAGGACTCTGGCCATGCCTCGGGGACATTTCTAGGCTGGAGCATAGACGAGCCAGTGCACGGACCTCCAGTTCTGAGTCCTGCCCTAACACCTGGGAGGAACGTGTGAGTTGTTGATGAGCCGCGATCTGTAGCCATGCTGGAGGAGTTGGCATGAATGGGAAATCCACCTTTCTTGCAAACTCCGACATGCCACTGAGAATTCAGAGTGATAAGCTTAGCCTAAAGCTGCCTCCTCACATAAGTTCAGCCTAAATGGCATGAACCCAGGAGGCGGAGCTTGCAGTGAGCCAAGATCACGCCACTGCACTCCAGCCTGGGTGACAGAGCGAGACTCTTTCTGAAAAAAAAAAAAAAAGTCTTTCTGTACACAGTGAACTGTACCAAACTGGACGTGTAAATAGTCTGTAACCTACTCTTGTGCCAGTCATCGAGTTTTCCCTGATCAAGTAAGACAGACCCTAAGCTGGAGCCAAGTGGCTGCTTCTGGACTGCGCTCTGTCTTCCGTAAGTCACCCTACTTTTTCTGTTCATAAATCTTCTTTGGTCCCACGGCAGTGCCGGAATCTCCCTGAATCTCTTCTGGTTCGGGAGGCTGACTGATTCCCGAACCATTCTTTGCTCAGTTAAACTCTGTTAGATTTAATTTGTGTAAAGTTTTTCTTTTAACGAGAGTTAGCTTCTTCCTCCTCCCTGGCCTCGCCTGTCCTTGCTGATGCGGAAACAGGTTCCAAGAGAGGTGCCTGAGCGCGGTCAGGAAACCTCCAGACGTGGCAGAGCCACGGTGACAAGGAGATCCTGTCTCAGGCTGGGGATGTGGGACCCAGGTGTGCAGGCAAAAGAGCTGGGGAAACTGAGGCCTGCAACGGCACAGGGGGAAGCACGAGCACTGTGATCAAAGGCTCAACCCTGCGGTCCATTCCCTGCCCACTGTGGGGCCCAGAGCTGTGAGCTTGGATGCCGGTGTCATGAAGTTAAAGCACAAAGCTTCTGAGTCCCCGTCTGGAGGACAGCTGCCCCGGCATGCTGCCCAGCTGGCTCTGACAGTGTGAGGATAGACTCTCACTGACCCTGCGCTTGAGCTGGACAAGCCTGTGACTCCCTTCCAGCAACAGAATGTGGCCCCCATGCTGCGTAGTACAGAA
This sequence comes from Homo sapiens, assembly GCF_000001405.40. Taxonomy (NCBI): domain Eukaryota; kingdom Metazoa; phylum Chordata; class Mammalia; order Primates; family Hominidae; genus Homo; species Homo sapiens. Next base: position 48,867,486 of record NC_000022.11, read on the forward strand.
TCTTCCAGGCCTCTGTCCTGGCACCCCTGCTGCCTGAAGCACCTTCCCCGAGGAAGAAGCCACCGGTTTGGAGCGGAAGAGGCCAGCCAAGGGGCCGGGGCCTGGGAACGGTGGGTGGCTGTGCTGAAAACCATCTGAATCAATTCAAGTTGAACTTGAACTGCATTTTATTCCACTGACATCAGAATTGGATCTCCTCTGGGGTTGTGGGAAGGATTCAATATTTAGAGACATTAATTACTTCAGCACCACATTCTGCCTACTGTACGGTACACATGGGGGACAGGACTCAAATTAAACTGGTCCCTGCTCCTGGGGAAGCCACATTCAAAGAGGAGACAATTGTGAATGAAGCTGCCTGGAACATAATGGGGCCGTCTGCAGGGGAAGGCAGGACTAGCTCAACCCTAGGTAATTAAAGGTCTCTGTGAGATGGGTCTTGAGGGTTGAGTAGGAGCTTAAAAAGCAGTTTGAAGGGATGAGTCTTTCCAGGAAGCAGGAATGACCTGTGCGACCCTGAGGGGGTGCAAAGGACAGAGTGTGCTGGAGAAGGGAAGGAGTGCTTTGTCCTTCGTCCTGCCTGGTGGGGCAGGGCCTCCGGGGTACAGACCCCACCACTCGCGTGCACCAGGGGTGACAGCCAGCTCCATGCAGATGGCCTCCAAAGCGGTCGCTCCTGGGCTTAGCTTCCCTGAAATTAGAAGCAGACGCCTGTGCACGTGTATTATCAGCTTTCGAACATTGAAGGAAACAGCTCTTTTGCAATAACTGGATTCATCATGATACAGATTTTCCCTGTGACCTCTTTATTACTTTTACGCACCACCTTGTATTAAAAAAAAAAAAAAGAAAAAGTCTCAGCCTTCTACTCCCTGCAGCCTGGTTGACTCAGATTTCTTTCACTGTTTCTCCTGTACAAACAGGCAAGGGAATGAACCTCCCCTGCCACGGTTTCCAAGCATATTAAAATATGGTCACCCCTGCAGAACTCCTAATGTTCTTGTTTAATGTGTCAGAAAAGCAAATGGAATTTTATTTTGCTTTGGCACCAGTGGAGAAGAATAATCGTGTCCTCATCAGGAGGGCTGGAAGCAGTGTCCATTTGCAAGTCCTGCAGATGGGGGGTCAGGGAGGCTTTGCCTGAGGCTAAAATGCCCTCAGAATCCTCTGCCAGTTCCTGGCCCGGAGGCCTGGTGTTAGTTAGCTCTACAGCTACAGAGAGAAATCCTGGAAGATGGCTTCAGGCCCGCAGCTTCCCAGGAAAGGAGGTCAGATGACATCTCCAAAGTGGTCCTTCCTGGAAGGTTTCAGAGATGATCAACCCCTAAGCAGGGCCCGTGCCTGGTGACTCTCGGGTCCAGGGATGGCTGGCATATTCCTGGCACCGTCCCTGGGTGGGAGCAAGGGCACCATTTGGTTTTGCCTGGAAATTGGACCTTGGCTCCTTGTTCCAAACCGAATGTGGCTGAGGAGCACTCAAATAGTTTCAGGAAACACCCTTCAAATTCAGTTTGCTGGGTTCAGCAAGTCAAAATACAGGAGGATTAGTTACATTTGAATTATAGATAAACAAGGCACTTATTTTTAGTCTAAGCATGTCCTAGGCAATATTGGGGCTAAACTTATAACAAAATTTATTTGTTGTTGACCTGAAATTCATATGGGACTTAGGTACTGAAATTTACCTGGCAATCTACCTCCAGTGCAGCTGACGTTACAAAGGGACTCTGGGTCGTGGAGCTGCCCGGCGTCCTGGCTGTGGGATGGGTACAGGCCTGTAGGCATGCAATGCACGGGCCCACAAAGGGCCCATGGCAGTGCCCAGGTGATCAGGACCAGACGAGACTGTGGGGCCAAAGGGAGGCTGTCACACCTGCGGGGCCCTGGGGAGGGAGCTGTCAGAATTGGGAGGTGGCTTGGATACGGTTGGGGAGCTGGTTGTCCTGGAAAACCGGTGGGTTGGGACATTATTTCCCAGGTTAGGAGGGAGCGGGGAAGGGAACGGGCTTTGCCAAGACATTCTTTTGTCTAATTATTTGGACTGGCACAGCATTTGGGCCCGATAGCACTCAGTATATCTGTGCGCAAATACCTGGCTTGACTGCCCTGTGTCCACCTTCCACCCTGGCCCCCAGGGCTCCAGGCTGACAGTCAGACCTGACCACTTTACCTTCATGCTCAAAAGCCTGTGCTGCCTGCTCCTAATAAACTTGAAACTGGCTTGTCTTCTAAGCTGGGCCTTTGGTGGCCATGATAATTTGGCCTCCTGACAGTAGCTGCTCCAGCATCATTTTTTCCTTCCTTTTTAGAGAGCCATGATCTTACTCAGGATGGCCACACACTCATCTAGAAGAGGCCATCTCCAGGCCTATTCTGCAGTCAGATCAGTCCAGACCACTAGGTTCTGGCCAAGGCGAGGTCAGCAGAAGTATTGCGGTATTCTGGGAGGGCCCCTTCTTCCAGGATAGCACACGTGATGGTTGGTGCACACGCAGCCATCTTGGACCCTGAGGCAAATTCAGTAAGGATCCAAGCATAGTAAGAGAAGGGGCCTGAGCCCTGGAGGATTCCATTCCCCTTCTCTCTGCCCTGTCCACCCCCCGATTTGTGCAGGAGAGAGAAGTGATCTTTCACATTGGTTAGGCCATTGTTCCTTCTTTTTTTTTCTTTCCTAACTTTTCATTCTCCTCTTTTACTATTTCTTGCCTGTTACTCCTTGAAAAGGCACTGCACCATCTTGCTTTGGTCCTCCCCCTGCCTCCTGCCAGGGAGACTTCTCTCTTTTATTTTTTCTCCACCTTACAAGCATCTGCTCAGTCCCCACCCTCAGCTCTCCCATCATCCTCCCGGGTAGATTCCGCAGTGCGCTCCATCCTGCTTCCCCCAGGCAGCCTTGGTGTGGTCTGTGTGCCCCTGGGGTGGGTGCCTGTCCTCCTCTGCTAAGCTCCCAGGGAACATGAACTACGTCTCCTGCCTGATTTCGCCATCATTCTTGATCCCTCTAAAACACAGCGTTTGCCAGACTCTCATGCTGTCAAATGCTCTTTTGCCCTACGCCCTGCTCATCTCATGGGCCTGAAGCTCTACGGAGGGGCAGACGGTTTAACTTGTCATGGAAATCAAGGCTGCGCTGTGAAGGCACACCTGGCTGTTGCTGAGGATGCAAAAGAGAACCGAACACACCCTGGGCCCCCCTGTGGGGGCCGGGGGAGAAACGTCAGGGCCAAGGGCTGTGCCAGGGGCTGGGACTCTAGGCTGAGGCACCTGAGGCAGGCCCTGAAGGTCGGCTCCTCCTCGCCTGAGCAGCTGGAGCCACCAAGCGGCACATTTTCCTTCAGGGGAAATTTGCCAATGTGTTTTGAATGACCGTCCAAAATGTGCGCCCAGAAGCCAGTTGACATAATGAAAACGCTCTTTTGTTGGAAGTCATTTTTCCATGCAGGTATGCATATAAAATCGAATGTGTACTTGAGATGGAAAAACAGATGGTTTAACTGTCTCTAATATTGTAGAGGGGTCACCTATTACCATCATTTCAGCCAAAATTTCCATCATAATGGCGTGCCCCCGGAATCAGGGGGCCGTGGCACCTCCACATCGCCCGTGTGTCTGCATGATCTTCCTCCAGCAGCAGCGGGAGCACACACCCTGTGCCGGGGGCTTCCTGCTGGTGTGGATTAAACGGCTCTCAAGGGTCCATGCACTGGTGTTGTTTTGTCAAGATGTGGCTTTTATTTTTAAAGATGCAGTCTCACCCTGGGTTCTTAGTGTGAGGGGGCGAGCTGGTGCCCTCCCGGGGCCGAGCCAGTCTGCAGCCCCCAGCTGTCTCTCTAGGGACCTGAGATCCATCTGGGGGTGTCCTATTCTGAGCAGCGTGCGAGCTTCTCCCTGGCAGCACATCCTCTGGCTCTGCAGCTGGGAGCAGGGCTCCAGGGAAGCACGAGGTGCTCAGAAGGGAGGGCCAGGTTGAACACTGGAGTCTGAGGAGTGATGGAGGTGGTGAACTGATGCCCGCCCCGCTGTTCATTTTCTTATTTGGCACACATTTACCAAAACTCTAAGAGGTGGCCATCCCCCTGCCTCCCCATCTGGGCATCCACCCCAACACCCCAGGAAGCAGCTCTGGTCTGGTTCCCCGCTGGGTCTCTACACACCCCCAGCCAGCCTCCCCACTGCGAGTCCTGTCCCTCTTGGGCTCCTGTGAGGCCGAGTCCTCCTGTCCCCCACCCACCACCCTGCTGCCCCTCCCAGCTTCCTCCCTGGATGCTACTGGGAAGGCCAGAGTTCACCCTCCTCTGCCTCTCTGGCCCTACGTGGCTTCCTCACCCCTGTATGTGCACATGCACCTGCTCCCTGGGGGCCTCAGGCTCTTCCTGGTCTGAAGAGCCCTGGAGGTCCCCACAGCAGAAACATAACACACAACAAAGGCTCCAAAGCCACAGCTTCAGCCTCTATAGAGCTCAGGACCTGATAAAGTCCAGGAGGCTAGGCTGGTCCGGCCCCTCCCCTGGCTCCGAGAAGCAGCCGCGGGGCTTCTGTGGTCTCGTCCCTGGCTTTGCCCAGGTCCACCTTGTTCGTCTCACTGAGGAACATGGCTGTTCTTGTAGGGCACTGGGGAAATTAACATGAGCCTCCAGGCATCTGAGACAGTGTGTGCCACCACGGCCATGGGGCACAAGTCAGGCCCCTGTCCCTCCTGCCTCCCCATGACAGGGACACCTGGAGCTCAGTCCCAGGTGCTCTGAGATCTGGAACCTAATGCTCCACCCCCATCACTTCCTCCCTCCTGCCTTCCATGGCAGGGATACCCAGAGCTCAGTCCTGGGTGCTCTGAGATCTGGAACCTGATGCTCCATCCCCATCCCCCCCATCGCTTCCTCCTCCAGCAACGCAGGGTAAACATTCCCTGAGCCCCTTCACTGATGGAGCCCTAGAGACCCTCCCCGCAAAGGGCTCACATCCAGAGCAGGGCAAAAGCCAGGTTCATCCAGCGGGGAGGAAGGGGGAAGGGAAACACCAGGTGGGCAGTAGACAGAGCAGCCTCCAGCCCAGCGGGTTTAGCATGTGCTTCCTACCCAAATATACACGTGATAATTTACTTATTTCTTGTTTGTCTTGCTTGTCTTCTGCTAGAATATTAGCTCAATGAAGGTAGGGATTTCCTTCCTTCCTTCCTTCCTTCCTTCCTTCCTTCCTTCCTTCCTTCCTTCCTTCCTTCCTTCCTTCTATTACATTCCAAGCATCTTGTACAGTGCCTGGCATATGATGTGTTTTCAAGACTTAAGCAAATGAATGAATCGACACACGTGTTGGTCAGTTGCCAAAGGCTTCTTCTCTCTCCGCTGAATCAGGCATCCCACTATCAGTGCGCAGGACCTGCTTCCAAATGTGTGCCTTTTCCGTGAGATTTCCAGACTCATGCTCAGGAACCTCTGGGTGTCCTGCAAAGTGAGGCTGCTACAGCAGGGGCTGACGGCCGGGACACCTTCCCTGGGGCGGCTGCTGGCCATCCTGTCTGATGGGCCAGATGTCTCCACCTGCTTGGATTCAGAAATCCCCCCGACTCCAAAACGAACCTTTAAGTGTGGCGCAACTTTCGGAATGAGCAAGCGTCAAACCCAGCAGCTGCCTCTTCTTGGGGACCACGGCCCGGTGGCTGAGGAGCTGCAAGTGCTGTCCCTGAGACTCTGTCATGCCTGAGGCTGCCCTTGCTCCCACGGACTGCATGGGAATTATCATCGCTGCCACATGTCACAGAAATTTTTCTGTGAAATGCAAATCGCATTAATTTCCCCATTCCCTAATCCAGAACATTGAATTTTATGCTAATAATGCCAGCAGAATCTCATATGAAAACCAGAGAGGAATCACTGGGTCCTTCCCTTCCCCAGGGACTGTCTCAGCTTTGGAAATGTCACATGCACAAAGAGAGGGGCTGTTCCCCAAACAGGCCATTATCACAGCTACATAGTGAAGGGAGTGCTTTTCCTTTTAAAATCATTGTATTGAGACATGATATCAATACAATAAATGCAATTCTTTTCAGTACAGTGTAATGAGTATTGACTATTTTATACCTATGCAACCATCAACCTCCAATTTGTTCTTTTTCAAAATTATTCTCATTATTCTAGATCCTTTGCGTTGTCCTATAAATGTTAGAATCACTTACATATTTCTATTTAGAAAAAAAAATCCTGCTGGGATTTGTATTGGGATGGCATTGATTGTATAAGTCTTGTCGGGCAGAATTGTTGTGCTAAAAATATTGTTTCTTCTACTTCACGAATTTCCTCTATCATTCCATTTATTTAGGGCTTTCGTTTCATATTTTTCTTAGTAGTATTTTATGATTCTAAGTATACAGATCTTACACTATTTCAAAAAATTATCCCTAAGTATTTCATGCTTTTTTCATGCTACTGTAAATATTGATAATTAAATTTCCCATTGGTTCATTGTTAGTATTTAGAAATACAGTTACCTTTGTGGTCTTGCTGAGATCATTCAGATTCCGTAGGATATTCTGCTCATGTCACCTTCACATAAAAATGTTATTCCTTCTTCAATCTGCATTTTCAGGTTTGTTTCTGTCAGTGAATAATGAATATTGTCAGATGCCTGTGTCGAATTTATTGACTTTCTTCTATATTCTGTTAATATAGGGTGTTACATTGATCAATTTTCTAAATCCACCTGACATTCCTGGGAATGAATATACACACGTGCACACACAGATATACACAGACATGTATATATATATATATATATATATATATATATATATATATATATATGTATAGGCATGTGTCTATGTCTTTGTATACATATGTATCTAGATTCAATTTGCTAATAATTTATAAACATTGGCATCTATATTCATGATATTTTTAAAAGTTAACGTTGTGTGATTTTCCCCTCATCATAATCGTGGTGATGCTGGACACATAGAATAAGATGGAAGGTTTTTCTTTTCTGTTTTCTGGAAGAGCTCACTTGGGACTGGTGCTGTTTCTTCCTTAGTGTTTGACAGAATCCATCACTGAATGCATCCAGGTCTGGAGTTTTCTTTGAGGAGAGACTATAAATTATGCATTTAATGACTATTCAGATTTGGTACTCCTTTCTTCAATATTGATAATTTGTGCCTTTCAAGGATGATTTTCATTTTGTCTATGTTGTCCAATTTATTGCATAAATTTACTCATGTTTCTTTTCATCCTTTGAATTTATACTGTGCCTGTAATGAGTCCCTTCCTTCATTCACGATATTGGTATTTATGTCTTATCTCGTTTCTCTCACTTTCTCCTTTTTTTTTTTTTTTTAGAGGCAGGGTCTCACTGTGTCGCCCAGGCTAGAGAGCAGTGGCGACCATAGCTTACTGTAGCCTTGAACTGCCGGGCTGAAGCCATCTTCTCGCCTCAGCCTCCCGAGTAGCTGGGGCCACAGGCAGGCACCATGTCTTTCCTGAACAAACTGAAAGCAACCCTTCTCAGATTTATCAGAGAGTTTAGGACACAAGGTAAGACACTGCCTCCACAGCTGCAGAGAAATGCATGTGGGTCTAGAGAATTACACCTTCCCAGGAACAGACGCCCAGGAGCAGAGGCTGGCAGCCAGACTCAGGACTGGTAGAAGCACCGCGGAGGCTCAGTGTGGACAGGCCTGAATGTCAAACACTCGGGAGGGGACCCCAGTCTTAGGAGGTCCCACACTGCCCGGACCTCACAGTGAATATCAGAGAAAACTCCCCTCTGCTTCTAGCAGGGGTGGGAAAAGCTCTGGAGCTCTGCTCTTAATAGGGGCTGCTCTCAAGAGAAAAAGTGTTACCAGATCTTAACCTCCTGGGGTTTTATCAGTGCCTAATGACCCAGGGAGGAGACACACCCAACTCCAGCCCCTCTAGCTTTCCTGTCTTGTTTAAGGGAGAGGAAATCAAAACAAAGCTGAGCAGCACTTGTGAAGGTCACAGTCCAGGGGACACAGGCTCCCTAAAAACTGAGACTAATCAGGGACCAGAGGATACCCCTTCCACACCTCAGCACCTTATTTAAGAAGGGGAGACCCAGGGACAGTAGGGAAGACCAAAGCAAGAGCCTCAGAGGAGCTTTGAACCTCCAATACCTATAGCTAATTCTCAGCCAGAGAAACTTCAAACTGACAAGAAAGGCTTCTTTGTCTCAATTTCTTTTACCCACTACAATATGTTTACCTCTCAGCAAAAAATGTAGAGCCGGGCGCAGTGGCTCATGCCTGTAATCCTAGCACTTTGGGAGGCCCAGGCAGGTGGATCACCTGAGGCCAGGAGTTCGAGACCAGCCTGACCAACATGGTGAAACCCCGTCTCTACTAAAAATACAAAAAAATTAGCCACGCGTGGTGGTTCAGGCTTGTAATCCCAGGTACTTGTGAGGCTGAAGCAGGAGAATTGCTTGAACCCCAGAGGTGGAGGTTGCAGTGAGCCAAGATAGCACCACTGCACTGCAGCCTGGGTGACAGAGCGACACTCCATCTCAAAGAAAAAAAAATGTTGCAAGGCATATCACAAAACAAAAACATAATTTGAATAGAAAGAGCCAGCATGAATACCAGACTCAGATATGGCAGAATTTTTGGGATTATCAAACCAGAAGTAAAAAATAATTATAATTACTTTATTAAGGGCTATAATGAAAAAAATGGACAACATGCAAGGACAGATGAATAATGTCAGCAGAGAAATGGAAATTCTAAGAAAGAGTCCGGAGGAAAGGCTGGAAATAAAAAACACTGTAACAAAAAGGAAGAATGCCTTCAATGGGCTCATCTGTAGACTGGACGAGGCTGAGAAAGAGTCAGTAGGCTTGGAGACGTCAATAGAAACTTCCAAAACCGATGAAAAAAGAAAAGAACCAGAATATCCAAGAGCTCTGAGACAATTACAAAAGGGGTAACATACTCATCATGGGAAAAGAAAAGGACAATATAAAGAGAAAAGAACACAGTACATATTTGAAGGGATCATAGCTCATAATTTTCCAAAATTAATGATAGACACCAAACCACAGATCCAGGAAATTCAGAGCATCCAACAGGATAAACACCAAAAAATCTACACCTAGGCATATCATGTTCAGACTGCAGAGAATCAAACACAAAGGGACAATGTTGAAAGAACCAGCTTTTGGTTCTATTGATCTTTTCCATTGTTTGAGGTTTTTCAATTTTATTGATTTCTATTCTTATCTTTAATATGCCCTACCTTTTAATTTTAAGTTTCATTTGCTTGATTTTTCTTTTCTTGTTGTGTAATATTAGATCATTAATTTCAAAACACTTTTCATTTTTCATGTGAACCTATAAAACTACAAATTTCATTCTATGCACTGCTTAACTAAAGGCCACTAAATTTTCATTCAGTTTATAATGTTTTATAATTTTTCATGTGATATCCTCTTTGACCCATGGGGTATTTAGAAAAGTAATTTAAAAATTCAAAATATTTAGGGATTTTCCAGACGGGCTTTACTACTTGGTTTATAATTTAATTCCACTTTAGTCAGAGAACATGCTATCTATGCTTTTAGTCCTTTTAAATGTACTGGAACTTAATACATATTAATTTCCTGTCTGGTTCAGATTTTACAACAGTGCAATTTTCCAAATCTGCAACCTGTCTTTAATTTGGGTTAGAGTGTTTTTCACTTTCTCTGTCTCTCCTCTCCTCCCCTTCCTCCTTCCTCTCTCCCTCTCCCTCTCTGGTAGAATATAATGAGTTTTAACACACGCACAGAATCCTACAACCACTGTCACAGAAGGTAGAGAGTCCTTATACCCGCCGCAGAGCTCCCCCATGCTGCCCTCTGTATTGAAACCCCACCACATCCTAACCTCTAGTAATCGTTGAACTTTTCTCCACCAATATAAGTTTGATTCTCAAGAATGTCAGCTTTCGAGAGGCTTATTTTTCCCTTAGCATAATGCCTTAGAGATGCATCCAACTGGTGCACATCAATAGCTTATTTCCCTTTATGACTAAATGAATCCCACCGTATGGATACCTATTATTCTATGCATGCTACCGTTGTAGGACAGGTGCGACGTTTCCAGTTAATGAACAGAATAGATAGAGCTGCTACAAACATCCATATGCAGTTTTGGGTGTAAACACAAGTTTTCATTTCTTTGGGGTAAACACCTACAAATAAAATTCCTGTCATCTGGTAAGTGTGTTTAACTTCATTAAAAACAGCCAATTTTAGAGTGTCTGTATACTTCTTATGTCTGCTAGCCATGACACAAGAGATGTTCAGCTGCTCACCTTTCTCACTAGTACACACTGTTGCCTGTATATGTATATATTCTCCATTCTAGCAGGTGTGCAGTGATCTCTCCTTGTGGTTTTGATTCCTATTTCCTTAATGCCTAATGATGTTGAGCACCCTTTCATCCACTTCTTTGGTAATTTATTTGGTGAAGTGTCTGCTCCAATTATCTTCCCATTTTTAAAATGAGTTTGTTTTTTTTTTACTGATGAATCATGAGAGTTTTACATATGTGCGTATTTCATCAGGTATGTGATTTGTAAATATTTTCTAGCATTCAATAACATTATCAGGTTCTTTCTCAGTGTAAAGCAAACTTAAAGCCTTAATTTATCTTTGTTTAAACGGAATGTGCTTATGGTTTTGTCAGTATTCTTTCCCTAATCAAGGGCCATACATATTCTTCCTATATTTCTTCTAAAATACTACAGCCTGGCTGGGTGCGGTGGCTCACGCCTGTAATCCCAGCACTTTGGGAGGACGAGGTGGGAGGATCACTTAAGGTCAGGAGTTCGAGACCAGCCTGGCCAACATGGTGAAACCCCGTCTCTACTAAAAGTACAAAAGCAGGCCATGGTGGTGCATGTCTGTAATCTCAGCTACTCGGGAGGCTGAGGCAGGAGAATCACTTGAACCCGGGAGGCAGAGGTTGCAGTGAACCGAGATCGTGCCACTGCACTCCAGCCTGGACACAGAGTGAGACTCCATCTCAAATAAATAAATAAATAAATAAATAAATAAATAAATAAATAAATAAATAATATTTACTGCCTTACATTACAGCTATGAGTCATTTTAAGGTAATTTTTATATAAGCTGTGAGGTTTAGGTTGAGTTGCATTTTTCTTTTAGCATATGGATGTTCAATTTAATGAAAATACTATCTTTTTTCCATTGAATTGCCTTTGTAACATGTCAAAAATCATTTGGCCATATTTGTGTGCCTTATTTTGAACTCTTTGTTCTCTTTTATTGACTTAGGTGTTTATCCCTTTACCCATGTCACACTATCTTGACTACTATAGCTTTACAGTCAGTTTTTTGAGACAGAGTCTCGCTCTGTCACCCAGGCTGGAGTGCAGTGGCGTGATCTCGGCTCACTGTAACCTCCGCCTCCTGGGTTCCAGTGATTCTCCTGCCTCAGCCTCCTGAGCAGCTGGGACTACAGGCATTCTTAAAATCAGGAGGTGTAAGTTCTCCAGCTTTGTTTTCTTTCTCGAAATTGTTTTAATTGTTTTAGCCCCTTAGACTTTCCATATACATTTTATGATCCCCTTGTCTGTATCTACAGAAATTTTTGCCAGGATTTTGACAGAAATTATCTAATTAAAGCCCTTCTGAGAGATACAAGGAGGTAACATTTTCAAACTTTTCCTTGTTTTAAGCTTGTCATTTTCAGTTTAAGTATTTTATCTAGATTTTCCAATTCATTAATACTGAACTGTCTGAGGAAACATCCTTTTGTCTCATCTGTGTCTTCTTTGATCACTTTCAGTCTTAAGAATTTCATTGCCATTGTCTCTCTTTCTTGTCTTGACTAAGTTTACTATTTTGCAAGCATTTTCAGACAGTCATCTCTTTTTTGTCATTAATTATCCTGAATTTTACTGCTTAGAAGATTTACAAGACCTTGTTTTTTTCTCGTAAATATATTTTGAACTCATAAATTCCTCATAGTGCTTTACTATGTCTCACCAATGAATATATTTTCATTTTCATTCTACTCTAAGGTATTCATAAGTTTTATGATTTTTCCCAAGGCATATTGAGTTGTCTGTTATTTAGGTTCCTATGAGATTTTTTTTAACAATACTCCTCAGTGAATAGCTCCTAATTTTATTATACATTGGCCTGGAAGATAATCAGTATGATGTTGATTCTTTGGAATTGGGAGAATACTTCTGTAATTTTGCTCATGGTTAATTTCTGAGCACATGTTGTTCGCAGTATGTTTACACAGAACGTGCATTTTCTGATTGTTGGTGTAAGATAATCTATCTTCTACTGTGAGCTCTTTAATTAGGTTATCTAAATTTGCTGATTTTTTCCTACTTGTTCTGTCAATTACTTGTAGCGAAGTGTTAAAATCTTCTGCAGTGTTGCTCGCGTATTCCTACTCTGCAGGTGGCTCGCTGGCTGTTGATGTATTTTGAGGCTGTGTTGTTCTGCTCCTACGTGCTCGTGGTCATTACGTCTCCTCCATCACCTGCTCCCTTGACCAATACATAACTGGCTTCTGTATCCTTCCAGTTTTGCCCTTGAACTCCAGTGTGTCTCACATAATGGTTCATCTTGGCTCTCATATATATATATATATATATATATATATATATATATATATATATACACACACATACACACACACACACATATATACACACACACATATACACATACATATACATATATACATACGTATGTGTATATATACATACGTGCATATATGTGTATACATACGTACGTATATGTGTGTATACATACGTACATATATACACATATATACATATATATGCATATATGTGTGTGTGTATATGCACATATATATATTTTTGCTGGTGTATCATTTTCATCACTCTATTTGTATTTTTTCACATTGAAAACATTTCAGAAAGTGAGAAGTTACAACAGTGCAATGCATAACCCCATGCCCTGTGCCGGATCCGCCATGGCTGCAATGTCATCCTGCCCGTTTTATCTCTGTTGTAACGGCAGTGGTTGTTGTTGATGCGCCATTGGAAGGTAACTTTCAGAATCGTGACTTCCTGCCTCAAACGCATCATCCGTATCTTCTAAGAGCATTCACATACCTCGAGTCTCTTACTAAAATCTCTCACTGACACAACCCTACAGTGCCGTGTGGAGTCCATACCCACATTTCACTCCCTCTTCAAATAATGTCCTTGTTAGCAACTATGATTGTTCTTAGTCAATGGCTCAGGATTCCAGCAGGATCATGCATTGCATTTAGTTGTCACGTGTTCATCTCCCTTATTCTGGGATAATTTCTCATCCTTCTTTCACAACATTGATAATCTTGAGGATCACAGCCTGACTGTTCTGTAGAATGTGCTTTCACTTGTCTTTCTGGAATGTTTCCTCGTGCTCCTCTTTTTGGCGGGAAAACCCATGAAGTGAAGCAGAGTCCTCCTGATGGACAATTTGAGGACTGCCCTGCTGTTGGTGCTGTGGCTGCCATGGCGCGGTGAGGGTGCTGACCACGAGGGCTTCTCCACCGTGGATTCTCCACCTTCTCCCTCACAATCAGTAAATCACCTTTGGGGCCGTCTTTTGGGCTGCATACTCATCTTTTTTTTTGAGACGCGATCTCAGCTCACTGCAAGCTCCACCTCCCGGGTTCACGCCATTCTCCTGCCTCAGCCTCCCGAGTAGCTGGGACTACAGGCGCCCCCCACCATGCCCGGCTAATTTTTTTCTATTTTTTTTTAGTAGAGACGGGGTTTCACCGTGTTAGCCAGGATGGTCTCGATCTCCTGACCTCGTGATCCGCCCGCCTTGGCCTCCCAAAGTGCTGGGATTACAGGCTTGAGCCACCGGGCCCGGCCTGCGCCCTCCTTTTTTAGACCAGAGCTCCGGCCAGGGAATTCGTCCTGAATCCATCATGTCCTGGTGGCTGTGGGTGGTGGCGTTCCTCCGACTCCCAGACCACCCCCGCCGGGATCTGCTGGGAAACGCCCAGAGCCCCACTCCTGCTCGTCCGCTCATCCTGGGCCTCGCCTCTTTTTAGGGTGAGTGTGGCCTCCTGGGGCCGCCTGTGGCTCCGTGTGCCCTTCCGACCAGGCTGCGTGTCTCATGTGCCGCTGCCCAGGCCCAGCTCCTCCTCCTGCCTCACGCACCACACAACCCACATGCAGACACACACACCACACAACCTGGGCACGACCCATAGGCACCACACACATGCACACATATCCACATCACACACCACCACATACACAACACACAACCCATGTGCAAGCACAACCACCACACACACCACATATGAAGGACACACACCACACAAGCTACACACCACACACAAATACACACACCACACACGAGGACACACACCACACACTACACACACACACACCACACACCACACATGCAGGACACACACCGCACACACTACACACCACATACAAATACACACACCACATGCACAGGACACACACCACACACACACACCACACATGCAGGACACACCACACATCCACACACAACCCACATGCACCACACACCACACACACAGGACACACACCAAACACATGCACACATACCCAGATCACACACCACCACGTACACAACACACAACCAATGTGAAAACGTACACACCACACACACAGGACACACACCACACACACTACACACCACACGGAAACACACACCACACACGCAGGATATGCACCACACAACCCACGTGCAGACACACTCCACCCACCACACACGTAGGACACACACCACACAACCCATGCACAAACACACACCACATGCACACACGGTAAACCACGCAATACACCACACACACACCACACGTGGACACACAACACACATACACACAACACATACACATGTGCGCATACCCTAAACCACTCTACCACACACACACGACACGCACCACACAACCCATGTACAAACACATATACACCACACACACCACACAAACACCACACACACATGCACACACACACCACACACACACAACCTACACATATACACATCACACACAGCAGACACCCCACACATATCACACACGTACACAAACCCCAAACCACACACCACTGCACAGACACCACACATACCCCATACCCACAAACACAGGATACACAGCACACACATCACACACAGGTACACATCACCACATGCAGGACACATGACACACATCACACCCTATACTAACACCGTGCACTGCAGACCCAGCCTGGGGGAGGCAGGATGGTGGCCCCGTCATGTCCCAGGGAAGCCGAGCCAGCCATGTCCTCAGCCCCTCCTGGGGCTGACCTGGTAGGCCTCAGCTCTGCCCTGCACCCGGGGTCTCCTCCTTAGCGGGAGGCAGCAGGACTGGAAATACCCCCACTGTTTATCTTCCCTCACACAGCTGGGAGAGCACACAACATCCGTGACTCTGCCCAGCCTGAACGCCCGGCCCACTCCCAGCCCACCGGGGGCAGCCCTGCCCCTCATCCATCCATCCCTTCTGAGCAGGCGGGGGTCTGAGGGACATGCCCGAGGAGAAGGGGCCCTGAGCCTGCCGTCCCCACTCCCGTCCCGGCCAAGCCTGTCCCTGAGGATAGTCAGGCAGGAGGAGATGCTGCCGTGACCCACTGCCCAGCATCAGACCTGGGACACTTAGAGCTGCCTTCCTTGGTTCAAACGTTTCATTTGGAAAGAACTCGGTCTTTAATTATGTCAGATTAAAGGTGCACGCTTTGGAGATTTATGGAGTCATTAGGGATGCTGTAGAAACCATTCTCGGAGCTAAGCCCACACTGGCGTTTTCCACATGGAAATTTATATACAAATAGCCGAGGGCTTCGTTAAACAGCTCAGCTTGAAAATTTAACGGGTGGTCTTCTGTGCTGCTGGCGCTCGGCTGGCGGTGGGAGACAGGAGCCCAACGCTTGCCCGGCTCCAGGCCTCCCAACTTGGCCAGTGTCCACCATGGAGCCTCTCTCTGCTTGGACCCGTGTTCATCCTTCCATGCCTTCATGGATTCCCAGCATCTTGGAGCCCAGGGATTGGGTGAGACTCACCTGCTTCTTCAGGGATGCTTCAAGAGCAAGTCCCAGGGCCTGGGAAGGAGAGGGAGTAGGGGACCCAGGAAGGAGAGGAAGTGGCCATTCTTATCCCATTTCACCCACATCACCGGGCGACATTAGCTCCCAGGAACGTGAGTACACTGAGCTCCTAGCAGGGTGTCTGTGCTCACAGCTCAGCCCCTGGGCCAGTGCTGGTCTAAGCCCAGCTCCGTCACTGGGCAGTGGACAAATCATGGACCAGCTTTGCCTCAGTGCCTTGTTTGCACGTGACAACACACTTAGTCAGCTGGCCAGACCGCAATGCAGGTTCAGTGAGGCAATGGTTGGCATGGGCTTGGGGAGCCCACTGAGGCAGGAGAATAGGGTCTGGAGGCAGGGAACCTAAGGCCGATTCACGCTGACTTCCTAGAACTGAATCAAAAGAAAACCCCCACCTCTCCATGCCCAAGTAACAAACGGGTCAGAGGCTACCCCTTTACAATGCCCCCCCTTTCCACGGCATGGCAGATGAAAAATGGAAAGCACCTCTGACTGGCTGCCTCCCACAACCAATCAGACTAGTTGCAGGCCAAGTTCTCATTTACATAGGGTGTAACCAAGTAACCAATGATAAACCTCTAGAGGGTATTTAAACTCTAGAAAATTCTGTAACCAGAGCTCTAGAGCCGCTTACTCAAGCCTGCTCCCACTCTGTGGAGTATGCTTTCATTTCAATCAATCTATGCTTTTGTTACTTTGTTCCTTATTGCTTTGCCTGTGCATTTTGTCCAATTCTTTGTTCAAAATGCCAAGAACCTGGATGACTCCTAGTTGAAACCCTCCACTGGTAACACGCTGAGTGATGGGTCCATTGTCCCTGGACGGCACGTGTGTCAGGCAGGGCAAAGTGAGGGCTGCACGCAGGCCAGTGTCTGACCAGGACCCAAGCTGGGCCCCCAGTCTCTGCTTCCGTCACAGGGATGGGAATGCATGCGGGAGGGTGTAGTGGAGGTAGGTGCCCGCGTGGAGGTTAGAGGACGTGTGTGGGCAACGCCGGGATGGGATTGGGGTGTTCTGAATTCCTGGGGTGGGGGAAGCCAAGGGATAGGAGACCCAGGGCTTTCTGCAAATGGCTTTTGAAAATACACGTTTTTAGGAATGCTAAATTCTGAAGGTGTCTAGCCAAAGTAAACAAGCACATAGGAAAATTTTAAAAATGCATAAATAAAAACTCACTGTCCTTTAGTGACAATTACTTTACTTCCAAGGGCTTTGATATAAAACCAGCACCAGTGAGGGGCCCCGGCGATGGCGCCTGTGGGAAGAATGGGGTTGAGCCGATCCACCCCGGCCTGGCCTGGCCCAGTCTCCCCACAGGCGAAGCAGTGGTGATGACCCAGCTCCTCCTCCCCTGTGAGTTGGGACCTGGAGCCAGGGCCCCGGTCCCCTGCGCCAGTGGGTCTGGGCTTTCCTCTGAGGCACCACAGTTCCCTGGAGCCTTGGCCGACAAAGCACCTCCCTCCCAAGGTGAGAAACTGCAAGACCCCGAGCCACCGAGAGGGAGACCTAACAGGAGCCCCGAGAAGGGTTTGTCCAGCGCGTGCGGGAAACTCGCCTTTGGATGCAGCTCCCTGCAGACCTGTCCTCACTGGAGTCTGGGGAAACGTGAAAAAAATACCCTCAAATCTCTGCAATCACCTGCCTCTTCCCCGCCCCCCACTAGAGCAATCAATACCTCTCCAGGTTTCTGGGGGGAGTGGGCCCTGAGGGGACGGGATTCTCTCCCCAAACGTCTCCCAACAGACAATTCCCGGTGCCTGCCTCCCTCCTCCCGTCCTCCCACACTCTCCAATGCCCCGCGCCTGCCTCCCTCCTCCCCTCGTCCGGCACTCTCCAACGCCCCGTGCCTGCCTCCCTCCTCCCCTCGTCCCGCCCTCTCCTTTAGTTGCCCCCAGGAGCACTGACTGAGCACCTAGTGGGTGCCCGACACCACGGCTGGGCCTGACCCTGGGGCAACAGGGAGGTGGCCAGGTCCTGCCCAGGGGGACAAGGCCGGGAGTCCCAGCCCCTGGGTCCCAGCCCAGGAGGAAGCTCTGTCCACTATGGCCGCCCTGTGGTGGGGGCCTCTCTCTGCCAGGACAGCAGGTGGGGGTGAGAAGGGAAGGCTGACCTTGGGTCCTGGGCAGGCCTAGGGTCTTGTGAGCATGTCCCTGGTAAAGGGAAGTTCAGGCTGTGGAGCATGGTGCCTACATCAGATTCTGGGGGTTGGCAGCCCAGGACCTGCTGCTCCCTGGAGCTCCACCCACCTGGGGCTCCACCCACCTGACTTGGTGGCACCTTGGAACTGGGCCCTGAGCCCAAGTCAGCCTTGTGTCCGCATCTGCCGTGTCACCTCTGTTCCTGCCCCTCACCCCTCCCTCCTGGTCTTCTGAGCCAGCACCATCTCCAAATAGCCTATTCCTTCCTGCAAATCACACACACATGCGGGCCACACATACCTGCTGCCCTGGAGATGGGGAAGTAGGAGAGATGAATAGAGGCCCATACATTGTACAGAAGGAGGGGCAGGTGCAGATAAAAGCAGCAGACCCAGCGGCAGCTGAGGTGCATGGAGCACGGTCGGGGCCAGCATTGGGCTGAGCACCTGACGGGCCTCATCTCGTGAATCCTCGAGGCAGCGCCACAGCAGAGGAGTTAGTGGCACCTGGGCCGAGCAGAGCAGGAGACTGAGGGTCAGAGTGGAGGCTAAGCTGCCCTGGAACTCCTCAATCTGCCTGCCCCCTAGTATGAAGCCCCCTCCCTGCCCCTACAATTCCTGAACTCCTTTTTTATTGACCAGCATTCCCCAGTGAGCAAAAGGACCTGATATTTATTCACACAATAATGTGGTTAACAAGTGTTTATGGAGCATCTATTATGCGGCTGTTCTGGGCACGAAGGAAGTTATGATGCTCAGAAAATCCAGCCCTTGCTCTCCTGGAGCCTGACTTCAAATTGAGGTCAGGGGAAGACAGATGAGAAACAAATATTAAACGTATGAAGCACACATATGACGCAGCAAGTGAGGAAATGCGGGGCAGGGACATGAAGATTCAGGGGGCAGGGAGGGCAGGGGCGAGGCGAGCTCTACTTACAGGGGGTCGGGAGAAGCCTCAGTCGCCAGGAGCTAGTGCAGCAGGAGCCGGAACAAGGAGCTGGAGTCCCGCAGGCGGGCACTGGGGAAGAGCGTCCCGGGCAGGACACCTGTTCAGCTAGTGGCCACTTCCCAGGTGCTGGGGACACCGAGGTCCAGAGGCGTGCATCCTGTAGCAGGCTAGGTCCCATTCGGGTGACCTCCTCCACACCAGGCTGTGGCCTTCCAACATCAAGGGATCTGTCTCGATCACCGTGAAGCCCTGGAAGAACAGCTGGTCGGGGGTTGGGGAGCTCAGCCCACCTGCCAACCTGCCCACCTATCTATCTGCCCACCTGTTTGTTTCACAAGCAGGCCCCCTGCGTCGCTGGCACCTGCCTGGCACAGAGCCCTTGCTGTCTGTTTGATGAGGATCACTTGTCCTGCAGCCAGAGACAGTGGGGTTTGGGTCCAGCCCTGCCACCTCCTGGCAACCTAATTTGTGAGAGCCGTTGAGGGGGAGAATGTGGAGATTCCTGCGGGATGCTCCCGGCCATGTCTACAGGAAGTGCTTAGTAAGTGTCAATCACTGTATCTCCTCATCCCTCCGCAATCCAGCTTATGGGGCTGAGTCACACTCTGCCTCAGTAAACCATCTTCTTTCTAAGTTCCAACAGGTCAGGGAGGCTGTCTCACAATTCTACGCAGTCTTCAGCACAAAATCTGTCTGTCATGTGTTTTCCATTCCCCATTATTCATCCATCCATCCCCATCTATCCATCCATTCATCCACCATCCATGCATCCACCCACATATGTACTCATCTATCCATCATCTATCCACCTTCTAACCACCCACCTATTCACCAACAAATCCACCCACTCATCCACCATCCATCCATCCACCCACCCATTCATCCATCCATCCCCACCCATCTATCCATTCAACCACCATCCAGGCATCCACCCGCCCACATATGTACTCATCTATCCATCATCTTACCACCCACCTATTCACCAACCAATCCATCCACTAATCCAACATCCACCCACCCATCCACCATCCATCCATTCATCCACACACCATCTATCTATTCACTCATCCATCCATCCATCCACTCATCTACCACCCATCCATCCACCCACCCATTCATCCATTATTAATCCATCCATCCCCACCCATCTATCCATGTATCCACCATCCATTAATCTACTCACATATGTACACATCTATCCGTCATCTATCCATAATCTAACCACCCACCTACTCACCAACCAATCCATCCACCCATCCATCCACTTATCCACCATCCATTATCCATCCATCCATCATTCATCCATCCATCCCCATCCATCCATTCATCCACCATCCATTCATCCACCCACATACGTACTCATCTATCCATCATCTATCCACCATCTAACCATCCACCTACTCACCAACCAATCTATCCATCCACCCACTCATCCACCATCCATCCATTATCCATCCATCCCCCATCCATCCATCCACACACCACATATCTATTCACTCATCCATTCATCCACCATCCATCCCTCCATCCATCCACTCACCCACCCATTCCTCCATTCATGATCCATTGATCTACCCATTTCTCCACCCATCTATCCATCCATCCATCTATCCATCCATCCATCCAAACATTTATCTAAAATTTCATTATCCCTTCTGCCAACTCACCACTTACTTTTTAAACACTTCCTGAGCTGAGGAGATGCTTGACTCTCTGGGTATCCTCCGTGTTCAACAGATAAACTCACTCCGTGTGCAGGGCCTTTGCTTCCATCTTTCAGGCATGAATTCTAATGAAGATGTGAGTCTTCAGTGTCTCTGGTATGACCTTGCCAGACCTCTAGTTAGGATGGTGGTTCTCAGCAGTGGCTGTTCATGAAGCCACTTGGAAGTCATTGGAAGAATGCTGGAACCCAGGCCCCTACGTGACATTTGGATTTCACTGGTTTGGCATGTGGCCTCGACGTTAGAGTTTCTTGAATCCCTCAGGTGATTATCTTGTGGAGTCAGGGCAGAAGCCCTTACTGGATCAGGGATGCCGTCCTGATTGCAGCTGTGGAAACAAAGGCAGCAAGGCTTGGTCTCTGCCTCCTGAATCCCAGAGTCTGTGGGGTGACACAGCACTCAAAAGGTTTCACTTCTTATTCCCAGGCTGCTTGGATTTAAGGTCTGTGTTTGTGTTTGAGAGAGGTGGGTCACTATTTGCTGGGTGAATGTGAGATGAGTGTATTTTCTCCCTGGAGGTGCCCTGCCTAGCTCCCTGGGGTGTGTTGTCCGTGATACAATTAATGGTGTTGTCAATGCCGTAGAAAAGATCGGCGTCGGCCCCACGGGAGCCGGAAAGCTCATCCTGCCACTGAAGTCAGGAGAACCACAACTCCTGGGCCAGGGCTGCTGCCCGGAAAGGTGACCGGAGTCTGCTGCCAAATTGCCAGCCTGGAGGCCTCATTTCCATGCCATAATCCCATAAGCAAATAGCGTGATTGTATTAGTTGAGGGTAATTTTTCACACTTCACAGTAGCTGCTCAGTTTGCCTCCCGATTCTGCTGACTCTACTAGGAATTTGCACAATAAAATAATGGAAAAACTACAATAACCAGTGAAGCCAAACCAAAAATCTCATTCAATCAAACTCTCAGAGCAGAGAGCACTCACCGGCCGCGGTCAACCCTCTCCCCTCCAGTGCCCCCGTCTGCAGGTTTCCTCCCTCATCCAGGCCTGGCAGGGCAACAGTTCAGCTTGCTCTGCGGGCATCTAGGGCACCGCGCTGGGTTTACCTTGCCTTCCTCCTATTTTACTTGATTTCACCGGATTTTCATACCACACACGTTTCTGAGCCACAAAGCCAGGTCCATGCATGGAGTGGGCTCCTGGTGTAGAACAGAGGTGGAGGCCTGGAAGAGACACCTCCTAGAGGCAGGACAAGGTCCTCAGTCCCGGGGCTGGAAATGCTCCCTGGCAGGCATGGCCAACTGGGGGCTTGGGAGTAGGAGAGAAGGCACCGTGGTCTTTGCAGGCTTCTCTCGGGCAAGGGGCAATTTGAGCTGGCAGGAGAGAGAAAGGGGTGAGTGTACTTCTTGCAAACTGAAGGCTGGGGATAGCTCTGCTTGTCAACGCTGACACCTGTTAACTGCAGTGAGCTGGGGCTGCTGGCCCCAGAAGATCTGTCCACGTCCTAACCCCTGAACCTGTGGGTTTGGATTCATTTGGAAAAAGGGCTTTTGCAGATGTGGTTAAGTTAATGATTTCAAGATGAGAAGGTCACCCTGATGGGCCCAGGTGGGCCCCCAAGTCCAATGCCAGGTCTCCTCTTCAGGGAATGGAAAGGGAGATTCGGGACTCAGACACATGGAGGGGACGGAGCCTGGGACTGGAGCCGTGAGGCCGCAGGAATGTGGGAGCCACCAGAGGCTGGAAGGAGCCTAGAGCCTCAGGAGGCAGCACAAAGGCTGGAAGGAGCCTAGAGCCTCAGGAGATGGCACAGGCCCGAAGACACTTTGAGTTTGGATTTCTGGCCCCAGACTGTGAGAGGATGAACACAACTTGCTTTATGCCCCCAAGCTCGTGGTGGCTCCTTCCAGCAGCCCCTGGGGCCTCGCACACGGGGCTCTCTCTCTAGCAGACCTCGCGTCCCATCTCACCCTTTCACAGGCCCTGTGAGCTCAGCCCCAGCCTGTTCCCATGCCCCAGAGCTAAGCAGTGGAGACTTAGAACTGTCCGAGCCAAGCCACACGCTCAGGAAGGGAGTGAGTCGGAGTTGCCTTTCTACAGAATTTTCCTCGTCGAGCTGGCAGGCCGGGTGGGGGCTGTTTTTGTGGACGGGGGTCTGAGAGATTTGCCCAGTGTCGCAGGGCGTCCCAGGCTCTCTCCTTACCTGCAGTCAGCAGGATGGACAAGCAGGGGCTCCACACGAGGCCAGGGGCTGCGAGGTGGCCACGGCAGGCAGAGCATGAGAAGGAGGCAGAAGAGGAGGAGGAGGCCTTGGGGCTCCAGCCTGGGGCAGCAGCTGTGGAGGAGGCAGGCAGGGGAGGGAAGATGGAGGTGGGGCAGCATTCCCAGCCTCTGTTGTCTCTCACGTGGGGGGTGTCTTGGCCTCCTGATGGGATGGTGGGTCACTGGCGGACAGGAGAGGGGTACAGGCTGTGGGCCAGTCACATTCACATTCAAGTTCTTTACCAGGGCAGAACCAGATGGAGGAACAAGGGGCTGCTGACCGTGTGGGGGTCTCAATGAGCATTTTACATGTGTGTCCAACATTTACCCACTGGGTACTAGGAACAACCACTAACCTAATAACAAACGTAGACTTTTTCACTTTTTGTTCAAAGTTGGGGATTTTAAAAAATGTCCACAGCCAAGCGTGCCACCCTGCCCACCGCTCCGCTCCTCTGTGATGTCACCCTATTTCCACGGCCCCCAGCGTGGGTATCATCAGCCCCTCTCTGATGGAGATGTCTATGAGCCTCTGTGGAAACTTGCTTGTATCTAAATGCTGTGTCTTCTTGCCTAGTTTTCCTATCAGCAAATCGTCTCTCACTTTGGTGTAAATTAACTGTCCTCCTTCAGTTTTCTTTTCTGGTTTTCTAGACCAAGCAGCATCTTAGGAGACACATTAATGGTTTTATATTGAAGTAGAGTAGGTCACTTTCTCCCAGTAGAATCATGAGGCCCTACAAAGCTCCCCAAATATCCATGTTTTCCCCACCATCCCCAGTTTCCAGGGAGGGGCACATGGCTGATTTTCCTGAGTGAAAGGTGAGCGAAGCAGTGTGGGGCCCAAGATCACTGTGACCCGGTGCCTCACTCCCTCCTTCTTCCATTCCCGAGCTGGGCTGGAAGTTAAGGGCTGAGATGGGGGAGCTGCAAACGGAAGAGGGTGGGTTCCCCCATCACCACCCAGAGGAACCTGTGCCAGAGAGGCATGTGGCTGCCCTTGGGGCTGGAGTGTTGGTGGTGCCAGTCCCATTTCTTGGGATCTCTGAGGAAGAAGAGCAGTGGGACAAGTGGTTTTGCATTTCCACCTCTGGGTGCTGTCCACATCATACTTATTGTAAAAGGTCAGAGTGGAAGCCTGGGGCAGTTCCCAGCTTGTCTCTGATCAGTCACTGCTCTTATGATGTAGGGCACCATTTAACACAGGGTAACAAAGCCTCCGTTTATCAGTCCAAAGGCAGGGAGTGCTTGGCTGGCAGGGTGACTCTGCTACCTCATTAAATGGCTTCAAACTCTGAGCTCAGGATAGCTGCTCTAGCTCCTGCCATCACATCTGCATCCCAGCTAGCTGGAAGGAAGAATGGGCCAAAGAGAGTGCATGCCCGTTACTTTGAAGAACATTTCCCAGAAATGGGGCCCATTCCTTGTGCCTAGGTCCCATGGGACAGACCTAATCACACAGCCACACCACGCTGCAAGAAAGTCCAGAAAAGCTTGCCTCTATCTGGGCAGAGCCATGTGCTCAGTTGCACTCGAGGGTATCTCAGAGTTTAAGAGGAAGTGAGTGACTGGAGGTTGGCAGAGAGCTGGCAGCCAAGCCTGGGCTTCTCCTCCTGGTGGGTCTGAGGCCAGCTGGCATGAGGTCTGGTCGAGAACTGCCATCCTGACCCAGAAGGCAGGAGGTGAGGCTGAAGACTTGGTGGAATTTACTGGAAAGAGGTGTTTCCAGAGTTCACTGGTCTGTGTTTTTCTCAACATGGGCACTGCTTCCTTCAGCACAGCAGGTAACCTGCTGGGAGGAACTGGAGCCAGGAGCAGCTTGGTCACTTTCTGGTCGTCCATGTCACACTTGTCACGGATAAAGTCTGCAGGTTTCAAAGTGTGTGGTTCCCCTCACTGTATCCCAGGAGAGCTACATGCTGGGGGTGGAGGTCTGCAGCAAACCTCCAACCACACAGACGCTGGTTGCGAGTGTTCTGACCACAGCACGGGCAAGCAGGGGTCACTCGGAACTCATTTTGCTAGATGGTGTTGGATAATTCCTGTTCCCTTTTTTCCCAGCTGTTCAATGGCATGCTTTGTTTTGGATAGAATCGGACTCCCTCCCCAGCAGAGAGCGGGAGGCAGGCATTGTGATCCCTGTGCACTACAGTAGCTGGTGTTCTAAAGATGCCCTGCGTGGCATGGCCTCATATTCTGGAGCCAAACAGACTTCTGGGGGGATGGTGTCTCCGTTTCCCCAACCCCAGGGGCCCAGCTGGGAGGAGACAGCAGGCAAGGGTGTCCCCTGCTGATCTTTCCACAAGACCTGCACTCAGTCCCCACATCAATGGGCACTGCCCACCCAGACAGCACCTACTCCTGTGGGCAGCACCCAGAACCGGTGCTCACGATGGGGAAGTCAGGACTTTGGAGAAGCGGGAAACTGGAGCCCGAGGGCAGGGTGCTCAGGAGAGACCCATCCAGACAGCAATGCTCAAGGCCAAGTGAGACCAACGACCTGGAATCCAGGGAGAAAACAGTGCCAGGTACTGACCACACATGGGACGAGGGTGCTGACCAGAGGGATGAGGGCACTGACCACAAACAGGGACGAGGAAACTGACCACACACAGGGTGAGGGTGCTGACCACACACAGGACGAGGGCACTGAGCATGTACACAGGATCAGGTATCATAGGAGGGAGTGAAGAACTCCCAGCAAAATCCAGGAAGGAGCACGGCAGAGAGACCTGGGTGTGGACGGAGAGACCCGGGTGTGGACAGAGCACTGCAGAGAGACCCAGGTGTGGACAGAGAGACCCGGGTGTGGACAGAGAGACCCGGGTGTGGACAGAGACCTGGGTGTGGACATGTTCTTCTGTCATGGGGAGGAAGAGAAGGGAGAGCAAGAAGGCAGAGGAGAGGAAACAGGAGGGAGCGAGGGAGGGCGAGAGGGAGAACACCCCTCTGTAGTAAGAGATGCATCTCGGGCAAGCTGCGTCCTTCCTCTGCTGGAGGCCCCCATTGCTCTACTGTGCTGGGTGGTGTCGGCAGGGTGGCAGATAGAGGGGTCTCCTGGGCCAGCCCATGTGTCCCAGGAGTGAGGTCCACTCCCGCTGGGCCAGCCCATGTGTCCCAGGAGTGAGGTCCACCCCCGCTGGGCCAGCCCATGTGTCCCAGGAGTGAGGTCCACCCCCGCTGGGCCAGCCCATGTGTCCCAGGAGTGAGGTCCACTCCTGCTGGCGACATGAGCAGTGCTTTCTCTAGAGGGTATGGGGAGGCAGAGGAAGCCCCTGCTCTTCCAAGCAGCAAGGAAGGGTGATAGCCTGCACCCTTCAGGCCTTCACCATGGCTGCACTCTCTTCTGAGTGTAAGAAGCTTCTACTGTAACAGACCCTGGCAAGCAGGAGCTGCGATGGGGCAGCCCAGACCCAAGGCACAGGGAGCTGAGCCCGGGGCAGGCCAGGGCTGGGACCCTGCAGGGGCCGATGTAGGGCTGTAGTCATTACAGGTGCTCGGTGGCCTCCCTACGAGGGCAGAGCCCATCCTCAGGAACGGTCACCACCGGCCTGGCCTCCGCTTCTTCCCTGGGCAGTGTCTCCCTCACACCATCTCTGAGCCTCAGCCCTGTCTGTTCAGTGAGGGGCTGAACCGCTGCTCCCAGAGGCCCCTCTGCCTGGGCAGCGTCCGGCCTCAGGCCCTGACTGCAGGACGTTTGCAGGACGATGCCTCCTGCCTCCCTCCGGGGACAATCTCTCACATCCTCCCTGTTCCTTTCCATGTGGCCTCTGGCCGCCTCGCATCTGAACTGCTGAAGTCCTGTTTCTCTGGGCCTCATCCTCTCCTCCATCAAAATGAGGAACCGTGGACTGCAGGAGCATTGAGGAAGCCACGTGGAGTCCCCGCTCTGTGTTGAGCCCCGTAGGGTGCCCTTCCTGTGGGCGGCCATTCTGGGCGTGGCGCCCCCTGTCTGAAATCAGCAGCACACCAGCTCCCTGTGCTCCGTGTGACAAGCTGCCAGGGACAAAGGTAGCACCCGGACAAGCACCCAGGCTTTTCTTCCTCATTCTAAACCCCATTGGAGCCGCAATCTCCAGGTATAATAGCAGCTTGTTAACAAATCCTGTTTGTGTTGCATTTGCTGACAGAGAGACTCCCCTGGGACCACAGCAGTAGGCACGGCATTCCTGTGACAGAAATCAATGCCACAGATCGAGGGATGGAGCCACCGGCTCCCCAGGCTGAGTCCCCTTCCGGTAACACGGCCACACTCCTTCCTCCCTCCAAGAAGATCCCAGGGAGGGCGATCCCGCCTGGATGCGTTCCTCACTCCCTTTCAGGTGGCCCCAGACGCTGGGCATTGGGAGGTGGCCACATGGGGACATGGACATGAAGGCTGGGTAAGTGTGGGGACCAGGCGAGCTGGCTGCTGGACACCCACCCACCCTGTGAGCTGCACCAGACCCTACTCTCTGTGCTCTGGACCCCAGGAAGCAGTCAGGATTGGGGGGGTCCCACTCACAGGCCCCGGCGCCTTCCACCTGGGCAGCTGCCATGTGCACCCTCAGGCTTCAGACTCCTGGCCACGGGGGCGGTGGTGTGGACCCCAGGCCGTGTGTGCAGATGCAGCAAGGTGACATCAGCCATACATTCACTGCGTCACTCCTCACCCAGCTCCTTCTCAGAGCCTCACTCGGAACAGCACATCTCCCATCTCAGCTGCCCTGGCCACTTCTGTGTAGGAGGCAGGAGGGATACTCCCACCACCCCGACCCTTACAGATAACAGGCTCAGAAAGGCACCTGACCCCACAGCCCTTCAGTTGGGTTTGAACCTGGGTTGCTTGGTTTCAAAGCACAGGGGTTTGTCCTGCCCAGTCACACCCCTCAAAGTGTGGATGTGGGAAACACCGCTGAGGAGCCTGGACATCCAGGAGGGCTCAGGAGACCCTTCCTGACTGCACCCCGGACAGGCCCACGACAGGCAGATGGGACACAGGTCAGGATGTGGCAGGCACACGGCCTGGCTTCTAGACACTTCTCAGACCTGGGAGAGGAGAGAGGGACAGGTGGTGTGGGCGTGCTGGAGGCGGGAAGGGGATAAGAGTGTTGGTTATCACGGGCAATGTGGACACACGGCCAGGACAGGGGTCCACAGTATTTCAGGAACCTCCCACAAGACGAAACTTCTAGACAGACTTCCCTCCCTGTGAGATACCTTAGGCTGTAGTGGAGAGGTCGCTGAAAGAATCGATATTTCTAGAAATTAGCTTTGGGATCAGTTTGCGAAGCTGCATCTATGCTGACAAGTGAATGAAGCCCGTGGGCAGGGAATACACTGAGGCCTTAGGCCTGCAGAAGAGCACAGGTGCACCTGCGCCACATGGGCCAGAATCAACCCAGGTGAATTCCAGCCCATGCCATTGATGCCAACCATGGACGAGGAATCCAGCTGGGGCTGAAGTTCCGCTACGCTGTCAGTTCCACTGGGGATGTGTGTTGCTCCTTCAGCCTCTGCCAGACACACAGGCCCGGTTCCAGCACCCGGGTGTTTGAGGGTGAGTGTGTGGGAGTGAGGCTCAGGAGGAACTGTGGGATCCAAAGTCAGTGAAAACGGTGAGGGTGAGGGAGGAGGGAGGATGGTGGAGGGCAGGGGTGAGTGAAGGGCAGAAAGGGGCGATGGGGTGAAGGGCAGAGAGGGGTGATGGGGTGAAGGGCAGTGGGCAATGGGGTGGAGGGCAGAGTGGGGATGGGGCGGAGGGCAGGGGGTGATGGGTCGAGGACAGAGGGGGGATGGGGTCGAGGGCGGGGGGGATGGGGTGGAGAGCAGAGGGCATGAGGCAGTGGGCAGGGGGTGGAGGGCATGTGGGGACAGGGCAGGGGTGGGAGGTGATGGGGTGGAGGGCAAGGGGGGACATGGCAGGAGCAGAGGGGGTCGGGGCAGAGCGAGGGGGAATGGGACACCATTATTGGAGACAGTGGCAGATATAAGCACTGGAGAAAAGCAGGTAAAGGATGTGCGGGGCAGGGGATTGGAGGGGACGCTTGAGCAGACACTGAAATAATCCGTTATGGGAAGCGTTATGGGAGAATGGGAGCCAGGAACTGAAATTGCAGGGGGTGAGCGTGGTGGGAACTCTGAGGGGCGAAGGGTGAGGCCGGCATCCTGGTGTTCTCACACAGGGCAACCTCTCATTTCATTTCCGTTGTAGCCAGTGTGTGAGTCAGCCAGGGAGCCTCAGCCTTTCCCACTGGCTTCAAAAAGATGTGGAGGCTGATGGGGAGGAGGAAGGTTCCCCAGAGCAGGAGGCCATCTGATGTAATGAACATGCCTTCCTAAGACGCTGCCTGGGCCGCAGCCAAGTGTGGTCGCTCTCTGAGCAATCGATGCTGCCACAAAAGGTCCTGGCAGCAGCGGCACGACCCCTGCACCCCGCCTGCTGCATCCAGGACAGCGCCGGCCTCCCACGGCGGCTCCCGGGAGAAGAGGAGACGCCACTTTGGCTGCTGTCCCGGGGAGAGGGGGGACAGTCCTTCGACTTCATGCAGGGGCTTGTCAACCCCAAAGCTTCCTCCGCCGCCATCTGGGTCTGACGCTCTCCGCTGGAAGGTGTTCAGGAGCTGGCACCCCACGTCCACCAGCGCTGGCTTCAAATCAAACAATAAACAGCATTTAAAAAAAATTAGTCCCACAGGTGAAGCCAGAGTCCCCTGCAGATGCCTGTTCCTTCACACTCCGCGCCTTCCACTGCCTTCCAGTGGTTGCACTCTCAGGCCTGTGGACGCACCTCGGCCAGAGCAAACCTGTAGCCTCTTCCCCAGCACGAAAGGCAGAAGGTGAAAATCACCAGGTCCCTGTACCATCAGGAAGGACCTGAACAGCCTCTGTCACCGTGTATAACAAGTCTCACTGACTCCTTCTCCGGAGCAGGGCTCCCGGGTCTGAGGCAAGGCTTCAGGATGCTTTCCCGGCTCAGCCGTGGCCCTCCATTACCTGCCCTGCCCGGCTTCTGCCCCACAGGGCTGCCTGGGGTCCTGGCCACTTTGGGTGAGGAGAGGATGGCTCCAGCCTCCTGACCTTGGAGGCTCCACAGACAGAAGACGCCGCCCCGGGACATGAGGGCCCTGCCTGGCTTTGACCCTCCTCTGATAACAGGGGACAGCCGATGCCCTGCTGGGCCCACGGGGAACAGAAGCCAGTCTGGGCTGGGCCATCCCCTGCAAGTGGTCCACTCCCCCCACCGGCTGATGGTGGAGTCTAGGCTGGCCTGGTGACATGTGGGCCTCCAGAGGTGACAGAAGGGATATTCAAACTTCCAAGGCCCCAGAGGCCTCCACCCCTGCCCAAGCACAGTTCAAACCTTCAAGCTCTTGGGGGTACTTTTGTGATGGCTGGGTTGGGGCTGGTGCTTCATCTTCTCTTCCAGTCAGTGGAGTGAAACAGCAGGTCCATCTTGCATGTCTGTGTCTGCAGACGGATGGTCCAGGGCCATCCCTACACCCTCCTGTGCTGGGCCCGCAGGGAAGCCAGTTCTACCAGCAGTCTGCAGGTAACAGGGTCCCAGGCCAGGCGCTCCCCTTGACCCCCTGTGGGTTTGTTCCTGCCACCCGCTCTGCCCCTCCCTGGGTGCCCCCCACCCCCAGATCTCCTGCAAGATGGACGTCAGGGTCCTGGGAGAAAACAGTTCTGTGCTGGGGCCGCTTTGACTCCCAAGGACCCCGTGTCCAGAAGAACGGCAGCTTGTAACCCCATCCCTGTAATGAGAATGAAAATTAATTCAATTTGTATCATTTCCTATAATGCACCATCCTCGGCCTGAGATGGAAATTGTGAGATGTTATTTTCTACTGGAGGCGCGTGGTTTTTTACAGGCAGTGTTAGAATTTTAATCCTTCATGTTCTGAAAAGCATTAGAATCAGTTAGCCTTCCACAGTGCACCGTCTCCCCTCGCGATGAAGCCTGTTCCTTCTGAGGGGCTCCCGTTGGAGGACAGCAAAGGGCCCCACAGTGGAAGGGGTCTTGGCTCTCAGAGCAGCACCAGGTGGCCCAGACAGGACCCAGACATCGTCAACGCCTGCACCTCCAGGGGCCAGGCGCCATGTGTGAATGGCCAAGCTCTCAGAAACAGGGATCATCGGATGAGAGTCCCCCCGGGTGCCTAGGGAGCTTCCGGGGTCTCTCCTACTCTGGTAGGCTCTGGGTACAGGGTCCACGATGGCACACAGCTCCAGAGGCTGCACAGCCCTGTGCTGCCCCGAAGCTGGGCTCCTCTGGTTGGGGCTCCCCTGGTTGGGGCTCCCCTGATCTGGGACATGAATTTCTCTCCCAAGTCCTTGCCACTGCCTGGGGACATCCACCCTCCACCTGTGCGGAATCATCAACACACCCAAGCACAGCCTGGCCGCCTTCTCGTCCTGTGGCCCCGCCTACAGCCACCTTGTGAAAGGGGCCCTCAGTGTTGAGCGTGCCCAGAGTGCTTTCCGGGGATGGACCTCACCTCATTGCCTCCCGAAGGAACCCTGTAGCAGCAGCTGGACCACCCTCCGTGCTTGACAAACAAGGAACCTGGGGCTTAGAGAAGCTGGATGACCTGCCCAGGGCCACTGACATCCTGGGTGGGCACCTGCTCCCGGCCACTGTCTGTGGGCTCCTGGGTTATGGGGGGCACCAGTGCTGGAGTTTTACTTTCTGGGAAACGTTCCCATCTTGATACATGGAGATGGTGCAGTGTGGCACTGGGGGACACAGACAGTGACTCTGCACTGGAAGCTTGAATCTTGTCCCCTGTTCCATGCTTGTGTCTCTGTGGGTGAGTGGCTTTATCTTCCCGTGCCTCTGTTTCCCTAACTGTAAAAGAAAAATAATTTCCTCCCTACCCTACAGGGTCATCAGGGTGTCCAGCATTAAATCACCCAGTGGTAGCTCCCGGCATGAGTGAGTGGTGTGTGACGAGGCTGTGGCTGCAGCCTTGAACCTCAGGATAACCCTGTACTCCTCGTACGCTAAGGGGAAACTGAGGTACATGCCCACTTGCTCACGGTCACGGGGCAGAGGCCGACGAACCCATGGCACCTCTCAGGCCCCGGATCTGCGCTGGCTCCCGTCCACTGCCTTGCTGTGGGCATGAGGAATGGAAACGCTTCCAGAGCAGGGCCTGCCTCTCGGGGTCTCCTCCCGGCCAGGTGCCCTGCCCAGGAGTGGCGGCTCCATCCGTCCAGTGTCTTCCACCTGGACATGCACCCCGTCCTGGCCACCTGAGCGATTGTTATTCTGCACACGGAACACCCAGAGGCCTTCTCGAGTGGAGCCGTATTAATAAGTGTGCACAAGGGCCTACCGGGTATGGAAATTCACAGTGAAGTTAATGATGTCATTAATATTGTGCCCGGCTCCGCAGAGGCCTAAGTGGACCACCCATTCCTCGGTGGCCATTTTTCAAGCTGCAATCTCGTGCTGTTCCTGGAAGAGCTGAGTGCCCTGCCACTAACTAGTCCTCCACAGAAGACCTTTACGCCGATAATGCTCTCCTTTCCCGATGAACTCGCCTCTGCTTCCCCGAAAAGTGCTCCTCCATGCTGGCACGAAGCAAGCGTCCAGTTAATAAAGTGCGTCGTAGGGAGACGCGTTCCTCCACCAGTTCTCTCTGCTGGCCCCGCCGAGCCCTCTCTGTGCTATCGAGAGAACCACCCGGCTGCTGCCCACACCGGGGAGGGCACTGGCCCCAGACCAGAGGGGCGTCACCTGCCCTGGAGGACAGCACACTTGCCACCTGTTTTCCTAATTCAGTGGCATAAGTCAAATACTTGCTACCATACAAGCTGAAGGTGTCTGCTGTGGCGAACCCACATCACACAAGGTGTGACCTGAGGCAAACCAGTGGGGATGTTTACTCTTCTGGGTGAAACTGGGCCTGTATTCGAGGCCACCTTCCACTAAGTAGCAGCTGTGGGACCTTGGAGGAGGCACTGCTTTTCCTGATGCAGTTTCTGTCAATGTCTGTGGGGATATTGATACCCACGCCACAGGCCACACAGACCCCATGGGCACCCATGCTACACACCAGGTAGACACAGTGGGGTGGTTGTCTCTACTCACAGGCTCCATTTTAAAAACCAAAAGCAGAACTAACAAACAGAAAAACCCACACAGCCTCCGTGAATTATTTAGTAATGATTAACTTCAATTTTTGTCTACTGAGGAGATGTACCTAGCTCCGAGCCGCACCCTCTGCAGAGTCCGACAAACCTGGTGCAGCAGCGCTGAGCTGATGGAATTCCCCCAAAACACCCAGCCCTGAGCCGATAGAATCCCCCCAAAACACCCAGCCCTGAGCTGATAGAATCCCCCCAAAACACCCAGCTCCGAGCCGACAGAATCCCCCCAAAACACCCAGCCCTGAGCCGATAGAATCCCCCCAAAACACCCAGCCCTGAGCTGATAGAATCCCCCCAAAACACCCAGCTCTGAGCCGACAGAATCCCCCCAAAACACCCAGCCCTGAGCTGACGGAATTCCATGCAAACCACCCAGCGCTGGAGCTGATAGAATCCCCCCAAAACACCCAGCCCTGAGCTGATAGAATCCCCCCAAAACACCCAGCCCTGAGCTGATAGAATCCCCCCAAAACACCCAGCCCTGAGCAATAGAATCCCATGCAAACCGCCCAGCGCTGGTGCCTGTGCCCTCTGCTCGTGGCCAAAGCTTCGGTTTCCAAGTGCTCTTGTAGGTTGTGGGAGGAGACTGTGGAGACCCACGGCCTACTTTCCTGGGCTCCCCAGGATCCCCAATCTCCAGATAAAAAACCACTGATCCAGGTCTCCTTTCCCTCAGGAAGAAGGAGGACCCAGAGGACATTCCTCACCCATTATCCCAGGTGGGGATTCCGTCTGGTAGCCTTGGTGGGCACTGCCCCGGTGCCTTGGGTTGGGGGTGATACGGCTCAGGGCTGCAGGCCAGGCCCTGGAAGCAGGGAGGAGGCTTGGTGGGAGCGTTTAGGAGCGCTGTTATCTCACGTGCTCGGCAGACCTTTGGAGGATGAGAGGCTGTCCCACCGTTGGGGGGAAGGCACTTCGTGGGTGGTCCTTTTCAGTGCGTGGCTCTCCGTGTGGCACCACTCTGCAGACCCTCCAGAAAGCACCTGCCCAGCGGGAGGCTCCGCAGAAGGTGCCTCTGCTGTGAGGAGGCCAGAAACTCCCAGCACCGCGGTAGGGACGTCGTTGAATTGAACCTTTCTAGATGAGGCTGGTCCCTCAGCAAAAAGATCCCATTTCAGCACAATAGGTTTCCTTTTCCCATTTGGAAGCCTGAGATCAGAGGACTTGTGACAGAATAATTCCTGTGATGGAAAGTAGCATCTTCCTGACAGTGGGTCTGCCGGCACGGACGGGGCCCCCAGGACCGGGACTTCTGAAAAGTGAAGGCGGCCGGACAATACGGGCAGTGGCCACAGTGCAAGGACACTGTGCTGCGTGCTTTCAAGACGCTGTGAAGGCCAGTGCGAGAGAGGCCTTGAGCCACGGTGCCGGCGATGGGCGTGGACCCAGGGTGCACCCAGGCAGCAGGCCTGACCCGCAGCTCCGTGTCACACCTGGAAACGCCGTGAAGGGGCCAGAGGAGCCTGCCCGTGGCCCAAGCCCATGTGGATGGAGTGCAGAATACACGGGAGGAAGAGGCCCAGCTCCTGTTTGGGCTTGGTGGGCGGAGGTGCCCTGGGACTGCCAGGAGGAGGTCTCAGGGCTGGTTGGGGAACGTTGCTGGGGAGTGGCAGGCTGTGTGGACAGGAACATTGCTGGGGAGTGGCAGGGGAGCCTTTTGACTGATCCCACTGATGGGCCATGAGGAGCAGGACCTGTGTCACTTTCTGGCTGGAGTATACAAGGCAAGAGCGGATTTTGTGTGTCCTGCTGTGGAGAGCTGGGGTGAATGCCAGGGTCTCGGGAGGGGAGGAGGTGGAAATGGAGGGAAACTGAGAGCCCACAAGGGCTTGGGCCACAGACAGCCTCCTCTGGCCCCTTCACGGCGTTTCCAGGTGTGACACGGAGCTGCGGGTCAGGCCTGCTGCCTGGGTGCACCCTGGGTCCATGCCCATCGCTGGCACCGTGGCTCAGGGCCTCTCTCGCACTGCACTTCACTGCGTCTTGAAAGCACGCAGCACAGTGTCCGTGCACTGTGGCCACTGCCCGTATTGTCCGGCCGCCTTCACTTTTCAGAAGTCCCGGTCCTGGGGGCCCCGTCCGTGCCGGCAGACCCACTGTCAGGAAGATGCTACTTTCCATCACAGGAATTATTCTGTCACAAGTCCTCTGATCTCAGGCTTCCAAATGGGAAAAGGAAACCTACTGTGCTGAAATGGGACCTTTTTGCTGAGGGACCAGCCTCATCTAGAAAGGTTCAATTCAACGACGTCCCTACCGCGGTGCTGGGAGTTTCTGGCCTCCTCACAGCAGAGGCACCTTCTGCGGAGCCTCCCGCTGGGCAGGTGCTTTCTGGAGGGTCTGCAGAGTGGCGCCACACGGAGAGCCACGCACTGAAAAGGACCACCCACGAAGTGCCTTCCCCCCAACGATGGGACAGCCTCTCATCCTCCAAAAGTCTGCCGAGCACGTGAGATAACAGCGCTCCTAAACGCTCCCACCAAGCCTCCTCCCTGCTTCCGGGGCCTGGCCTGCAGCCCTGAGCCG
Organism: Homo sapiens; assembly: GCF_000001405.40. Classification (NCBI taxonomy): domain Eukaryota; kingdom Metazoa; phylum Chordata; class Mammalia; order Primates; family Hominidae; genus Homo; species Homo sapiens. Next base: position 48,903,268 of record NC_000022.11, read on the forward strand.
TGTCACCCCCAAATTTCTGTGGTGCTGAAATCCTAACCTCCAGTGTAAACGGGATTAGCGCCCTCAGCAAAGGGACTCCAGAAAGAACTCTTGCTCATTTTCACAATGCAACAACCAAAGGTGAAATCAGCTGTGTGCAACCAAAAGAGGACTTTCACCTGAACCCACGCGCTGGCTTTGATGGCTGAAAATCATCTGCGTGCAACCAAAAGAGGACTTTCACCTGAACCCACGTGCTGGTTGTGATGATCACTTTTGTGTGTCAACCTGGCTTAGCCACGGGGTGCCCAGACAGCTGGTAAGACATTATTTCTGGGTGTATCTGTGAGGCTGTTTCTGGAAACGATTAGCAGTTAAATCCATAGACTGGGTGAAGACCCACCTTCCCCCGTGTAGGCAGGTACCCTCCAAGGCTCTGAGGGCCCCAGTAGAACACAAAGGTAGAGGCAGGGAGAATCCTCCTCTCTGTCTTCTGCTCAGCATTGGCGCTCCTGGCCCACGCCTTTTCTGATTCTCCAACTTGCAGAGGTCAGACTCTGCATAATTGTGTGAGCCAATTCCTTATGATAAATCTCCTTCTATACATCTCTATACACGCCCCACTGGCCCTGGTTCTCTGAAGAACTGTGATACGCTGGCACCCTGATCTTGGACTTCTGAGGCTCCAGAACGGTAAGAAATAAATGTTTATCACTTAAGTTCCCCAGCCCGGGATATGTTGTTATAATCGCCCGAACCGACTGAGACAGGCATGAATCCCACGCGTGGGGGACCCACCCTCACGACCTGTCACCTCCCAAAGGCCCAGCTCCCTATACCATGTCCTCGGTGGGTAGGGTTTCAACATTTAAATGTGGGGGACACTCAGTCCATAACAGACCCAGCTCCCTATTCCATGCCTTGGTGGATAGGGTTTCAACATGTGAATTTGGGGGACGCACTCAGTCCATAATAGAAGCAGAGAGGTAGCCTCCTCAGGCTTCGACACCCATCCCCTGGGTACAACCGAGGGACCCTGGGGGAAGACGTTACCTTGTGTTTGTTGTTTTAAATACATTTTGCTTTTGTAATATAAAGTGAGTATAGAAAATACTATATATATTTAAGTCTATGGAACAGTTTATGAATACATTGTACTGCTAGAAATGCAGGTCACATTCCGTTACTAATAAACAAGATGATTCTGCTGACCTCCTGCCTTTAGTCGTGGGAGGCCAAGGCCGCATCCATCCCTGCAGGTCATGAAGCCTTCCACTGCATTTTCGCCGTTCTCTGATCTGGGGTTTTTCAGCCTATAGAACTGCCTCTCCCAGACAAGAGTGAAGATGGCGAAGGGGTGTTTTAGTTTGTTTTTCTCTCTCTGCTCTCTGTTGCCTCACTCCCATCATGATGGAAAACTCGTAAGTGAATCATAAGTGAATACCACCCACCCTGTGAGACAAAGCCCCTCCCGTGGCCCCGCACACCCCCTTTAGCTCCAGGTTCTCTGTCCCCACTCACAGCGGCGCTCCAAGCCCCACTGTCTTCACTGTCTTTGCTTTCTTTCCTTACATTCCGTGTTTTAAATAAACTTTTGATTTGGGACAATTTAGTGGGAAAAGCTGCACACAGAGTCCCCGCATCCTCCTCACCCTCTCAGTTCCTCTGATGTGGGCACCTCCCATGGTGTGGCACGTGAGACCTGCACCCCTCTCACCCTCTCCGTTCCCCTGATGTGGGCACCTCCCATGGCATGGCACATGAGACCCGCATCCCTCTCACCCTCTCCGTTCCCCTGATGTGGGCACCTCCCATGGCATGGCACATGAGACCCGCATCCCTCTCACCCTCTCGGTTCCCCTGATGTGGGCATCTCCCATGGTGTGGCACATGAGACCCGCATCCCTCTCACCCTCTCGGTTCCCCTGATGTGGGCATCTCCCATGGTGTGGCACATGAGACCTGCATCCCTCCCACTTTCTCGGTTCCCCTGATGTGGGCACCTCCCATGGCGTGGCACCTGGTGGGGCACAGGAGAAGCCCACCCTGGTGCATGCCCGCCGTGCACTCGCTCCAGCTGGGTCTGGCCAGGGTATCTGGCCGGTAGCCAAGAGAGGTGGGTGATGAGGGTGAATCCAGGCAGTGCCAGGCCCTGTCTAAGCAGCCCCACTCTGCCCCTTGAGTAGGTGGTCCTGGCCAGGAGACACTGCAGGGTGGACACTGTCCCCACCCCGTTCAGGTGTCCCTCCCACTCCTGGTCCCAGTCATCCACACAAACCTGATGCTGACTTGTGTCTCCTCCCTCGGGGGCCCCCAAGGATGAGTGTCCCATGGTGTCCACGCCTGTGAGGACCACAGCCAGGCATCCTGACGTGAGCCTGGGAGAAGCATCACTCTTATTTCTTTTGGATGACAAAAGGCGTTGCTTGCACCTTTTCCCCCGCAGTGGTCTTTCCTCAAACAGTGGTCTCCTGGCCAGCCTGCTCCTGGCCTCCTGGGCGGGTCTGCAACAGGCAGGACCACACGCTGGTGGGCTCCTGTGGCTGGAACCAGCCTCCTCTCTCCGAGGCAGCCACTGGTGGATGCGCAGGGTCCTGGGCCCAGTATCTCTTTCCCATCACCCCATTAAGGTGTTCTAAAGACAATCATGCCTCCTCTGCTGACCCTGAGGCCCTGCAGAATAAGCAAAGAGCCGCCCCCAGAGCTGCTGCCCATCCCTGAGACTGGCAATTTCCATGGGTGAGGGGGAAGCTGATGGGGACAATGATGTCAAAGAAAATAGAAAATAGCATTTCTGGGGAGTCATCCACCTGCAGGGGAAGGGCCCACGCTTCTCCCATCCCTTGTCACTTGCCTGACGTGCCCTCCCAACTCCAGTTGACTTCTGGCTGATAGGAATATATTGCCATTAAAAGTAACGGCACAACCCAGCAAAGCTAGGGTGGTCCTGCTGGCTCCTCCGATTAGCAGGAAATAAGGTTGGGAGAAGGACACAAGTTCATATGGAAATGAAATCAAACCCAGCACCACGTGGCGGCAGAGGGATCTCTTTCTTAACCCCGTCCCCGGCGCTGTTTCAATATTACATTTTTTCCTTGGGTTCTGGAAAATGAAACACCTTCTGCCCATTATGCTCTGAAATCGAGCACATTTGGGGACAGCAGGCTGCGGGGATGAGAGCAGGCATGGCAGCTGTGCGGTGTTGCTTCCCCCAGCCTTCCCCGCAAGGCCAGTGCCCCTAATTTTCAGTGCAGGAGGAAGCAGAGCCTATCTTCACATTTACCTTCCCTCTGAAAGTGCGTTTGTGTCAGTGCCCTGATTACAGGGCCTCTGATGTGTGAGGACACTGGGTTCGGAGGTGTCCCTGGGCCTGGGGGGACATGAGCGCATAAAGCCGTCGGTGGGATGCTGACTGTGTGGGAGGTGCTCGCATGAACATAGATTATCTCTAAACCTCACAGGAGGCTTAGACATCATCTATGCTTCCAGAAGCTCCAGTTGACAGAGGCCGGAGTGTGGGAGTTCGCAACATGCATAATCACATCAGCCAGTTCTCAGGATAAATACTCTGTTTTCTCTGTGTCTATTTATCTCTTTATCTACCTCCCCATACCTCTATCTCTATGTCGCTGTCTCTTTCTATCCTTATTCCTGTCCTTTTCTCTAGCTCCATCATTGTCTCCCTCCCATTCCTATCCTTACCTCCATCTCTATCCCTAACCCTATTCCTAGTGCTATCCCTGTCTGTCTAATGCCCACTTCCCTGGCCTGGGTGATGGCGCAGGTGGTATCCACCGTGGTGACAGCAGCTACACCTAAGCCAAGAGGTGTAGGCAGAGTCACTGCCCTGTTTTTAAGGGTTGGTAGGAATCGAGTTTTAGCATTAATGCATAATTTTTCAGTTAGTTGTATTAGTTACGTAACTGAGGGCTCGTTTCTCATAGTGACGAGCACAGTTCTTAAAAGTCCAATCCAGTGAGTTTTGACACAACTGAACCTCAGTAGCACACGTCACAACCAAAATCAGGAAGATGTCACCTCCCTGAAAGCTTCCTTGTGCCACCTCCTGCGGTACCCATTGCCCTGCTGCCCATCTCCATTGACTGGCCTCGCCTGTCCAGAAACTTTATAGAAATGGAACAGGGTTAGGGTGTGTGCTTGATTTCAGTAGCTGCTTTTACTCGGTGTAATGCTTCTGAGACGCCTCTGTGTGATCAGGTCTAAGTGGCTGGATTTGTATTGCTGAGTGATATTCCCGTGGATGAAGAGTCCACAGTTTGTTTATAAAACAAAGTCACCTGTTGAGTGTTTAAATTGTTTCCAGTCTGAGACTCTTATGAAAAAGCTGCTATGAATATTTTTATGCCGATGTTTCTGTGAACCTGCTTTCATTTTATCCAAATACATACCTAGGTGTAGGGTCCAGCCCTACGGGGCTTAGTGGGTGTTCTCCCCGTGTGCGGAGACGAGAGACTGTAATAAAGACACAAGACAAAGAGATAAAGAGAAAACAGCTGGGCCCCGGGGGACCACTACCATCAAGACGCGGAGACTGGTAGTGGCCCCAAAGGGCTGGGCGCGTTGATATTTATTGCATACAAGACAAGGGGGCAGGGTAAGAAGGGTGAATCTTCTGAGTGATTGACAAGGTGAAGCAAGTCACGTGATTACAGGATAGGGGGCCCTTCCTTTTTAGGTAGCCGAAGCAGAGAGAGAAGGCAGCATACGTCAGCGTTTTCTTCTATGCACTTATAAGAAAGATCAAAGACTTTAAGACTTTCACTATTTCTTCTACTGCTATCTACTACGAACTTCAAAGAGGAACCAGGAGTACGGGAGGAGCATGAAAGTGGACAAGGAGCGTGACCATTGAAGCACCACGGGGAGGGGGTTAGGCCTCCGGATGACTGCGGGCAGGCCTGGATAATATCCAGCCTTCCACAAGAAGCTGGTGGAGCAGAGTGTTCCCTGACTCCTTCAAAGAAAGGAGACTGCCTTTCGCAGTCTGCTAAGTAAAGGGTGGCTTCCCAGGCACTGAGTTACTGCTTGACCAAGGAGCCCTCAAGCGGCCCTTATGCGGGCGTGACAGAAGGCTCACCTCTTGCCTTCTAGGTCACTTCTCACAATGTCCCTTCAGCACCTGACCCTATACCCGCCGGTTATTCCTAGGTTATATTAGTGATGCAACAAAGAGTAATATTAAAAGCTAATGATTAATAATGTTTATAATGATTGATAATTCTTCATGGTCATCTCTATATCTAATTTGTATTATGACTATTCTTATTCTAATTATTTTCTTTATTATACTGAAACAGTTTGTGCCTCAGTCTCTTGCCTTGGCACCTAGGTAATCCTCCGCCCACACCTAGGAGTAGAATTTGAGAATCATGAAGTAGAGACGTGTGTTACACTGTGAGAAACAACAAAACATCTTCCAAAGTGATTGCGCCAGGAACCACGCAGGGGTGCCTGTTCCAGCTCCTCGGTAATTTTGCCCACGCTGCACGCTGCCAGTCTTTTCAATTTCAACCATCCTAGTGGGAAACACCTGGCATGTGTGTGTCCCCCCGTGATTAATGACGCCAGCAACTTGGCATGTGCCTTTTGGCTATTTGTGTATTTTCTTTTGTGAAGTGTTTCTATACATTTTTGTCAATTTGTTTGGACTGTTTTCTTCTTCTGGAATTGTAGGAGCTATTTTTTTCCTATCTATTTTGGATCTGTGTCCTTTGTCAGATATGTGCACTGTGAATATTTTCTTCCCATGTCTTGCTTTTTCATTTTCTTAGAGGTGTCTTTTGTCGAGCAGATGCTTTAATTATGATAAAGACCAATTTTATCAGTTTTCTGTGGTTAGGCTTTCTGCGTCTCATCTAAGAAACATATGCCTATCTCAAGATGATGAATTATTCTTCTATGTTCTCTTCTAGAAGTTTAATGGTTTTGCTGCTTATGCATAAGTCTGTGATGAATCTTGAATTACTTTTTGTGTATAGTGTGAGGCAGGCATAAGATATTTCTAATGATAACTCACCTGCTCCAGCACCATCTCCCTTCCCCACTGAATTTCACCAGGATCTTTGTTTCACATCTATTGACCAAGAAGTTCTGTATCCATTTCTGGACATCTTATTCTGCCCGTTGGCTTTTCTTTCTGCACACTGACACTGCGCTGTCTCGATTCCTGGTGATTTATAGTAAGCCTGGACTAAGGTACTGAAGTCCTGCAACTTCTGTCTTTCTTTGAAAGTTTGCTTTGGCTGTTCTAAGTCATTTCCATTTTTTTATGAATCTGCTTGTAAATTCCTCCAAAGAGATTCTGCTTGGACTTCTGTTGAGATTGATTTTAAGCTATAAATCTATTTGGGGGGAACTAACATCTTATAAACATCGAGTCTTCCAATATGAACATGATGTATTTTCCTTTTATTTGTGTCTTCTTTCACTGTTAATAATGTTGTCATTTTGATTGTAGAGGTCTTGCATATCTCTCTTTAAATGTATTCTGAAGCATGTTACGTTTTCAAATGTAAATAATATTTTTAAATTTTCATTTATTCTTTTTCCTAATGTATAGAAGTACGATTGAATGTGTTTATAAATGTAACTCGTAAGGCTGCTAAATTTGCTTACAGTTGTGATTGTGTTGATTGATTTTTAAGTTCTTAGTTATGACGTATTATTCTTATAAATATTGGAATATCTAATTTGCTAGTATTTTTGTTAAGCATTTTCTAATCTATGTTCATTAGGGATGCTGCTCCAACTTCATTTCCTTATAATATCTTCACCAGGTTTAGGTACCAGGATTGTGCTGGCCTTATAGATTAAGTGTGTAATCTTAAATCTATGAGGAAGTGTGTAATTGTTCATTCTTTGAAAAGATTTCTTTTTTCTTTTTTCTTTTTTTTTTTAGAGGAAGTCTCACTCTGTCGCCCAGGCTGGAGTCCAGTGGCACGATCTTGGCTCACTCCAGCCTCCGCCTTCCGGGTTCAAGCGATTCTCCTGCCTCGGCCTCCTGAGTAGCTGGGATTGCAGGGATGTGCCACCATGCCTGGCTAATTTTTGTATTTTTTTTTAGTAGAGATGGGGTTTCACCATGTTGGTCAGGCCGGTCTTCAACTCCTGACCTCGTGATCCGCCCGTCTCAGCCTCCCAAATTGCTGGGATTATGATTGGTATTTTTTTCCTTAAATCTGTGACCAAATTCCCAAAAAAGTATAACTTTCTGAAATCTTTCATTGTGGTTGAAGTCTCCCCCCGCTACCCAGGTTCTGAAATCTTTCATTGTGATTGAAGTCTCCCCCTTCACCCGCCCCAGATTCTGAAATCTTCCATTGTGGTTGAAGTTTCCCCCCAGATTCTGAAATCTTTCACTGTGGTTGAAGTCTCTCCCTGAGATTCTGAAATCTTTCATTGTGGTTGAAGTCTCCCCCTGAGATTCTGAAATCTTTCATTGTGTTTGAAGTCTCCCCCTGAGATTCTGAAATCTTTCATTGTGGTTGAAGTCTCCCCCCAGATTCTGAAATCTTTCATTGTGGTTGAAGTCTCCCCTCCCGACCCAGATTCTGAAATCTTTCATTGTGGTTGAAGTCTCCCCCCCCCACACCCAGGTTCTGAAATTTTTCATTGTGGTTGAAGTCTCCCCCCAGATTCTGAAATCTTTCACTGTGATTGAAGTCTCCCCATGAGATTCTGAAATCTTTCATTGTGGTTGAAGTCTCCCCCTGAGATTCTGAAATCTTTCATTGTGGTTGAAGTCTCCCCCTGAGATTCTGAAATCTTTCATTGTGGTTGAAGTCTCCCCCCACCACACCGAGGTTCTGAAATCTTTCATTGTGGTTGAAGACTCCCCCCGCTACCCAGGTTCTGAAATCTTTCATTGTGGTTGAAGTCTCCCACCCAAGATTCTGAAATCTTTCATTCTGGTTGAAGTCTCCCCCCGCTACCCAGGTTCTGAAATCTTTCAAGGTGGTTGAAGTCTCCCCGCCCACACCCAGGTTCTGAAATCTTTCATTGTGGTTGAAGTCTCCCCCTGAGATTCTGAAATCTTTCATTGTGGTTGAAGTCTCCCCACTCCCCCGCCCAGATTCTGAAATCTTTCATTGTGGTTGAAGTCTCCCATGCAAGATTCTGAAATCTTTCATTGTGGTTGAAGTCTCCCCCCCCACACCCAGGTTCTGAAATTTTTCATTGTGGTTGAAGTCTCCCCCCAGATTCTGAAATCTTTCACTGTGATTGAAGTCTCCCCCTGAGATTCTGAAATCTTTCATTGTGGTTGAAGTCTCCCCCTGAGATTCTGAAATCTTTCATTGTGGTTGAAGTCTCCCCCTGAGATTCTGAAATCTTTCATTGTGGTTGAAGTCTCCCCCCACCACACCGAGGTTCTGAAATCTTTCATTGTGGTTGAAGACTCCCCCCGCTACCCAGGTTCTGAAATCTTTCATTGTGGTTGAAGTCTCCCACCCAAGATTCTGAAATCTTTCATTCTGGTTGAAGTCTCCCCCCGCTACCCAGGTTCTGAAATCTTTCATGGTGGTTGAAGTCTCCCCGCCCACACCCAGGTTCTGAAATCTTTCATTGTGGTTGAAGTTTCCCCCTGAGATTCTGAAATCTTTCATTGTGGTTGAAGTCTCCCCACTCCCCCGCCCAGATTCTGAAATCTTTCATTGTGGTTGAAGTCTCCCATGCAAGATTCTGAAATCTTTCATTGTGGTTGAAGTCTCCCCCCGCTACCCAGGTTCTGAAATCTTTCATTGTGGTTGAAGTCTCCCCCCAGATTCTGAAATCTTTCATTGTGGCTGAAGTCTCCCCCTCAAGATTCTGAAATCTTTCTTTGTGATTGAAGTCTCCCCCCAGATTCTGAAATCTTTCATTGTGGTTGAAGTCTCCCCCTGAGATTCTGAAATCTTTCATTGTGGTTGAAGTCTCCCCCCGCCACCCAGGTTCTGAAATCTTTCATTGTGGTTGAAGTCTCCCCCCAGATTCGGAAATCTTTCATTGTGGTTGAAGTCTCCCCCTGAGATTCTGAAGTCTTTCATTGTGATTGAAGTCTCCCCCCCTCACACCCAGGTTCTGAAATCTTTCATTGTGATTAAAGTCTCCCCCCGCTACCCAGGTTCTGAAATCTTTCATTGTGGTTGAAGTCTCCCCCTGAGATTCTGAAATCTTTCACTGTGGTTGAAGTCTCCCCCCCCCACACCCAGGTTCTGAAATCTTTCATTGTCTTTGAAGTCTCCCCCTGCTACCCAGGTTCTGAAATCTTTCATTCTGGTTGAAGTCTCCCCCCATATTCTGAAATCTTTCATTGAGGTTGAAGTCTCCCCCCAGATTCTGAAATCTTTCACTGTGGTTGAAGTCTCCCCCCTCCCCCGCCCTTGATTCTGAAATGTTTCATTGTGGTTGAAGTCTCCCCCCTCCCCCCAGATTCTGAAATCTTTAATTGTGGTTGAAGTCTCCCCCCAGATTCTGAAATCTTTCACTGTGGTTGAAGTCTCCCCCTGAGATTCTGAAATCTTTCATTGTGGTTGAAATCTCCCCCCCCCGCCACACCGAGGTTCTGAAATCTTTCTTTGTGGTTGAAGTCTCCCCCCGCTACCCAGGTTCTCAAATCTTTCATTGTGGTTGAAGTCTCCCCACCCAGATTCTGAAATCTTTCATTGTGGTTGAAGTCTCCCCACCCAGATTCTGAAATCTTTCACTGTGGTTGAAGTCTCCCCCCTCCCCCGCCCCAGATTCTGAAATCTTTCATTGTGGTTGAAGTCTCCCCCCAGGTTCTGAAATCTTTCACTGTGGTTGAAGTCTCCCCCGAGATTCTGAAATCTTTCATTGTGGTTGAAGTCTTCCCCCCAGATTTTTCATTTCTTCTTTTGTGAATTTTGCTAAGTTAGGCTTTTTATGTATTTTTCCACTTTAGCTAAGTTGTGAGATTATTGATATGAAGTTGTTTCTATTATTTGTTATCCTTTTAATGTATGGCTGAGTCCCTTTGTTCCTGATAATTTGTTTTTTCTTTGTTTGTTATCTATTGATCTAGTTAGAAGTTTATCACATGTAATAATCTTTTCAAATAATCACCTTCTGAATATTTATATTCTTCTATTTTCTCTTTTATCTATTTCTCCTGAAATCTTTATTCTTTTCTTTTTAATTCAGTAATTCATTTGTTCATTAGTAAACAATGCTTTTGCACATCTAGGTCCACGTTGACAGTAGTCAAATGTGGGGATGTTTTACAGAATATATAATCGCAGCCTTTACATTCTGCTATTGCAAAGATTGACCTTATTGGGTCCAGCAATATTCCCCAACCATTGGGCTAAAAACTGATTAGCTTACCTACTAGTTACCTACCAGATTATTTTTGATGCCTTTGATAGGAGTTCTGTATGCAGTTTTAATACATTTTGCTTTATTTTTATTTTCATTTTTATTTTCATTTTTTTCTACTTCCCCTGGTTTAATTCGCTTTACCACATAACTCCTTAAGGCAGAATTATATATGACTGAAATCATGAATCTCTTATTTTTTAAACTTAAAATATAAATCTATAAATTTCCTTCTAAGCTACTGTTATCTGTATCTTCTACAATTTTATATGTCTGGTATTCATTATCATTTTTTTTTCCTAATAATCCTTGTGGTTCCCCTCTCTAACCCATGAATTACATAGAAGTGAGTTATTTAATTTTCAAATATATGAGTGTTTTATGTAACAATTTTTTTATTGATTTCTATTTCAATTCCCTTGTGATTAGAAAATATAATTTGTACAATTTCAGTCTTTTGAACTTCACTGAGACATGTTTCAAGGCTCAGCTTATGGTGAATTTGGAAGTTTATCCTGTGAGCGCTTAAAATCGTGCGTATCCCACAGTTTGGGTTTGCAGTGTTCCACAAGTGCCAATTAGTCGAAGTGGGTTGACAGAGCTAGTCACATCTTCTTTACCTCACTCATTTTTCTACTGTTATTTTCATATTTTTGATCTATTAATTTCCAAGAGAGGACTATTAAAACCTCCCTCTGTAATTGTGGATCTATTTTCTTTCTTAATTCTGTTGTTTTTTTGCTTCGGGTATTTAAAGCACTTTTTCTCTCTCTCTGCGTGCACTTTAAAAACTACTGTTTTTGAATGAATTTATTTTTCATTTTAAAATGTTCCTCCTTTTATCTGATACTACTTCTTGTCTTAAAGTCCGCTTTGAATGCAGCCACTCGTGTTTTCATTGTGCATCTTCGACTCGTTTTTACTTTTTATTAATTTATCTGGCTCTTTGTATTTAAATTGTATGTCTTATAAACAGAATACAATTACGTCTTTCTTTTCATCCATCCTGTCGCCGACTTAATTAGAGCACTTAGACCATTTATACATAAAGTTATACTTGATTTGATTTGCCTACTATCTTTTTGTTTTCAATGTATCCCATATGTTCTTGGTTCTATCTTTGTCGCTTTATTCTTGATTGATTATATTTTACTGCTCTTTTCCTTCTTCCACTGACTTATTTTTGTTGTTTGATTCCATTGGTTGCCCAATTTCACTGGCAAACCAAAAATAACCATTTATTTTAGTTTCATTACATTACAATATGTTTAATATGCAATAAATGCATCATTTCAAGGTATATAAATCTATAAATTTTGTTACCATCACAATCAGGACATGTGACATTTGTAACAGCTCCAAAAGTTACTCTTGCCTTCCAGTAACTTCACACCCCCTCCACAGCACCCATCACGCAGTTCTCCTTTTGCTCTCTAGCTTTGACCCTTCTAGAATTCTTTCATTTGGTATTGGTTTTGTGTCTGACTTCCTTCACTTAACATAATGATACAGAGATTTATCCATGCTGTAGTGTGGCATTGGTAAATATTGTTACTCTGTTTTATTGCAGACTAGTATTCCTTAGTACAGATATACCACAACGTGTGTATGTATGCATCAGTTGAAGAGCATTTTTTACAGCTATTTTGAATAAAGCTGCATGAATATTCATGTGCAAGCCTTTATGTGGGTGTACGTTTTCACTTTTCTTAGATAAATACCGAAGATGGAAATTATTAAGTCATGTGACAACGTGTCCTGAGCTTTACAAAAAACTGCTGAACCCTTTTCCAAATTGCCTGTCTCACTTTGCATTTCTGCTAGCAACGTATGAAAATTCTAATTTCTTCACATCCTTAGTAATACTTGGTATCTTCAGTCTTTTAAATTTCAACCATTCTAATGGGCATGAAGTGGTATCTCATTGTAGTTTTAATTTGCATTCTTCTAAAGTTGAATGAAGTTGAGCATCTTTTCATATGCTTATTAACCCCATGTTTACCTTCTTCAGTATAGCATCTGTTCACATGTTTTGCCCATTTCTTAAATGTTTTGTTTGACATCTTATTACTGAGTGTGAGAGTTCTGCAAATATTCTGGATACAAGGCTTTTATATTTGCTTTTTCAACTATTTTGTGAAAAACCAGTCTGTGGTTTGCCTTTTCAGTTTCTTGGGTGGTTTGAAGAGCAAACATTTTAATTTTGATGAAATCTCACTTATTGTTTTTTAAAAATTCTGTAGTTCAAGTTTCTAATAGCTTATTAATAAATACTTGCTTAAAATGCTTCTATATTCAAAATATTGGTGGTTTTAACGTTTGGTTCTATTATCTATTTCAAGTTAATTTGTGCATATTGTGTGAAGTCAGGGTTGTAGTTCACCATGTTGCATACGAATATACATTATTTGCAGCACTATTTGTTCAAAATATTGTGCTTTCCTATTAAATTATCGACACCTTTGTCAAAAATCAATTGACCATATTTCTTAGGGTCAGTTTCTGGACTTCTATTGGAAGTCCTTTAGCCTTATCTCAACTGGCTGGAACAAGTTGGAGCCATCTTGGAATATGCACATTCAAACCTTTGACCAGGGGATGATACGCTTTTTATGGATTTAGGAAATTTGGAAGAACTTCTCTATTCCCCACACCCTGCGTACCTAGATCCACTGCGTACCTAGATCCCTGCGTACTTAGAGCCCTGCGTACCTAGATCCCTGTGAACCTAGATCCACTGTGTATCTAGATCCCTGCGTGCCTAGATCCCTGCGTACCTAGATCCCTGCGTACCTAGATCCCTGCGTACCTAGATCCCTGCATACTTAGAGCCCTGCATACCTAGATCCCTGTGAACCTAGACCCACTGTGTATCTAGATCCCTGCATACCTAGATCCACTGCATACCTAGATCCCTATATACCTAGGTTCACTGTGTACCTAGATCCCTGTGTGCCTAGATCCCTGCATACCTAGATCCCTGAGTACCTAGATCCCTGCGTACTTAGAGCCCTGCGTACCTAGATCCCTGTGAACCTAGATCCACTGTGTATCTAGATCCCTGTGTACCTAGATCCCTGCATACCTAGATCCCTGCGTACCTAGATCCCTGCATACTTAGATCCCTGCGTACCTAGATCCCTGTGAACCTAGACCCACTGTGTATCTAGATCCCTGCGTACCTAGATCCCTGCGTACCTAGATCCCTGCGTACCTAGATCCCTGCATACTTAGAGCCCTGCGTACCTAGATCCCTGTGAACCTAGATCCACTGTGTATCTAGATCCCTGTGTACCTAGATCCCTGCGTACCTAGATCCCTGCATACCTAGATCCCTGCGTACCTAGATCCCTGCATACTTAGAGCCCTGTGTACCTAGATCCCTGTGAACCTAGACCCACTGTGTATCTAGATCCCTGCGTACCTATATCCACTGCATACCTAGATCCCTACATACCTAGGTTCACTGCGTACCTAGATCCCCGTGTACCTAGATCCACTGCGTACCTAGATCCCTACATACCTAGATCCACTGCGTACCTAGATCCCTACGTACCTAGATCCGCTGCATTGGAATGATGCCCTGTCTACAGACAAACGTCCTGTCTTCCCCCTTGGTGTTGAATTGCGTGTTGATCTGCTTGTGTTTGAAGAGCATTTCTGGAGCCAGTGCCCTGGCCTCACCACTGGATATTCTATCTTGGGCAGCTGTTGCCTCTTTAAACACCAGTTTCCTCACTTCTAAAATAGGGTAAAATGATAATACCTACTTTGTTATGCCACTGGAAAGATTAAAGGAGAGAATGTATGTGTCATTTACATAAGATAAATACTCAGTAGACACCCACTCATTCACTTAGTAAATGTTTATTGCAGGTCATCATGTGCCGAGCGCTGGAAGTACTCTGAAAAACGTGTCCTTACTCATGTGACACTTTCCTTTTAATTGGGACGAAAGCCAGGAAACATGTGAGTCTTTTAATGATGAGATGTGAAAAAAAAAAATAAAGCCTCATATCTGGAAAGGTGGCACTGGCAATAGCAGCATAGTTTTAGCATTTTCCCCACATCCTACACAAAATTAGAGTAATTAGATTTTTTTTTTTAATGGAAGGAGGCTTCGAATATTGAAGAAGGCACATCTGGGAGCAGAGACCCAGGGACAGCCTGGCCCGGGCCTGGGCACCCCACCAGCACTGAATTCTTAAAGAGAACTTGGAAAACTCTAAGGTAGGCACACCCCAAAGCCAGCCTTGCCTGCCGAGATCTGAGGGTTGAACAGGCCTAGAACCTCCTGACAGCCCAGAGAGTGAGGAAGCCATCAAAGACTCAGGAGCCAACTCGAAGGGACCCCACTGGCCGATGATGATGTGATTTATGCCCCAACCAGGATGAGGACTGCAGTTGATTGAAACCCATCATGTCTGCTTGAATCATTCAAATCATGGCATTAGAACAAAATGCACAGAGCACCTGGTGGATACAGAAAAAGATTCATTATCTTAAAAATTAGATACCTCAAGTGAATCATCCAGCACTGATCTGCAGAGAACCAACTCTGTGGCCTGTATCACAGAATAACTGCATGTGGCTGCAAGGAAGAGTCTCCTTATAAAACTTTTTCGGGCCGGACATGGTGGCTTATGCCTGTAATGCTAGCACTTTGGGAGGCCAAGGTAGGTGAGTTGCTTGAGCCCATGAGGTTGAGACCAGAGTGGGCAACATGGCAAAACCCTGTCTCTATCAAAAATAAAAAAAATTAGGGCCGGGCACGGTGGCTCACGCCTGTAATCCCAGCACTCTGAGGCTGAGGTGGGCAGATCACGAGATCAGGAGATCGAGACCATCCTGGCTAACTCGGTGAAATCCCGTCTCTACTGGGGAAAAAAAAAAAAAAAAAAAAAAAAAATTAGCCGGGCGTGTTGGCAGGCGCCTGTAATCCAGCCTGGGCAACAAAGTGAGACTCTGTCTCAAAAACAAAAATGTATTGAGCTGTTAAAGGAAAATAAAACAGTAGTATTAGGATACTTTCCAGTGAATTGTAACATCTCGGTGTGGAACGTCCATAACTGCTAGAATGAAAACAGCACCTCTTCGTGGGAGAGACACCCAGGGTTGTGCCCAAGAGGTGGACTCTGAGCCAGGGGAAGCCTCCAGGTCTGGCTGCTGATGGCCCATCCTCCACCATGAGCAACATCCAGGCGGTGGCAAACCCTCCAGCTCAAACAACCTGGTGTTTACAAAAGATAAACCTGGTGTTTACAAAAGGAAAAGAAGAGGCTCTGAGGGTAAGCTGCTGATTGAAAGAGGCTTAAGGGGTCTATCAAGCAAAACAACAAAACTGGTTAAGACTAAGCTATTGTGTCTTGGAATAAGCACTTGGCTAATAAATCCATAAAGAAATTTGAGGCAGTGGTGGCTCTACGAGTCAGGACAGCTGGGGGAGCTGTGCTGGTGCCCAGATGGGAAATGCTGGGAAGGACATTTAGGGGTAAAATGAGCCTGTGGCTTTGAGTATGACATTGAGGGGTCTGGATACTGACATGAGGATGCTGGGCTCAGCCTGATTCTGAGGAAACTGTGAGGCAGAAACTTCCTGGGGGCCGCGGCCAGGCTTTTGAGGACTTGCATCCCTCGGAGGTGCATGTGTGTGTGTGTGTGTGTGTGTGTGTGTGTGACTCCCAGGCATCTCCCGGCTGCCAGCTCCCACTGCGGAAGAGTGATCCTCCTGACGAGGGTGCAGCGGGGAGCCCCTCGCAGCTGGGGGTAAGAAGCCAGCCTTGGGCGGGCTGCCATTCAGAGCACGGTGGGGCCCGCGACAGGAGCCTCCACCACAGATGCAAGGACAATGGCCTGGGTTTCCATGGCTTCAGGACCAGCTGCCCTCGTCCGACCAAGGCGGCAGGAATCTCCCAGCTGCAGGTCAGCGGCTTCCCTGGTCCAAAGACTCATCTCTAAAGCGGCGGTTCACGCGAGCTGCAGAGTGGCTGGGGCATGTAGAGGCCTGTTCATCCCTTCATGAGCCTGGCAGCTGCTTTTTTTTTTTTTTTGAGATGGAGTCTCACTCTGTTGCCAGGCTGGAGTGCAGTGGCATGATCTCGGCTCACTGCAACCTCCGACTCCCTGGTTCAAGTGATTCTCCTGCCTCAGCCTCCCAGGTGGCTGCGATTACAGGCACGCACCACCCCGGCCAGCTAATTTTTGAGAAATACGTTATCTTAACACAGTGGAATTTAAGTCACCATAAACCTCCTTTTCAAGATGGATCAGGTTTCAGAAGTGTCCTGCGTCCTGGAGCCAGGTCCTGCCCCCTGACCCTGCTCATGCGAGGTCCTGACAGACCCTGGACATCGAGTGCCCCTGGCTCACAGATTCGGGGGACACACAAGTGGTTTCACTCCAGGCAGCGATATGGGTCCTCACACTTGAGGTCGGTGAGTTTCTGTAATGAAGCCCCTTTGGATGCAGGGCAGGCTGGACATCGAGGCCCTCCAGGCTCGGGCACCTTCCCACAGAGGAAGCACCTCTCTGGCCACGGGGCACTGGGGCCACACGATTGCCCTCTATTGCCGTTCATAGGGCCTGCCCTCTCTCACCCCTAGGAAATGTGCTCCTCCTGGTTAGGAACGGCTCTGGTAGCTCTCCACCCCCCCGGGGCAAGCCACCTCCTGGCTTGGTTACACTCCTGCTTGCTTCTGGTCCCCTCGGAGGGGCAGGGACCCAGGGTCTCTGGTGCTGTGCTGGCACAGTGACAGCCAGGCACACAGCAGGCACTCACTCTGTGAACAGGTGGTCAGGGGGTCACAGGGACACGCACAGCCTGAGGTTCTGGGGCAGGGTCTGCGCTCAGCTCCGGAGCTCCTCATCCAAGGAGGGGCAAGGGCAGGCTGGGTGCCTGGGCCCAGGGGCACTTGGGACCCATCTCAGTGGAGAGGCACTGAGGTTGAGGAGTTTCCTAAGAGAGAACTGGGTTGTGTATTTGTGTGTGTGTCCAGGAGAAAGAGAGAGAGACAGAGAGGGTTCCACTAAAACTCTCTGCTCTGAAGGGCTGCCCTGTGGAAGGAAGAGTGCAGGGGAAGGGGGAGTCCAGAGGAAAACTTGAGAGTGGACTTTTCAAGGAAAAAGATGTCCCGGAAAGAAAGACTTTGCTCTCAGCTCTGCCTGCACATACAACAGTTCTCCGGGAGTGGGAAGTGGGGAGGGTCCCTTCACTGTGGGTAGAAGAGGCAGCAAATCTGAAGCCAGTGCCAGGAGGGGGCATGGGCTGGGGGCCTTCTGAGTACTCCTGGTGGCTACAGTCATGGCGCTGCAGCTGGCCCAGAGCCCTGGGGTGCACGTGGGTGATGACATGGGGCCGGCAGGAAGGAGACATTTATTGACCCACCTGCTGCTTACTGGACATTAAACAAGCGGCTGAAATGTGTCTCATCCCAGATTGGCTGGCTTTACGGCCGTTCTGACACAGAGCAGATGGGGGCGTGTAGACGAGGCCTGCCAGATCCTGGAGGGCTCTGCACTCAGTTTCTTCTCCAAGCCATGCTGCTGGCCGGGGCCTGCTGGTCACCCACCCGTGGGAATGAAGGGGGACCACGGAGCCCCAGCTCGGGACAGGTAGGCTCTTCCAGTGGGCCTGCGAGCCCTCCTACAATCAGTGCCAGAACAAATTCAGGATGAGGACCAGTCTCCTGAACGCAGTGTGGAAGCCACCTCCTATGACTCTCTTTGTGGATTGGCTCGCATTTTATTTTGTAACAAATTCACCATCACTTTGCTCTCCCAAGGTTCTGGGTCACACAGAAATAAAAGAATAAAAGCCCATTTAACATTGTTCATAACAGCCTTTGTGATTAGGAAAATGACAGGCATTCATTCCTGCTCAATCCGCAGCTCCTAAGTCAAATTTCACAAAGGCGTTGTTGATGAATTCTGTGAATGGGGGGCTGGTGTGCCGGCTTTGCTTTCCCCATGATAAATATTCATGTGGAGACCAGAGACAAAGACATTGAGGTTCAAATCCAGGGCACGCTTGTATGCAGCCCTGAACACGCTGGATTCTGCAGAAATGCCCCGTGTGTCATAAGACATGTGAGAGCCACCGCCTCCCCTGGACTCAGTGACGAGGGCTGTGCATCAGGCACCTTGCAGGCAATACTCAGACCTGACTGCCCGCAGCCGTGGGCCTTATTGGAGGCTACAGGTGAGCTTTGAGAAGCTGGGAGAAGAAAAGACCTCTCGGTTGCTATGTGGCAGTCGCTGGGTTGTGGAGAAGGGACGCTGGTCTACAGGATGCTGGGCTCATTGCAGAAGCCCCAAACTTGAAGAATGTCAGATGCACCAGAGTCGACTACAGTCCCCTCCTCACGGGAGCCCCGAAGGAGGAGTTCCAGGTTTAGCTTTGCCATGTAAATAGTTCAGAAGTCATCACTTCCATCCTGCCAACACGAAAAAGGCTGAACAAACTGAAAATCAATGACTTTCCTTGCACCGTCTGAGAATTAAGGAGGCAGGACAAACTGCCTCCCTGCAATCTGGAAAGACAGATGGATGTGCAGAATCACAGCTGAGGCCCGATCACCTGGGCGGAAGCCACTGCAGCCTCACACGAGCGGGAACGCACACACGCTCGTTTTGATGACTTGTGAAGGCCAAGCGTGGATTGGCTGGAGAGAGAGAAACTCCTGGGGACTACAGGTTAAGGGGGACTCCACACTTGTGTGGGATCTACCTCCAGGAACCCCACCAGGTTCCTGTAGTGAAGAGCACAGGAAGCCTTTCTAATGTCTGGGCAGGAGGAGGGCCACAGAGCCTTTCTGAAACCTGCCCAGTGTTCTCCATAACAGATGCCTACTTAGCAGTCAGGAAGGAAAGCACCGAAGCCTGTGCACTTGGGGGCAGGGTGCGGGCTCACTCCAGCTCCCCCTGGGTTCTTGTCTCACTGAAGAGGGGAAGAAAGGTAGGAAACGCTTGTAGAGGACAAGCCAAAGACACAGACCCACTAAGGAAGTGAAACTTAATCATAGGATTATCAAAAGCTTCACCTCCCCGCAATTCACTGCTCCGCTGATGGGGCTTCCAGACATTGGTAGAGGATTACAGCAGAAAAGATGCAAGCTACACCCTCTCACTCTGGAGGTGAAGCCCAGGCAACTGGTAGTGAGAGGACAGACCAAAGCAAAGAATGTTCCCGGAGCCTGCAGCCCCAGCACTCACTGAACATATCTACTAGCCAGATTAGCACAAAACCTCATGCTAAAGACCGACTTACTCCAGTCCCTATTAACAGGTACATCACATATGGCTTTTTTGTTGTTGTTGCTTGTTTTTTTGAGATGGAGTCTCGCTCTGTCACCCAGGCTGGAGTGCAGTGGCGCAATCTCGGCTCACTGCAAGCTCCGCCTCCCGGGTTCACGCCATTCTCCTGCCTCAGCCTCCCGAGTAGCTGGGATTACAGGTGCCCGCCACCACGCCTGGCTAATTTTTTGTATTTTTAGTAGAGATGGGGTTTCACCGTGTTAGCCAGGATGGTCTCGATCTCCTGACCTCGTGATCCGCCCGCCTTGGCCTCCCAAAGTGCTGGGATTACAGGTGTGAGCCACCGCGCCTGGCCACATCTGGCTTTTTTAAAAGTACCAGTTTTATTAGCTAGGGTTCTCCAGCGGAAACAATTATATATACATATATTCCTTTATCCGCAGAAAGGAGTTGGCTCACACAACTCCAAAGCCTGGGAAGTCCTGGCATCGGCCGTCTGAGGCTAGACGCCCAGCAAAGCTGGTGCTGTGGCTCCAAGACCTGGGAACCAGGAGCCCCAATGTCCAAGGGGAGGAGAAGGTGGACGCCCCGGCTCACACAGGCAGACAGAGCAAACACAACCTTCCCCCACTGCTGCGTTCTCATCAGGCTGACAGTGGCTTAGTTGATGCCCACTGTGATGGTTAATTTTATATCAACTTGACTGGGCTAAGAGATGCCCAGGCAGCTGGTAAAATGTGATTTCTGGGTGTGTCTGGGACGGTGTTTCTGGAAGACATTGGCACTTGAATCAGTGAACGGAGTCAAGCAGATGGCCTCCCCAGTCTGGTTGGACCTCATCCAATCCATTGAGGGCTTGAGTAGAATGGAAAGGTGGAGGGAGGGAGTTTGCCCTTTCTCTGCGTAAGCTGGGCCTTTCATCTCCTGCCCTGGGACTTCAGTGTCGCTGGGTCTCAGGCCTCTGGGCTTGGAGTGAAATGACACCTCCAGTTTTCCTGGGCCTCCAGCTTGCACACAGCAGATTGTGGGATATGTCAGCCCTCATAATGGTGTGAGCAAATCTCTCATAATAAATCTCTTTCTATGTATCTATAAATAGACCCTGTTTATTCTGTTTCTCTGGAGAAACATAACTAATACGGATTTGGGTACCAAGAGTGGTTTTAGAGGGTCAGAACGCTGAGGACGGATTTTCTGATTTGGGCTGGGGTTTCTGGAATGGGCTGTCTAATCTGATCAGATGTCAAGACACCGCTGACTCCTGATGCAGTAACAAAGAGAACACTGGCAGAGCGTGGCATGAACAATTTACAGAGACATGCAAAGCATCTGCAGCAGATGCTTACAGAAGTAAGAAGCCAAGGGACTCTGTGCATGATACTTTCAAACACTTGTGGAAAATTAAGATATATAGTCACACTGGCTGGTAGCCCCTACTATTGCTGGCCAACGTCCCCGGAGTGTGAAGCTGGGAAGCCCGCTCAGTCCTTGCTCGGTCTGTGTAAGCAACTGGGGGCCGGGCAAAGTGGACTAAAGCCTAACCTCAATTGGGAAACAGATTCCCAGCTCCTCAGTCACATCTGTCCCAGACTAGAGCCAGTTACAGACCCAGCACTCCTGAAGGAGTGGGAGGCTGGGTCACTGCAAGGAAGGATTCCAGCACACTCCCAAAAATGTGTATATTTGCATTAGAAGTGGTGGACTGAGCGAAGCAGGTGCAGGTGGCCCTCCCCAGGGTGGGTGGGTCTGTTAGTACTAGTCAGGGTTTTCCAGAGAAAGAGAATGCTATGGTTAGGCTTTGTGTCCCCACCCACACCTCATCTTTAATTGTAATCCCCATAATTCCCTGTGTCAAGGGAGAGACCAGGTGGAGGTGATTGGATCGTGGGGGCAGTTCCCCCATGCTGTTCTCATGATAATGAGTGAGTTCTCATGAGATCTGATGGTTTTATAAGGGGCTCTTCCCCCTCTTTGCTTGGAACTTCTCCTTCCTGCTGCCTTGTGAAGAAGGTGCCTTACTTCCCCTTCACCTTCTCACATGGTTGTAAGTTTCCTAAGGCCTCCTTAGCCATGCTGAACTATGATTCAATTAAATGTATTTTCTTTATAAAGTACCCAGTCTTGGGCCGTTCTTTATAGCAGTATGAAAACGGACTAATACAGAGGGCCAAGGGGAGATATAAATATATATATGTATGTATGTATACACACACACACACACACACATATATATGTATGTATGTATACACACACACACATATATATGTATGTATGTATACACACACATGTATATGTATGTATGTATACACACACACACATTATATATATATATTCACATATATATATGATTGTACTGGAGGTTCAGCCTGCTACCTGGCCACTTTGAACTCCTCATGTGTACCAGTCCATTCTCACGCTGCTATAAAGAACTGCTTGAGACTGGGTAAATTATAATGAAAAGAGGTTTAATTGACGCACAGTCCCACAGGGATGGGGAGGCCTCAGGAAACTTAGAGTCATGGCAGAAGCAGAAGCAAACATGTCCTTCTTCACATGGTGCAGGAAGAGAGAGAGAGAGAGAGAGAGAGAGAGAGGAGAGAGAGAGGAGAGAGAAGGTAGGTGTTGGCTCAATAAATATTGAGGTTGAGAAGTCCCGGGATCTGCTGTCTGCAAGCTGGAGGCCCAGGAGCACTAGTGGTCTAATTCTCATCTTCATTTCTGTGACTGTCCCCGTGGTTCTCCTGTTGATGGACATAGTCGTGGCCTCCATCACTTGCTGTAACTAGTGATGCTGTGTGATAGTCCTGTGCATGTCACCATGAGTGCATAGTGAGCGTTGCCCTGGCATGGGCATTCGGAGGATGAGTGGCCAGGACATGCATCACAGGTGATTCAAACTTTGCTAATTATTGTGCAGTCTTGGGGAGAAAGGTACAGCTGTGCCAATTTCCCCTCCCATTGGGAATGTGTGGTTTCTTATCTTTTCTTTACTCCTTACTCAGGTTTGGTATTGCCTTTTCAATTTTTATAAATCTGATTGATGTGTGATAAAAATGTGATAATAAGGTTATCTTATTATTTTAAGTATAAATGAGATTAAATTCTTCTTATGTGTTTTTGGGCATTTAAGTTTCCAGGTTTTTGAATTGCATATTGATATCTCTTATGTAGTGTCTTTTTCCTTTTCTTACTGATTTGCAGAAATTGTATATTCTACATGAAAGTCATTATTGGTTTTATCAGATAAAATAGCTTCCACTTTATTATTTATGGTGGCTTTGCTATATAGAATTTTAAATTTTGAGGTAATGAAATATATCATTCATTTCCTTTAGGTTTTGTGCTTGAGTGTTTTATTTAAGAAGTGAGAATAAGAATGTCAAAAGACATTTTCCTCTAAGATTTTAAAGTTTGTCTTCTTAAAGAACATTGAGCTCTTGCTGCCATCTGGAATTCATTTTTGTGTGTGGTTTGTGAAAGGGATAAAGTTTTATCTTCCCATATGGCTATCCAGTTGTCCCTGCGTCGCTGATGGAATAGCCCACCCTCCTCCACTTGTTGGTAATGACACCTGCATCTGTGCCAAGCCGTGTTTGGAAATGTTCATGGACCCTCTCTCCTATCCCATGGTGGATTCATTTGCTCCTGCACCAACACCATGAAAAGATATATAATACTTCATGCTGTGCCTATATCTTTATGTGGGCAGGTATAAGCTGGCCACAAGCATGTCTTTGTTTTGCCTGCCTGCCTGCCTTCCTCCCTCCCCTCCCCTCCCCTCCCCTCCCCTCCCCACCTACCTCCCTCCCTCCCTCCCTTCCTTCCTTCCTTCCTTCCTTCCTTCCTTCCTCCTATGAACAGAAGACTCTCCTAACTCCCGAGGCTGGGTCACATGCTCCCAGGTAGTTCAGCCACAGAAGCATTTTCACAGATTCCCTCATCAGTGTCCAGCACTGGGTTCTATATTCTGGACGGGCGGGATCCCTGACTGTCCTGCCTGTCCCTGTCTAGCTAGGGTGTGGCCGGATGTGCGACGTGTCAGACCCGTGTAACAGTTATTTATCAAATGCGTGTCACCTGGTGGGATGATGAGGCCGTTCCCATCTTCCTACAGTGTACCAGACACTCTGCTGTGGAGCTGGAATAAGGGGATAGGTGCTTCGTGGAGCTTCCTCTCTAGGGGAAGATCAGACCTGGACCCGGCAAATGTTAATAACAAGAACAAAAATAATGTGAAAACAGCTGCCCCTGAACTATGACTACAAGCCAGACACTGTCCCGAGCATCTGAAATGTATTAACTTGATCCTTGCACAATCTTAGGAGGCCAGGTGCTTTTTAATTTTCTCATTTTCGAGATGAGAACACTCAAGCACAGAGGGATAAGCAACCTACGTCAGAGGGCACAGCTGGGGTCTGAACCCAGGGGCTGGAGTTGGCACTTCTAACCCCCAATCCCCACTCCCAGTAACACCGTCATGTGTATGTGTGTGTCGACGTACATATGTGTGCATGTATGTGTGTAATATTTCTCTGCGTGTTTCTATATGTAAATTACCCTTTAAAAGGCACTCGCAGTAGCATTATATACACCGTGTTTAGCATTTTGCTTTTCTCATTTAGCAATATATTTTGGAGATATAATTCTAATCCATTGTTTTTCTTGATAGCTCCATGATGTTCCATAAATTATTTACTCATTCCCATAATGAGAGATACTTAGATTGGTTCTAGGCACTTGTAATTATAACAAAATGGAAATCTTTATAATACACATTTGCTCTTAGGAGGCATGTATTTGTGCAGAG
The DNA here is from genome assembly GCF_000001405.40 of Homo sapiens. Classification (NCBI taxonomy): domain Eukaryota; kingdom Metazoa; phylum Chordata; class Mammalia; order Primates; family Hominidae; genus Homo; species Homo sapiens. Next base: position 48,927,638 of record NC_000022.11, read on the forward strand.
TCAGATTTTACATGTAGAGTGCTGAGACAAACAGTAAGGACATTTTAAAACGTGACAGATGCTCTCAAATCGCACTCCAAAGAGGTTACAGAGAGTCTCACGGTCAGTAAAGGTGCGTAAGGTGCTCGCTCCTGCTCCTCCTCACCAGCCCAGCGCGCCGTGGGTCGGCCGCACGGAGGCAGAGAGAATCATCGGCCTGGTAACGTGCATTTATTTAACTTCATGTGGTTTGAACACTTTGTATTCTATTTATTGGGACTTGTGTTTCCTTTGCTGAGAACCACCTTCTTCATTGATTTTTCCACAAGGGTCAGTTGTTGGTGTTTTGGATATTTTTATACAGTTTTATCAAGAATGTATTTTAAATCATTAAAAATTGCTGTTTTCACACTTACAGGTATAATTTGTTAATTACATTCCAAATATTGAATCATTTCTGGTTCCTTGAAAGAACCACACTTAGCATAGTGTATTTTTTCATGAACTTTTGAGCCTATTTGTTAATATATTCTGTAGAATTTTTGCACCTGTATTCAAAAATGAGATACATTTTTATGTGTGTGTATGTAATATTTTGCTTACACTTGGTGAAAACTTGAAAGAGAAAAATTTCTGAAAGTTTAAATAACTTCCATATTATTTATTTTTTGAAGCTTTGCTAGAATTCAGTAAAGAATTTGCCATTTGTATGGCAATAGTGACTTAGAAGTAACCAATGGGCAACTTTCTCAGTTCTGTATATGGCAATTGGTTGACTTAGATTTTCAATCGCATCCAAATAAAATTTGGGTCTCCTTCTGGATCTGTACATATATGTGTGTAGGCATATATATACACACACACATCTACACATATACGTTTATATTCTTACATAATCAGCTATTTCTTCTAGCTTTTCAGAGCATTTATATAGTGCTGAGAAAAATATATTTAATCTGTCTGTATTTTTTATTTCCTTCTCTTAATTCCTCATTTTGTGTTTGTATATTTCTCCTATGTGTCTGCCTCGTGTAATTAACTTTGATACTGTATATTTCATAGGATTTTTGTAAAGAAGCATCTCTGGAAATTATTAACTAACATGACTTTTTAATCTTTTACATGTCATTAGTTTATACTTTCCCTCCTTCTGCTTTCCACATCTTTATTTTGTTTTCATTTTTCTGCTTTTTAATTTCATAATTAATTTACTTACTGACTATTTTTGTTGAGAATTTGTGACACTGATGGTGGATAATTTTGCTCTGAGCCTTGTGCTGATAGTATGCTGTGGCTAGAAGAGCGCCACACTTTTGCTTCTGTTCTCTTTCCTCCGGGACTTCTGCAGTCTCAGGTGACCTCCTGAGAACACCTTGAGCTGTGTTTTGTGTCTAAGCCCACGGTCATTTTCTGTAGGTAATTCACAGGGTGCGAGAAGAAGCTGTGTTTCTTGTTTTCAGGGTGGAGTTGGGCTATGCAGCTGCACATCCTCCTGAGAACGTGTCACTCTGTCCTCCACAGGCTCACATGCTTCTGCTCACTTGGCCTCCTGGGTGAGAAGAGACAGGGAGATTCCCCTTTAAAGCAGGTGTCTCCGGGTGCCTGCAGCCACACTCCTGCCTCTGCCCTCCTGCCTGAGGCGTTCTCCAAAACCCTGGCAAGCAGGAGTGGGGAGCAACCCTCCAGCCCTGGAAAATGGGGTTGGACGCCAATGCTGCAGCCTCCCACCTCAAAGGCACAACTTCAGTGCTGGAGAGGCTGAGCAGCGATGCCACACAGGTGGCCCACTCAACAGCTCACTGCAGGTGGCCACTTACCCCTCCCGTTCCCTGCCTCCCAGGCTCTCCTGTCCCACACCTTGCTCCTGGCCCTGCTGCAGGGGAGTCCAGTTTAGACTCAGGTGCATGGGTCTAGTTGCTGCATTATTTCCTTAGGTTTTGGACATGGGGAAGTCTCCATTTTTGGTGCTTAAGTGGCAGAGCTTTGCCTGGGCTCAGATCCTGTCTCCTCCTTACGTGGCTCCTCGTCGTCTTCGGGGCTTCTTCGTCTGGGTCACAGCCTCTCCAACACTCACGTTGCCATCCCAGCTCCCTCTTGCTTGCCTTTGTCTGGATGGCTTTGCCACATGTTCCTGGATTAGTTGATTATACATTTCCGAATGTCCTGTAAATATCACCTGATCATACATGTGCGCTTTAGTTGTTTTACTCTTACTCTGAGAATCTTGTTTTAACTGGTGGATGTTTCTTACCTGCACTTGCTGCTGTGATCCACGTCTGACCCTAGTCCCTTGACGTCCTCCTGTGTCATATCACCACTTCCAAACTCCCATTGCTTTCGGCCTTCTGCTCCTTGGTCTGCTTTTTCTTTGGGAATGGTTTTCCTTTGGGAAATTTGGAAAGTTAATTCTTCTGCTTATTTTTTGTGGTTGCCATCTTTATAGCTTTTAGTAACATTTTCAGAGTCTATTTCCACATTTATCAACTCTTAACAATTAACCCCTGCTATGTAGAAGGAGAAAATCAATTCATTTCAGTGTTTCCCAAATATTGTCACCATTTTCTGATTTTTCAGGTCATTTGTTTGCACAGAACTTATAACGGTTACCTTTATACCTGTGAAAATCTAAAATGTGGCCTTCTATACTTAAGCACTATTGAAAGTCTCCTAGCTGTAAGTTAAATGTGTCAGGGCAGTTACATTTGTTTCTACCTCTTGCCCTCTGTGATATGTATATGTATGTAACTTTGTGAAAGTTTTCATATGCGTCGTCTATTATATTCATCAGTATATCTAAATATAACATTGACACTGCTTAGGGCTGGGTTTGCACTGGCCTGGCCTTAAGATTCATGTTAGTGGCCTCCTCGCTCACAGCCAGGCCTTCCTCTCTCCCTGTGCTTCCTGGTTCCAAAGCCCTCGGTTCTGCTGCATCTGCACCAGGGTGTGCCAGCTACCTCGCCAGGGCCTTCTGCCCTAGTCTCCTTTCAAAGCAGCCCCTCCATTAAAAAAAAAAAATAACTTTATTGAGATGTGATTCACGTGCTGTACACTTTACCCTTTTCAGGTATACAATTCGGGGGCTTGTAGTATATTCATGGAGCTTTGCAAAGATCACAACTATCTAATTTGAGAACATTGTCATCATCTGGAAGGAAATCCCATGTCCATTTGCAGTCACTCCCTGTGGTCCCCTCCCGCTGGAACCCACTGATCTGCATTCGGTCTCTGAATGTGTCTGCTCTGGGTGTGATGGAGTCATGTGATACAGGTACCTTTGTGACTGGCGGCCCTCACTTAGCATCCATTTTTCTTTCTTTCTTTTCTTTCTTTCTTTCTTTCTTTCTCTTTCTTTCTTTCTTTCTTTCTTTCCTTCCTTCCTTCCTTCCTTCCTTCCTTTCTTTCTTTCTTTCTCTTTCTTCTTTCTTTCTTCCTTTCTTTCTTCCTTTCTCCTTCCTTCCTTTCTTTCTTTTCTTTCTTTTTCTTCTTCTTTTTCTTTTTTTTTTGGACAGAGTCTCTCTCTGTCACCCAGGCTGCAGTGCAATGGCACAGTCTCAGCTCACTGGTTCAAGCAATTATCCTGCCTCAGCCTCCTGAGTAGCTGGGATTACAGCTGCGTGCCACCACATCCAGCTAATTTTTTTGTATTTTTTAGTAGAGATGGGGTTTCACCATGTTGGCCAGGCTGGTCTCGAACTCCTGAACTCAAGTGATCCACCCACCTTGGCCTGTGCTGAGATTGCAGGCATGAGCCACTGCTCCTGGCCAGCATCACATTTTTGAGTTCATCCATAGCAGAGCCTGTCAGTACTTTTGTGAGTCAAGGTTGTCCAGAGAAGCAGAACAAATAGGAAAAGTGTGTTTGTTTGTTTGTGTGTGACTTATCATGAAGTAGTAACTCATGCAATTGTGAAAGCTGAGAAGTCCCACCATCTGCTGCTTCCAAGCTGTAGACCCAGGAGAGCACCACAGGGCCATTTGGAGGTGGCTGGAAAGCTGATGGCGCAGATTCCACTCCAAGTCTGAGGACCAAAGAACCAGCAGTGCCGAGGGCAGAAGATCAATGCCTCAGCTCAGGGGGTCAGGCAGAGCTACCTCAACCGCCCCTCCCTGTTTTGCTCTGACAGACCCTCGACAGATTGGATGGCACCCACACGGAGGGGATCCATCTGCCTTACCCAGTGCACCAGTTCAAACGCTAATCTCTCCTGCAAATGCCCTCACAGACATGCTTAGAAATACTGTTTATTTATCTATTTTTTTAACTTTTTTTCTTTTGAGAGTCTCATTTTGTCTCCAGGCTGGAGTCCAGTGGCGCGATCTCGGTTCACTGCAACCTCTGTCTCTCAGGTTCAAGCAATCCTCCTGCCTCAGCCTCCTGAGTAGCTGGGACTATAGGCGCATGCCACCATGCCCAGCTAATTTTTGTATTTTTAGTAGAGACAGGGTTTTGCCATGTTGGCCATGGCTGTCTTGAACACTTGACCTCGTGATCGACCCACCTCAGCCTCCCAAAGTGCTGGGATTACAGGCGTGAGCCACTGCACCCGGCCTATCTTTTTAACTTTTAAGTTCAGAAGGACAAGTCCAGGTTTGTTACGTAGGTAAACTTGTGTCATGGGGGTTTGTTGTACAGATTATTTCATCACTCCAGCACTAAGCCTAGTACCCATTAGTGACTTTTCCTGATCCTCTCCCTCCTCCTACCCTCCCCCCTCCAACAGGCCCCAATATCTGTTGTTCCCTCTGTGTGTCCATGTGTTCTCATCATTCAGCTCCCACTTGTAAGTGAGAACAGAAACATGGCTTAACCTGACACCTGGGCATCCCTCGGCCCACTCAGCTTGAAACACAGAATTGGCCACCACCGTACTGTATTCATTTTTTATTGCCGAATACTATTCCATCGTGGGGATAGGCCTCACTATTTTCACGTGATGGGTATCCGGGTTGTCTCTGCTTTTTGGCTACTATGAATAAAGCTGCTAGAAACATTCACGAACAAAGGTTTGTGTAGACGTAGGTTTTCATTTCTCTTGAGCATCTCCCGAGGAGAGGAACCACCAGGCTATGGTAACTCTGTGTTAGAAAACTGCCAAACTGTATTCCAGAAGGTCAGTACCATTTTATATTCCAAACAATAACACATTCAAGTTCCAGTTCCTTCATGTTTGTATCAACACTCATTATTGTCTCTGTTTTTATTTTAACCATCCTATCGGGTCTGAAATAATACCTTATTACGTTTCGACTTGTCGTCCTCTAATTATTAAGATTTTCAGTAGCTTTTCATGTGCTTATTTACCATTTTTATATCTTCTTTGGATAAATTAATTGAAATCCCTGCTTATTTGTGTTATCTGTCTTATTGTGTTGAGTTATAAGAATTCTTTATTCCGAATGTAAGTCTTTTATCACACATATGAATTTCAAATATTTTCTCTGATGCTGTGGATTATCTCCACATTTTTTATACTGTTCTTGGAAGCACAAAAGTTGTTAATTTTAATGATGTCCAATTTATCTATTGGTTTTTTTCTCTTTGGAGGCTTGGGTGAGGTTTCTATGAACCAACTGTGCAACCCAAAGTCACAAAGCCTTACTTCTATATTTTCTTCTAAGAGTTCTACAATGTAAGTTTTAGTACTTAAGTTTAGGTCTATAATTTATTTATTTATTTTTTACTTTTTATTTTTTTTTAGATGGAGTCTCACTCTGTTGCCCAGGCTGGAGTGCAGTGGCCTGATCTCAGCTCACTGCAACCTCCACCTTCTGGGTTCAGTTGATTCTTATGCCTCAGCCTCCTGAGTAGCTGGTACTATAGGTGCACACTACCATGCCTAGCTAATTTTTTTTATTTTTAGTAGAGTCAGGGTTTCACCATGTTGGCCAGGCTGGTCTTGAACTCCTGACCTCTTGTGATCCACCTGCCTTGGTCTCCCAAAGTGCTGGGATTACAGGCATGAGTCACCACGCCCGACCATAGGTCTAGAATTTATTTTGAGTTAATGTTTGTATATGGTGTGTGAGGTAGGGATTCAGCTTCATTCTTTTGCATGTGGATATCCAGTTGACCCAGAAAAATTTGTTGAAAAGATTAATCATTTCACATTGACTATCCTTGGCAACTTTGTTGAAAATCAATTGACCAAAAATGTAAGAATTTATTTTTATACTGTCAAGTTTATTTAATTTATCTACAGACAACGTCCTCATGCCAGCACCTCACTGTCTTGATTACTGTAGCTTTATAGTAAGTTTTAAAATTGGAGAAGTTATGCTCTATTCTCAAAAATGTTTTGGCTATCTTGGGTCACACACATGTCAATATAAAATTTACAATCAGCTTCTCACATAAAATTCCCTTCAATAATTTCTTCCAATAATGTTTTCTGGTTTTAGTGTTGAAGTCTTATAGTTCTTTTGTAAGCTTTACTTATTTTTGATGCTTTTATAAATGTAATTGCTTTCTTCACTTTATTTTTGGTTTGTTTATTGCTAATATTTAAACATATAATTGTTTTGTATATTAATCTTATATCCTGCAACTTGCTGAACTCCCTTATAAATTGTAATAGGTGTTTAGTAGATTATTTATAATTTTTACATAAAAAATTACACCATCTTCAAACAGAGATATGTTTACCTCTCTTTTCAAATTTGGATATCATTTATTTCTTATTCTTGCCTAGTTTCTCTGGATAGATCTTCCAGTACAACACTGAACACATGCAAAGAGAGTGGACGTCTTTGTTGTTCTGTTGCTTATCATATAAAGAAAACATCCACTCATTCACCATTAAGTATGATGTTAACTGTGGTTTTCTCATAGAAGCCTTTTATCTAAGGTTGAGGGAACTTCCTTCCAGTCCTTGCTTGTGGAGCCTTTATTTCTCCTTCATTTCTGAAGAATAGCTTTGCTCAATATAGAATCCTTGATTGACAGTCTTTTTCTTTCAGCCTTATGAATATGTTGTGTCACTGCCTCTGGCCTCCATTGCTTCTGATGAGAAGTCAGCTGTACATCTTAGACGGCTTCCTCAAACACAATGACTCATTCTTCTCTTGCTGCTTTCAAAGTTCTCTTTTTGTCTCTTTCAACCATTTGACTATGATGTGTCTAGCTGTGGATTTCTTTGAGTTTATCCTACTTAGAGTTCATTGAGCTTTTGAATGCATAGACAAATCTTTTTCAAATTTGGGGAGTTTTGGCAGCTATTATTTTAAACATTTTTCTGTTCTACTCTCTGCTCCTTTGCTACGAAGCTTATCATGCATACACCAGTATGTCTGATGTTGTTGCATAGGTGTCTGAGGCTCTGTTCATTTTTGTCCACTCCCATTTTTTCCTGTTTCTCAGGTTAAGTAATAAAAACGACCTATCTGTAAGTTCACTTACTCTTTTTTCTGTTAACTCAAACCCACAGTTAAGCCCCTCTAGTAAATGTTTTCTCTGAGTTATTGTACTTTCAATTACAAATTCTTATCTCTCTTTTATAAATTATTTCCCTTTATTGATATTATCTATTGAGTGAAACATTGTCCTCATAATTTACTTCTTTAGACACAGTTTTGTTTAGTTCATCGAAGATATTTGAATTGTCTTATTTAAAGTCATTGCCTAATAAATTCAACATCTGGATTCCTCAGGGACAGTTTCTAGTTAATGCTTTTATTATTGCAGAGAAGCATCTTTTTCTGTTTCTTTGCATATCTCAAGTTATTGTTGAAAGATGGGCATTTTAAAAAATATTATTTGGCATGTCTGGAAATCAGATTCCAACTCTTTCCTAGAGTTTGTTATTATTATTTGTTGTTATTTTCAGTGGTGCTCCTTGTTGAGTAATTTTCTGGACTAATTTTGAAAACTCTGTATTCTCTGTTGTTTGTAGCCACTTAAGTTTCTGTTCAATTCATTTAGAATTCAGTTACTGAGGCCAGCACAGTGGCTCACACCTGTAATCCCAGCACTTTGGGAGGCCAAGGTGGGCAGATCATTTGAGGTCAGGAGTTCAAAACCAGCCTGGCCAATATGGTGAAACCCCGTTTCTACTAAAAATGCAACAATTAACCGGGTGTGGTGGTGGGTGCCTGTAATCCCAGCTACTTGGGCGGCTGAGGCAGGAGAATTGCTAGAGCCTGGGAGATGGAGGTTGCAGTGAGCAGAGACGGCACCATTGCACTCCAGCCTGGCAGACAAAGCAAGACTCCGTCTCAGAAAAAAAAAAAAAAAATCAGTTACTGAGTGGACAGTCTAACCTTAAAAATCTTAACCCTTTTCCCATTTAGAAAACAAATGTGCAGCTCTCTGCCAGTGCTCATTTAATTTTACATAAACACGCTCTTTGAGGCTGAAGTAAATCTGACTGATTTGCAATGTGAAAATAAAATATAAAAACCGTTCTTGGAGTTATTTCTAAACAGAACTACCATCAGAATTATCTGAGTCATCAGAATCCTCTATTTTGAAAAAAAAATCAGATGCATCAAATGACTCTTCTGTGAACAACTGTTTGAGAACGATACTAATGTCACACATAGGAATACTACATTTTCTAGGATTTGACATTTTCAGTGATCGAGAATTACTACATTTTGTAAATGAAAATACCACTACTAAAAACAGAATGATATACATAGAATGATGTCTTTTGTTTCCAAAGTCGATATACTACAGCAATGCAGAAACAATCATGAAAGCAACATTATTTTGTGGCAAAGTTGTCTTAAGGTAAACACTGCAGCCACAAGCACCACTGGTGAGTATTCTCAGTGCAGACAGGAAAGAGTTAAAGCAATAGGTCTTCCAGGCTTTGCTGAGCAGCTCTCTGTGGAATGGGATATGACTTCAATACCTGTTCAGGCAGTTACAACTCTGCCTTAGCCTTCGCTTCTTGCTTTTGGCCTGAATCTCTCTCCTTTGTGACTCTGCTCAGCTGTGACAAAGGGATGTGGCCACTGCACACCCCACTGTGACCCACCTGCACAGGTGCATGTCTGTGCCGTTTGCCTGGGTGGCCTTCACTCTGATCCAGAGCAGCATGCAAGGACATTGTCCTGGCCAAGAGGTCATGGGCGAGACTTCTCTGAGCTCTTGGAGAGTTTGGTCTCTTTGCTGAGATCCATAACATTTTGCAGGTATTTCTCACCGCCTTTCACACTTTGCCCAGATACCATTGTGTTGGACACTTTTCATCACAATCCAAGGTTTATGGTTACGGTTGTCTCTGGTCTCATTGGATGTGCTTTTTTTCCTCTTTATGTTTTATTCCTTTTGTTGTTTGTATTTGGCTTTACTTGGAAATGGAATAGAAATCTCTCTGATCCATTGTGTTACAGCAGAAATGTACTCTGATCACTATTTTAAAAGAAGAAGAATTTTCCAATGATAACCATGGCTGGCTTGGGGTGGAGAAGAACAGGATACAGAAGAAAAAGAGTTAGTCTGAAGTCAGGAAAATGGGTTCCACGTTTTTGTTCTGTGCTGACTTAGCCAAGTACTGTGTGGACAGCATACTTAGCATCTTTATACTTGAGTTTCAACTCCAAGAAAGTAAGGATAAAAAAAGTATCAGGTTTCAATGAGAAAACACAAGCCACTAGTACAATGCTTGTCATGCTGGGGCCCCTGGGTAAACTATGTCCCTTATGTTTAGCAACAATAAAAGACATACATCACCAACAAAGCACACAGAAAGCACCACTCACTGGAGGACCGAGGGAGAGACACGCAACACCCACGGGCTCCAGGCAGTCCTAGAATCCTGCCGGGTGGACTGCCACAGCTCCCGACCTGGGTGAGCAGCTCTGAGAGGAGCCCCGTCCTGCTGTGTGACCGGAGCCGCCCTGTGGGTGATTGCTGCACCCTGCTTCACTCCTGGGAATTTCCTCTTCTTACCTTGTCCTCTCATACACACTCAGAGTCCCGGGACTGGAAAGTCTTCACACACTCCTCAGTGCAAGGTTGGAAGCCAAGGGTTGCTGATGTTTAACGAATGCCTCTAAGACACACCTGCAGGCCCGTATGCATCGCTGTGCTATTAAAAATAATACACGTGGAAACAGCCTAAGTGTCTGCTGACAGGTGGACTTAAAAACTGTGTTATAGATGCACAGTGGAGTACTTTTCAGTCTTAAAAATAGAAGGAAAGGCCAGGCACAGTGGCTCACGCAAGTAATCCCAGCACTTTGGAAGGCTGAGATGGGTGGATCACCTGAGGTCAGGAGTTGAAGATCAGCCTGACCAACATGGTGAAACCCTGTCTCTACTAAAAATACAAAAATTAGCCAAGCGCAGTGGCTCACGCCTGTAATCCCAGCACTTTGAGAGGCTGAAGCAGGCGGATCACCTGAGGTCAGGAGTTTGAGACCAGCCTGGACAACATGGTGAAACCCCGTCTCTACTAAAAATACAAAAATGAGCTGGGTGTGGTGGCAGGTGCCTGTAATCCCAACTACTCAGGAGGCTGAGGCAGGAGAATCACTTGAACCTCGGAGGCGGAGGTTGAAGTAAGCTGAGATCATGCCACTGCATTCCAGCCTGGGTGACAAAGTAAAACGCTATAAAAAAAAAAAAAAGAGGAAAGAAAGAGAAAAAAAGAGAAAAGAAGGAAAATCTGCTATTTGCAACAACATAAATGAACCTGGGGGACATTATGCTGAGTGAAATAAGCAGATGCAGAAAGACAAACACTGCACAGACTCTCTTTAGGTGGAATCTCAAATGCATAGATGGAGGCAGAGATGCAGGCGATGCGGCCAGGAGCCCAGGAATGGTAGCAGGCACAGAGACTGTGAGATGTGAGGCACAGATCCTCCTGGAGGCTCCGGAAGGAGCCAGCACTGCCGATGCCTGGATTTCAGCCCCATAGGACTAATTTTGGGTTTCTCTCTTCCAGAACTGTAAGAGAATACATTTTCTGAGGTTTTAAGCCACCACATCTGGAGTAATTTGTTGTAACAGCCAGAAACTGACCTCCAGGGCATCAGGGCGCTGTCTGGCCTCTCCTTCCTCCTTCCCTCACTTCTCCTGCCAAAGTCAATGCCGTATGTATTTGTTTTGTTGTTGCTTTTCTGTTTTTCTTTATTTGCACAGCAGCCCTGAACTTCAAGGTCATAATCTCTATAATCAGAGTAAGCACCCGGATCCATCAGCCAGCCCCAGATTTCAAGAGCTTTAACAAAGCACAGGCTTCTGACCATGTTGGATCACTGCAGGGGCAGTGTCGTCCACCCCTGGTTGGTCATCCCGAGGGCCAACCTCCTTCCCATGCAGCCCGGGCTCCTCGCCATCCCTGGAGTTCTCGGGGCTCAGCCAGCAGATGGAAAGAGACGGAGCTGAAAGCTCCTGGTGAGACTTAGGGGTCAGGGTTGGGGATGGCACTGACTCCTTGTTCGCATTCACCAGCCAAGTAAGATCTGCAAAGCAAGCTGGAAAAAGTCAGTCCACTAAGGCCCAGGAGGAAAAAGGAAGGGCCAGTGGCTGAGGCCACCAAAAGGTTTGAGCAGGCTGAGTGACCAGGGCCTGGGCTTTGACCCCCAGCTCACAGCTCTGTGAACTCATCTATTTCTGTTATTATCATGTATATTCATAACTAATACTTTAGTTCTGCACCTAATTTACAAAGGTCTTCCTTCGGTATCTCATATATTAATACAACTAATAAAAATTAAATGTCGGTAAGGGCTTTGCAGGTTACAGAGCAACTGCACCTCCGGGATCTCCTCTAAGTGTTCCTTTATCTATCTGGCCTTATTAATTCCAGCCTTTATGAACTGGGGGACTTTGGAGAGTCACTTTCCGCCTCTGAGCTGTGTTTTCTATTAGCAAATGGGGATCGATACCTGCCAGCCTCTCCCAGGGCGGTGATGAGTTTCCCGCTGCCTGGGATGGGATACCTGAGAGAATTCAGACAACAGCGTGCCCTCCTCGGAGCTCCCCTCCGCTCCAGGGATGGCAGAGGTACCCCATGCGGCAGGGGCCCAGCGGAAGGCAGGGACCAGCCTGGCCCCAGCAGGAGTAGCTCAGCCCCCACAGGCCGGGCCTCCAGAGGCCCAGCCAGCGGGACACCCTGCCCTGGGAGGCTCAGATGCCTTGGCGGGAGTAGGCCTGGCCTGTGAGCTCTCACCGTGTGTGTCTCAGCCTAGTGGGCGCCCCCGCCCCCCGAGGCCGGGTTTTCCCTGCCTGGCCACAGGTGCGGGGGAGACTGAGCAGCCACGGGCAGCTCTCATTCAGACTCAGGGGGAGGCGGCCGGAGAGTGAAACATTTCCCCAAAATGTAAATTGTATTAAAAAAAATCCATACCTCTAGAAGGACTTTGTAATAAGAAGGCAATAAATCAAGTTGGGAAGCAGCACTCTGAGTGGGAGCGAACGTCTTATTTACTGGGGAGGGAAGGAATGCGGCGCAGTGTTCGGGGTGGGGCAGCCTCTCCCAGCCCCCGCCCTGGCCCTGGAGGTCCCTGTCCAGAAGGCGCCCGCAAGGCACCGTCCCCAGGGCTCAGCGTGCCTCTCTAGAGGCCGTCCCACTCATCCCCCTGCTCATTCATTCACTCCCAGGTTACCTAGAGCTTATTACCAACTGTGCACAGCACTCACTGCTGAGCATACAGTGACCAGCAAATAAGGGTTCACCTGTCAAAAGTTCACGGAAGGGAGGCACGCAGTGAGTGAGGGTTCGGTCCAGGACAAAGCATTGAGCTGCGCAGGAGAAGACGGCCTCTGTGTGCTGCTCTAAGGGAGCCACTGTCTGGTGGGGGAGGCAGGCAGAAGCCAGGCAGTGACATCCAGGAAGCCCCGAGGCCCAGGAAGCACAGCCTGAGGCAGGGTGGTCAGGGAAGCCTGCCTGGAGGAGGTGGCAGCCTAGCTGAGGATGAGTCCCTCCAGGGAAGAACTGGGGGAAGCAGACACACAGAGGGGGCCCTGCCATGAGAAGGGCTCCCTGCCACAACTCTCCTGGTGCTCAGGCACATGGTTGGAGTCCTTCAGAGGGTCCAGCTCACCAGAGGACGCCCAGAGTCCCAGAGTAGGTCAGGCCTCTTACCGCCAGTAGCGCCTCCGCTGTGCCATGCTGGTCTAAGTAATTTCGGGCTTACTGTGTAGGTGGCACTAAGATTGGATCCCAAGTCAGAGATCCCCATGGTGCAGTTTTTCAGGGAAGATGAGAAAACTAGAGCACCATGCGCGTGTCATGAGACTTCCTCACTCTGGCTGGCACACTCTGGTTTGCAAGACCCTCGTCTATCTGTGGACTCCCAGTCCCGTGGCGTGTCCCTGTTACGTGTTTGACGGGTGGGGGAAGGGAAATGTACGGGGCAGAAATGGCCCACCTGGTCTGCCAGAGCCAGCTGTGCAACTCGGGTCAGGTACTCAGCCCTCTGGGCACCAGCTTCAGGCTCACACTCTGCAGACCGAGGCCTGAGTCAGGGCTCACAGTAGGAGCCAGGGAGAAAACCGTGCTGGGCCCAGGCTCCGATGCCAGCCACACTGGAGGGGTGCTCTGGGTGTCCTGCGGTATGGGCATGACCCTGTCACCCTTCCCAGGACCTGGACTCACTGCATGGTGCTCCCAGGTAGAAGTGGCACAGGGTCCTGCCTGCCTCATATCCCACAGGTATCTCTACATCTTGAAAGAGGGGCTCAGGTCCTGCAGCCGTGCCCTGGATCTTGGTCTCTCTTCTTTGCTCCTGGGGGCAGTGGGTGGGGGGCGGGGGGTTTGTAGGAATGACGGGGCTTTCTGGGCGTGTACTCACCCACCCGGGAGCCTCAGATGTGGGAGAGGCCTGGGGAATCCATGCGGATCCATGCAGCGGCACTAATTCCTGGGATCTGGGGTTGAACAGGTGGCTGGCCCTTCTTTAAAGCAGGTGCAGCATTCCTGCCACCGCCCACCACAGGCAACGGCCTCGCGGGGGACTTGCTGTCCTTTGGGGCTGGGATCTTATTTTTCTCCGAACTATCATCAGGAGGGTTGGTCATCCTGCACCGATGCTTTCCAATTTGGGAAGAGGGAGAAGGAAGTGCTCGGTGAGGCCTTTAAAAGTTGGGTTGGGAGGTTCCTCAGATGGATTTTCTCCTCCCTGGAACACCACTGGCTCATCCTGGGCACTGCAGGCTGGGCTGACTACTGGGGTCAGGATCCTGTCCTGACTGTGGGGTGAGGGCCATCGTGCAGGTGGCTTTGGGGGGCTGTTTGCGGCCATTCCGAGGGGCGCCTTACGCCCTCCCAGGTCCCCATCCCTGTAAATCAGCAGCTTCTAGGGAAGTTCCCTTTACGGGGACAGGACCCAGGAGGGTGTACAGTGCCTCTCAGGATGGCCTCTCTCTGCCTCCAGAGCTGATATCAGCGGTGAGAGGCATCAGTTCTCCAAGGCCTCCCGGGAAAGTCAGTTTGGAGCCGGAGTTCTCTGTTTCTAGCCGGAGAGCACCAGCCTGGGGCGGCAGGGTGAAAGGCCACAGGAGACAGAAAGAGGCTCCCAGAGGAGCAGGTGGGAGGAACAGGTGCTGGGCTTGGAGTTTTACGGGAGACAGCTGGACTGCAGTGGGCAATGTGGGGCCGACGCCGACATCAGGCACCACAGAGCTGACCTGGGCAGCCTCAGAGAGACCCTGTCATGGCCCGGCCCACCCCAACTCAGACCCCACCCTCAGGACACTGCAGCACTCCCCAGGCCACACCTCCTCCCACAAGGCCCAGCTTCCAGACTCTGCAGATCCCAGGGGGTTTGGCAGGGCCCTGCTCTGCCTTCTCTGAATTGCTGGGCAAGCCAGGCCTGGCTGCAGACAGGAGGCCCCAGACCTAACATGAAAAGCCACTGGAAGTGGAGGGCCTGGGCCTGGGGCCTGGATCACTGCTGTGGGTGCACTTTGCCCTCTACATGCACACAGCTCTACGTCTGAGATTTCAGAAAGAGGGGGCTCTCGTCTACATCCAAAGCAGGGGCAGCTGTCCCCCCAATCTGATCTCAGGGCTCACTCACTAGAAAGTGAAACTCCATCCAGCCTCCAGCCCTGCCTGTTGGGGCTAGATCATCACCCTCGCCACAGAGATTTCTGAAGAGAGTGCAGGAGAGTCAGCATCCTGTTGAATAGGTGCTGCCTATAAACACAGGGGGCCGTCCTGCAGGCTTGGAGGGCCTCCCCTCCATCCCTCCTGGTCCTCATCACCAGGTCCCTCCCCTTAGCTTAGTCCAATTCCTGCCTCTTCCATCCTCCTGGTTCAGTAATTAATTGCTAGAATGCCGGGTGGTGCACAGTGATGAGGAGAGCTGGGCGCAGAGTCAGCACCCAGGACAGCAGTTGCTTGCCCACGTTTATGGTCACAGGGCACTGGGCTCTGGACACGAAGACACACATGCCGATGTCGGCCTTCGAAGAGCAGAGACTGGGGCCCCTGGAAATGGGTCTGGGGCCCGGGAGGTGTGTTCTGGAATGTTCTGTGAGGATCCAGCCCTGCCTATGCCATGTGTGAAAGTGATTGCTTCCTCCTTCAGGCCTTGCTCAGGGCTCCAGCGTGGGCGGCCTTCTGTTCCCGTCCAGCTGAGCTCTCACACAGCCTGCCTGGCTCTGCCCCACCCTCGGACTCGAAGCTGTGAGTCAAGGCCCTTTCTCTTGGGGCCATGGGCACCGTGATGGAGGCGCTTCACCAGCCTGGCACCACAGCATCCCCCATGCACAGCCTGGTGCTAACACAGAGTAAGCCCTCGTCGATATTTGTGATTGGACACAAGGATGACTGAGTGACTATCTGTGATTGGACACAAGGATGAATGAGTGAGTATCTGTGATTGGACACAAGGATGAATGTAAATGAGTGAATAACAAGAGATGGTCGAGGTGATGCCCGATAACGCTCCCAGCTTAGAAACTCAGTGGCTCCTAATCTTGCCAACTTGTGTCCAGGCATCTAAAGCCCAGCCTGGTTTTCCTCACAGGTCAGAGAGATGATTTGAGAGGCTGTAGCAGAGCCACACACTCCAGAATGTGTCCCTTGTATGTGAACTGCTGCACCTGAAATCACACCATTACTCACACAGCTCACCCTAAAAATGCACCGATCTCTGGAAGCAGCATTACTTAGAGCTGAGAGCAGTGTGCATTCTGGGACAAGCAGAGTTTTCTGGGATCAAAACTGAGCGTGGAATGAAGCCAGTTCAAGGTCCAGCCAGACAAAGCTCTCAGTAAACGTCCGTCACAGGGGCCAGACAAAGCTCTCGGCAAACATCCGTCATGGGGTAACCAGCACAGGGAAGTGAGGGGAGTGGACCAGTCCGTTACGGCACAGAGGGTGCTGGCACCTGCGTTTTCACTGGTCATCCTCTGGGCAGGGAGAGAAGCATCCGCTGCTTCCCTACACACTGTCCAGCAGGCGGGGCCCGTGAGCCTCCCCGGCTCAGCTGAGCAGCCTGGGGCTCCCCTCCACCAGGCCAGGAAACCCTCCTTCCACAGGCTGTGGCCTGGTGGGAGGGCCCTGTTGGAGACTGAACTGTGTTGCTGAAGTTCTCATCCCTGGAACCTCAGGCTGAGCTTATTTGGAAATAAGGTCTTCGTAGGTGAAGTAGTTAAGATGCAGTCACACTGGAATCCAGTGGGCCCTAAGCGTGAAACGCCTGGTGTCCTCAGAAGAGGAGAGAGACAGAGGCAGATGCCCTGGGAGGGCCACACTGCAACCACGATGGAGGCAGAGACGAGGGACCCCAAGGATGGCGGCCTCCAGGGGTGGACGGCAGCCTGGATGGACTCTCCCGCAGAGCCCTCCGGAGGAACCCACCCTGCCGACACCTTTTCCCCGAGTTCCAGCCTCCAGAACTGTAAGACAACACCTTTCTGCTGTTTTAAGCCACTGAGTTTGTGTTAACTTTCCCAGCAGCCACGGGAGGCTGACCCCGGGCTGTTTCCTCCCCCGGAATCCCACGGCTCTTCCTAAAGTGTACATTTTTGGCACTGCAGCCACCCAGATGCCTGTGGGAAGTTTCTCCAAGGGCCCTAATTGCACCCTGGGTGTGCCCTGTCCCCTTTGCCATCAGCCTGGGATGCTGCAGACGCCCTTGCTAGAGGCCAGCTGGGCCCTGGCTGGAGGGACCCACTCAGAAGGAAACCCCATTCTCTGCTTTCAGAGCTGGGTCCCTCCCAAGCATCTGGCCCAATCCGTCTTCCCACTTCCCTCCTCCAGTCCCGTTTTAAATAGAATCCATCAGCAATCAGAGCGTGAGGCCATCAGCCCAGCTCAGAAGCACAGCCCGGCTCCACGGACGCCAACGGAGGGTGTCTCCCGCCGGAGTGAACGGCTGCCCGGCTGCTCCAAACAGCTCGGCTCCCCCTATACTGTCCCCCTTCTTAATGGCCATGGGTGTCCCCAGAGCCGAGAAACTGGGGCAAGGAGTTGTCGTGCAGCAGAAAGATGGGTTGCCAGGCTCTGAGGGGCAGAATACGCTTCCCGCGTCTTGAGCAGGTTCTACTGGAGGGCCAGAGCAGGAGGCACGGCAGGAGCTGAGAGGGAGGGTTCGTGTCCAGCGGGCACCACTGCAGCTCAGGCAGGCAGGACCCAGCTGGCGGCTGGGAGGCCTCACACACGCGCCTCCATGCACCCATCTGTGCCTGCCTCGTGCGGACATTGTGAGGATCACAGGGAGCAGGGGTGGAAGGACCCAGGACAGCACCAGGTACATCAGCCCAGGCGGCTTTGTCTTCAAGGGTGCCATTGCGGCTCAGACAGGTGGGACCCAGCTGGCGGCTGACCACGGAGCCCCAGCAGACTGAGGCAGCGGCCCAGGGCTCCGTCTGGAGGGGGCAGGTCTGAGCAGGTGGAGCAGGGACAGGAGGCCGAGGGCTGCATCAGAATCTCCGGGAGCGTGGGGGCTTCCACTGCTCTTTCCGGTCCTGGGGGCTTGGATGGGGCCCAGAGCTGGGTCCTTCTCTGACTTCCCCGGTGACGCTGCCTCATAACCAGTGCCGCTGCCAGAGGCTCCTGACCTGTGTCTGGATGCTCCTTCTGCCCTGTCTGCCCCGTATGAGGGATGGTTGTCCCTAAGATCCTCCTGACAGCCCTCGGGCCGTGAGTGTGCGTGATGTACCTGGTGCTGGCCTAAGTCCTTCCATCCACGCTCCCTGTGATCCTCACAACATCTGCACGAGGCAGGCACAGATGGGCACGTGGAGGTGTGTGTGTGAGGCCTCCCAGCGGTGGGGATGGTGCTGGTCCTGGCCCGGACAGGCTGACCCCAAGCCCATGTGCCCAGCACTGAGCATCTCTGCCTCTGAACCTTGCCCCACACTGAGGCCGGCCCAGGATAGCTGGCCCTGCCCAAACAGACCTGTCTGGCTCTGAACTTTGGGCTGTGCTGCCCCAGTGCTGGAGGAGGCGTGGTCTCCAGGTATTCCCTGTGGGAGTCTCTGGGCACCCTTGGTGTGGCAGCTCCGAGTCTCTGGGTGGGCTCAGGCAAGATTCTATAGCCCAGGTTCTGTGTATCCTGAGCTTCACCCCCAGACCAGACCTGGCTGCCATGAGGTGGGGTGGGGTTCTTGCAGCAGGGCATACGGAGGGAGGGAGGCTTGAGCATAAGGATCAATGATATCACAGGAGAGAACAGGACAGGAGACAAGACGGACCCACAGAGCTTGGGGCCTGGGGAGAGGACATCACTGTTTCAGGGAAAAGTGGATGTCCGGTCCCTCTTCAGGCTCTCTTGGAAGTGTGGGCACCAGGATGTGCAGAGGCCCCACCAACTCCTTGCCCTCGTGGTGCAAACCTCCGCTGTGGGGGCTTGGGCTGGCGGCACAGGCGTGGAATCTGTCCAATCCTCAGAAGCCCCCGCGCTTGGTCTGAGGCTCGCTGTCCTTGACCTGCAATTCGGTTTTTTTGAGACAGAGTCTCGCTCTGTCACCCAGGCTGGAGTGCAATGGCATGATCTCAGCTCACTGCAACCTCCACCTCCTGGGTTCAAGCAATTCTCCTGCCTCAGCCTCCTGAGTAGCTGGGATTACAGGTGCCCGCCACCACGCCCAGCTAATTTTTGTATTTTTAGTAGAGACAGGGTTTTGCCTGACCTCAGGTGATCCACCCGCCTTGGCCTCCCAAAGTGCTGGGATTACAGGCATGAGCCACTGTGCCCAGCCTGTCCTGCAATTCTTAATAATTAACAATATTGAGGTCCAATGGGACAAAGGAGTGAGCAGAGGAGATCCATGAAATACACACGCCCAGGCCCCTCAGTGCTTCATTTGCAGACAGAATTTGTGATGCCTCAGGAGCGCAGACGTCTCATAGGCCCACAATGGGTGGGTGTTCCGTGAGGCTGCACATCAATGGAACACCAACTCATTAGGGCCATTGAAGGCCACGCTTTACAATCAAACCAGAAGCCACTTCGAACTCAGAACAGAAAGAAGCCCGTGTTCCAACAAGCATAAATGGCACAGGGACCCGATTGCACCTGTTTTTTACTCCTGATATTGTGTTCATGATACTAAGTGAAATAAAAATAGTTGTTTGTTTTGTGCGAGGTCTCCAGTGCTTTGCTGAGAGCAAAACGCACACACATGCACGTGCCACGAAACATGAATTGTAGAACTGCAGTGATTCCGCCCAAGAATGAAGTGGTCTTACCTCTGCGAGTGCAACTGGTGTGTGTGCTGGGGGAACGATGGTCAAATTCACACTATTAAAGGTTTTTGGCTGGGCCCAGTGGCTCAAGCCTGTAATCCCAGCACTTTGGGAGGCAGGCGGATCACCTGAGGTCAGGAGTTCAAGACCAGCCTGGCCAACATGGGGAAAAACTCCGTCTCTACTAAAAATAATAAAATAGCCAGGCTTGGTGGTGGGCACTTGTAATCCCAGCTACTTGGGAGGCTGAGGCAGGAGAATCGCTTGAACCCGGGAGGCAGAGGTTGCAGTGAGCTGAGATCGTGCCATTGCACTCCAGCATGGGCAACAATAGCGAAACTCTATCTTAAAAAAATATATATATATTATATATATATATATATGTATATTCCAACAGAATTCCTAACAGGTGAAGAGGAAGAGCTGAGAGGAGGACAAAGGACTTGCCCAGGAGCATATTTCAGCTGAACTGTGGAGAGTTCTGACCCCTGCACTTCTCTCCTAGGAGTCAGCACCCCCATCCTAAGGGAGAAACCAAAGCCACTCATCCTGTTCCTTGTGTAGCCCCCTCACCAGGCTCCCCACCATGGCCATCTCCCTCAAAGGGGAAAAGTCTGGAGGTGGGTAGACCAGATGAACAAGTGTTGGCAAAGGCCTGGGAAGAGATGGTGTCCCCAGATTATGACCAGAACCTCCAGGGTGAGGACGGAGATATTGTGCCCCTCTGAATGAGGGGCACGCTCATTCAGAGAGTTTAGAAACTGTCCTCTGCTCCGCTCTGTCACCCGGAGAGGACGCTGGGTTACATTAACACTTTATTGCTGAAGACTTTGCTTTCAGCAGATGTATAAAAAGGAAGAGAAAGGTCTTTAGCAGCCATGGAAGGTGTGATTGGCCAATGCAGGAAAATATCAATATCCCAACAATATTGAGCTCCTGTTTCTCAAACTGTAAGTGACATAATGGGCAGAAATGAGGAGCATTATCGGGCATCTCCAGTGGGCACGCTGGTGCACACAGCATCAATCCACAATGCCCATGGATGTCCCCTGGCAGGGAGATTACATAATGCTGAGTGACAGCTGACACACTTATTGCCTGGAGGGAGCCCACCTTCCAAAGGCAGGAATTTAAAGTCTCCAGCTGGGGGATGAGCCGATTCGTAGCCCATTGCTCAGGGCTTTGACACACAACTTTGCACCTGCTATTCTGCTGAGGGATGGCACTCAAATCCTGAGAGCATGTCTCCCCAGAGAGAACCTTACATGTCTTGGCAAAATTAAGATGACTTTGATAGGGACACATAGCAAATGCTTAATGACTTTTTAACCTTTTATGACTTTAGTGGGTGGAACTGCCAGACAATTGATCATTGCACTGACCTGCAGAGATGAGGAGGAGGGGAGAGCTGCTGGGTACAAGTTGATCTCCTTCGCCCCTCAACAGCTCCAAATAATACCTGGAGCCTCAGCACAGATCCCAAGCCTGGGCCTCATGATGCCGGTGTTAGATACCCAGGTCCCTGTTGCCACTTGTGGAACCCGCCACAAAGAGTGGACCCTGAATCACAATGAATGCAAGGGGCAACGGCACCTGACGCTGCACCCAGCTAGGATGTTTGTCCCCCACTCCAGCCTCACTCCCTCCTCCAGCCTCACCTCCCTCTCCAGCCTCCCCCCACTCCAGCCTCACTCCCACTCCAGCCTCCCCTCCAGACTCACTCCCTCCTCCAGCCTCACCTCCCCACTCCAACCTCACTCCCACTCCAGCCTTCCCCCTACTCGACTCACTCCCACTCCAGCCTCCCCTCCACTCCAGACTCACTCCCTCCTCCAGCCTCACCTCCCTCTCCAGCCTCACTTCCCTCTCCAGCCTCACTCCCACTCCAGCCTCCCCCTACTCCAGCCTCCCCCCCCATTCCAGCCTCACTCCCTCCTCCAGCCTCAACTCCCACTCCAGCATCCCCCCCTCCTCCAGCCTCACTCCCTCCTCCAACCTCACTACCTCCTCCAGCCTCACCCATCCTTCAACCTCATCCCCTCCTCCAGCCTCACTCCCTCCTCCAGCCTCACTCCCTCCTCCAGCCTCACTCCCTCCTCCAACCTCACCCTCTCTTCCAGCCTCACTCCTCCTCCAGCCTCACCCCTCCTCTACCCTCACACCTTCCTCCAGCCTCACCCCCTCCTCCAGCCTCACCTCTTTTCCAACCTCCAGGCTATTGAGAGCGAGACATGGGCGTGAGTGACCTGGGGCTGCCATAACAAAACCGCACCGTCCAGGCAGCTTAAACAGCGGAAATTTTTTCTCTTGGTTCTGGAGGCTGGAAATCCAAGATCACAGCGTGGGCCGGGCTGCTTCCTTATAGGCTGTGAGTGACAATCTGTTCTCTGCACCTTTTCAGCCTCTGGTGGCCTTGGGTGCTCCTTGGCTTGTAGATGGTTGTCTTCTCCCTGTGTCTCTTCTCATCACTGTTCCTCCATGCACGTCTGTCTGTTTTGCCAAAGTTTTAATGAGGATAACAGTAACTGGCTTAGGACCCACCTGCTGACCTCGTCCAAACCTGATCATCTGCAGAGACGCTCCTCCCAAATGAGGTCACACTCACAGGCCCTGGGGTTCTGCCTTTAGCATCTTTGGGGAGACACAATGAAAACCACAACACAGGAGGTTTTCTCCATGGGGCCTCCCCCAGGGACCTCTTCCTCTTGAGGTTTTTTGGCATCTTGGTCATGAAAGCCGTCCCCAGCACTGGAAAGAAGCTTCCAGATTGCATTCCTCTATGTGTTGGCACCAAACTCACCACTTTGAGGGAATTGTAGGTTTTGTTCCCGACACCCAGCATTTACAGACTGTAGATGCAACAGACCTCAGAAACGCAGACGCCCACGTCGTACTAAAGTGATGGTAGAGGACCCCGCTCCTGCTTCGACTAATTAGTCAACTCTAGGGTGGGGGGTGGGAGCAGAGGCACCTCCTGGGGGCACATAGGACAGTGGAGAGCTGAGTCATGATTTCCGTTCCCTGGCCTGGGGCTGAAATAGGTCCCCCAAGGCCTCGTGCAGTTCTGGGCACTGAGCTCCCCTGACCACGGCTCCCTTGAGACTCAAAAGACAGGCTGTGCAGTGATGCAGCACTGTGGTCAAAGCTCCGCCTCCCGAGTCTGCGCTGACCTCCCGTCCGTGGGTCCCATCGTCACTGCTCTGCCCGGCTCCACACTGCAGAGTCCCTGGGAGGGGCCTCTCCAGGCAGATGCCCTACCGGGAGCCTTGGCCTGTCCCCGGGAGACACTGTCAGGCCAGTGTTGCAAGAGCAGAGACTGTGGGGTGAAGTGTCGCCTGTAAAGAAGTCTCAACCAGGACCCCAGCAATTCTTATACCCATAACCTTTGCTGAGGAGGTGGGCAATTGCCAGCCTAAGCCTCTCCCCTGAGCCCAGAGCAGGGGTGATGCCCGTGAGGAGCAGATGTGAAGGCTGCGGGTGTCAATGAGCTGCCTCCGGGACGGGCATCGTCTGCGGCCTCTGCGACCTGTGCTGGCTCCTCCGCGACCATCCGCGGAGAGTCTTGCCCTCCCCTGCAGGTGCCTTTCTGGCCATTTGTCAGTGTGGCCATCAGTGACCATCTGCAATGCGAGAGTTAAATCACCACTGATGGCCACAGTGGCCGTTGCAGAGGCATTTAGACTACACTTACGGGCTTGTTTTAGGAAATGGTTCATTGGAAAAATATTTTCTGCTCAGCTGAAAGTTTTACTGCAGGGAACACAGCACATGAATTTGAAACACAAATTCAGGGTATTCGTGTGTAAAGTCTGACCTTTCCTTGAAATGCATTTCACAGAACATCCTGTAACTGGTCCTCCCAGGGAGCGTCAAGAGCAGGTTCTCAGGGAGACACTGCTAATGTTGGGGCCATTCCTCCATGCCGGCTGCCTATGCCCATGACCGTTGCCTGAAAATTTGCTGGAAAATTTCCTGGAAAATTTGCTGGAATTCTGCATTGCAGTGGGTGGAATAATGTCCCCCCAAATTCACGCACACCTGGAACCTGTGAATGGGACCCCAGCTGGAAATACTGCCTTTGCCAATGTCTCTGAAGGACCTTGAGATCATTCTGAACTTAGGATAGGCCCTAAATGCAATGACAGGTGTCCTTATGAGACAGAAGGAGGCCAGGTACAGTGGCTCATGCCTGTCATCCCAGCATTTTGGGAGGCTGAGGCTGGAGGATCACTTGAGCCCAGGGCTTCAAGACCAGCCTGGGCAACATAGAGAGACCCGGTCTCTACAAAAAAATTACAAAAAAAAAAAAACAAATGTAGCCAGGCACAGTGATGCATGCCTCTGGTCCCAGCTACTCGGGAGGCTGAGGTGGGAGGTTCAACCACTAGGGCCCAAAAGGTTGAGGCTTTAGTGAGCCATGATTGCACCACTGCACTCTAGCCGCAGCAACAGGGCAAGACCTTGTCAAAAAAAAAAAAAAAAAAAGAAAGGAAGGAAGAATGAAAGAAGAAAAGGAGAGACACAGAAAAGGTCACACCAAGACAAAGGCAGAGATTGGAGTTGGAGGGATGGGGCCACAAGCCAACCAATACCGGGCATCACCAGAAGCTGGAAGAGGCAGGAAGGATCCTCCCTTAGAGACACTGTAGGAGAGCTGCTCCGGTGGGCTGATGGCAGGTGGCTCGTGCAGTGAGGTGTCCTCTGGAAGGACTGGCAAAGGGACACCTGTGAAAAGATCAGCTGTCCAGCAGCAACTGAAGGCTCCTGCTGGGTGCTGGGCTCTGCCTTGGTGGCAGGGCACGGCCTCCCCGAGCTGGCTTGTTCCTGCATTTCTGGTACCCCTTCTCTATCTGAGGGCTGAGTCTGCAGATGAGCTATACGGGGCTCCTCTTGGGGCTGAGGCTTTGAGGAGCTATATGGAATCGACCTTATGGGATGTAGAGGTCATGTGGAACAGGGGAGGGAGAGACATGGTATGGGTCCTGGGGTGGGGTGAGCTGCCCCTCAGAGCAGCTCTTGACTTCTGTGCCATGAGCAGCAGCTATGAGGAGCCCAGCCTTCTGCTGCCTGCCCAGTACATGGGATGCACTTAATACCAGACTTCAGGGAGCTGCAAGGGCCTAGGAGGACAGCCCGGTGCTAACCCCAGCTTCACTTCATCTTGAAGACGAAGCTGTGCCCAATGGCATGGTCTGGTACAGCCCGGGATGAGGCCACACTGGCCGAGAGGTGCACAGGATGAGATGAGAGGGCACCTGGCCCAGCCCCCACTCGGGAAGCAGGCAGAAGAGCACCTGCCAGCCGCTCCCGATGGCCTGCAGGATAGGAGGCACAGGGAGACAGAGGCATCATGACCCAGGCACTCGGCTTGGGTGGGGGCTCTGAAGCTCAGGTTCAAATACCCAGGGGCAGCCTCTGCTCATGCCAGTGGGAAGTGTGTCACTCCAAGCCGGGTTTCCTCTTCTGCAGAGGAGCCCATGGAAAGGGTGGACCTCCCTCTCCCACGAGGAACGGCATCTCACGGATGGTGGATCGGAAGCACTTCTCATGATACAGATGGAATTTGTGGGGCAGAGTGGAGCTTTAAGCAGCCAAACTGAGTGAAACACCAGCCAACAGACACAGAAGCAAGCACCACGTCAGACCCCACAACCAGGCTCAGAATACCAAGGGCCACCTGCTGTAGCTAACGGAGGGGCCTTGCAGGGCCAAGGCTTCCCCAGCCCTGGACCCCCTTGCACTGGACACACGGCTGCCGTGACCCACAGCAGCTCCTAGGGCTGCTGCAGATCAAGTCTCAAGGACAGAAAGGTTATGCTGGGGAGCCGGGACCCCTTCTCCTCCCCTTCTGCTCAGGCGTTGCCCCCAACCTCTCAAGGGGCCTCCAGGGCCATTTAGTGTGGTGGCCGTGAAGCCACGTGGCTGCGTTGTTTAATGTGGGGTGGAGGGTTCTGCTCCTGCGTGGCAGAGCACTTGGGCCAGGGCCCCGAAGGTTGGGTGTTGAGTTCCTTGCTCTGCCATCTGTAAATAAACTTGGACAGAATTTTCATTGATCTCATCTGCGAAATGGGCATGATAAATAACAGCAGCACCCTCTCCACCTCCGTCAAAAGACAAAAGGGGAACTTTGTAAACTCTCAATTTGTGGACAGATGATGGTCAGCATTCCTTCCTCCTCCCTTTCTTGGCCCAGCCTGTTCCACAGAGGAGCACTTCCGCCCCATAATAATGCAGTGAGGGGCACATGTCCATGAGAACATCCAGCAGCAGCCCAGGCTGAGCTCAGCGGCAGCGTCACACCCAGGCTTCAGCAGTTTGTACTCACAACCTCTTATGATCAGCGCAAGAATCTTAGAACAGAGCTAGCATTTCCCCCATGTTACAGAGGAGGAAACTGAGGCCCAGAGAGTTTCAGCAACTCCTGTAAGATGGGACACTGTCATTCCCAAGCCTAAATCTGTGACCCCTCCATGGGCAGCAGCTCCACAGGGAGAGGGAGCCAACATCCTCATCCCTGGGCGCAACATGCTTTCCTTCCATTATGTTCAAAATTTCACAGCGAATAGATGAGATTTTCTAAGCAGTACGATGCCCCTGAGAAGACCATTTTGTTGTCTATGATAAGAAATCATTTTGGATAAAAAGTGACTGCTTCAGATCTACAAGCCACAAATCGAATTAGACGTTTTGCTTTTGGGTCTGAACCTCTGCAAATAAGACACGTCATCTGAAGACAGAGGGGCGCTGGGGTCATCAGCCATCCAGATAGGAATAAGCCAGGTTTCCTCCAGGGGTGCCCAGCGGAGCAGGTACCAGTCAACAGGGCTCTGTGCCGCCAGCGAGGTCCCAGCACGCAAGCGGACACATTTCCGAACGGAGCTTCTCAGAATCCTGTTTGGGTTACTTTACTCTATTTTTGCTTCTAAGTGATTAGATAAACAGATGGACCCCCCCCCCCCATGCCCAGAGCATTTCCAGAGAGGATCAGCTTCATATTTCCAATCAATTAAAAAAAAAAAAAAAAAAGACGAAGGCTGCTGTCGTGGAAAGATTACTAGCTGTGTTTTAAGAAAAGATAGCTCCGGCTGGGGGCGGAGCTCACACTTGTAATGTCAGCACTTTGGGAGGCCGAGGCGGGCGGATCACGAGGTCAGGAGATCAAGACCATCCTGGCTAACACGGTGAAACCCCGTCTCTACTAAAAATAGAAAAAAATTAGCTGGGCATGGTGGCAGGTGCCTGTAGTCCCAGCTACTCAGGAGGCTGAGGCAGGAGAATGGCGTGAACTCGGGAGGTGGAGCTTGCAGTGAGCGGAGATTGCACCACTGCACCCCAGCCTGGGCGACAAGAGCAAGACTGTCTCAAAAATAATAAAAATAAAAAATAAAAAAAAGAAAAGATAGCGTTGGAGCTATCTCTGCCCCCACGTTCCCTAAGGAACTTCTGTGACGCTATGGCTTCCAGAGTGTGAGGTGCTTTCTCATCCTTCCATGAACATGCGGCGGGAAGGTGACACCTTCGTTAGGGAGCCCCCTTTGGGCTACACTGGCACGTCTTTCTCCTTGTGCACACGTGGCTCAGAGGGGCCGCCGTCCAGACACGCAGCCAGCCCTGGAGGCTGGGGCTTCCCCTAACTCCTCACAGCCATCTGCTTCCCTCCCACCATGCTGGCCCCATCAGGTCCCCCTGCCCCTGGGGCCTCCTGTCCTCATCCCCCAAGCTGGGCCCTGGCCAGAGCAGCTTGAGGAAGATGGAATTTTGACTCACAAGGTCTGTTCTTTGCTGCTTGGCAAAATGGAAGAATAAAGTACCTGTGAGAACCGCGTGGTGGCCTCCGGGGGGCCAGGGCTCCCTGTTTCCTTAACAATCCCAGAGACCTGGAGACTGGCCAAGCCCACATGTGGACAAACCCAAGCAGGACTTTCCCGTCTTCTTCGGCTCCTCTCGGCTGACTTTTAAGCCGGCCCCGTGGGGTGTGGCGTTCCTTGTCACAAGCCGCAGAATTCAGGGTTTCCCCACTGCTGCCACAGCCTAATACTTGTCTTGTTATTTTCTTGGGCTAAGGGTTCTGACCAGCACGCATCTTTGAAACGAGTGAGAATGATGTTCCAATTTAATCTCGCAGCATCGGGAGGGCTCCAGGCTCCAGGTGGGTCTCCTGGGACCATTTAAAACGATTATATATGAGCACAGTGCTGAGAGAAGAGCCCCAGAAACACTTACTCATCAAGACACACAGCCACCAGGGCTCGGGAAATGACCTGGCTTCATAAAAGCAGCCACACTCATTCATTCACGCGCTCACGGAGGAGGCCGCGGCGCCGAGCCCTCCCAGGAGTTTCTTTCACTCTGTCGCTTTAGGTTTTGAACACAGTGCACTGCACCTACGGTTTTAAGATCTGCGAAAATGGAGGCTTCTCCTCCGTCCTCACGCAGGGAAGCAGCACTGGAAGCATGTGCGGGCCGTGTGTGTGAGCATCTGCCGATGTCTCGGGCTGGAGGCTGGGACACTCATCCCGGCTGGAGCTGAGCAAAGGCTGCTCATGGACAAGGAGACAGGACTGTGTGACCACCTGCCCCGCTGTGCCCCACGACGGCACCTCTCAGTGGGATGCCTGGGGCCTTTAGCGCCAGGAGTGTGCAGGCCAAGGCCGGCGGGCCTATGGTCACATTCCTGGTGACTTGGTACTTCTCACCTTGGTGAGACTGCAGAGTCAGTGCTGCCCAGGGACACGCAGAAGGAAACCCACAGGTGAGGCTCCGGGCCACCTGCAGAGATTCCTGGGAGCATCCTTGTGGCCTTCCCTTGAGGTGCCCTCACTGCTCACCTGCCCGCAGAGGCCAAGCTGAGGTTCGGGGGGCCAGCTCCTGCTTCCATTCCTACGATGATGCCTTCCTAACTCCAGTACAGCTGTCCCCGCGGCTCGCCCCTCACCTGTGTGCAGCTCTGCACCTGTGGACACAGCCCAGCCCCAGGCCCTGATGAGAACGAAAAGGGGAGAGACAGGCAGCTGTGCACCACCCACGATCCTGGGAGCCAGGCGTCCACCCCAGAGGCTCCTCCCAGACAGGGTCAGCCTAACCCAGCTCCCAGAAGGCCCAGATGTTGCAGGGGCCCGACCACACACACATGCACACCACACACACACATCCCACACCATAATCATACACACACATCACACACATACACACACATCACACACATACACACCACACCACAACCATACACACCACACCACAACCATACACACACCACAACCATACACACCACACACACACATCCACCACACACATCACATACACTTACCACACACACAAAGTCACATCGCAACCACACACACACATACACACATCACATACACAACACAACCACACACAGCATACACAGACACACACTACACCATAAACATACACACACGCCACAACCACATTCACACCACACCCACACACAACAACCACCACATACCACACACACACAGCATACACAGACACAAACTACAGCATAAACATACACACACACCACAACCACATTCACACCA
Organism: Homo sapiens; assembly: GCF_000001405.40. Classification (NCBI taxonomy): domain Eukaryota; kingdom Metazoa; phylum Chordata; class Mammalia; order Primates; family Hominidae; genus Homo; species Homo sapiens. Next base: position 48,956,757 of record NC_000022.11, read on the forward strand.
CACCCACACACAACAACCACCACATACCACACACAGCACACACCTCTCACAACACACCACAAACCACGCACCACACACCACACACACCACCAACCAAAACCACACAACCCCCCCACACACACACCACACACACACACCACACAACCCATCCCAACACCACATACCCCCACACACATCACACACACATGCACACACCCTACAACCACACACAAACCACACACCACACACATACACCAAACACCCTACAGCCACATACCACATACACACACACACCACAACCATGTACCATAAACCACACACATACCATACCACACACCACTCACTACACCCACCCACACTCAGGCATGTAGCTCACCACACACAGGCACCACACTCACACACAGGCACACACACACTCACACACACACCGACACACACAGGCATCAAAACATACACACTCACATACACACAGGCACACACAGCCATCACAACACACACACAGCACCCCCCAACACACTCCTTCCTTTGACTGCTGTCTACACAGCCTCCAACACGAGTGCAGGCCAACCTGGGCGTCCCGAGGACACACATCCTTCAGTGTTGGGCCCCAGGCCACTGTGAGGGTCAGTGTGGAGGGAGTGCCTTGCCCCGCCGCCAGACCCTTGGCAGAGAAGGCCTTGGTGGAAGGCCCTGCTCCTGGCTCTTGAGTGACGGCATCCGAGGCTCACCTCCAGCCAGCCCCGTGCGAGGAGCATCCCCCACGGTGCCTGGCCGCCTCCTGAACCTCAGGAGTTCCCAACACAAGGTCCGCAAGAAGCAGCCGTGCCATGAGATCCAGAAAGCGGGAGCCGCAGGGACAGGCCTGGGCAGAGACCCCTGACTCCAGGCAGAGGCCATCTGTCCTCCTCCCACTCCCGGGACCTGGCTGAGGTGCTCCAGCCCTCCTGGGCCCACAGCAGCCTTCAGACCCGACTCAGCTGTGTACTCTCCTTGCACCACGGTGACTGTGTCTCGGTCTCTCCTCCATGATCCCCGACACACACCCAGCACTGCAGCCACCACATTCACCCCATGTGCACACCTGGGGCCCAAAAAGACTGCAGGTTTCTCAAAGATGCCTTGCAGAAGTCATCGGGGAACCTCCAGCTCTGACAGGGCCTGGCCCAGACTGGGTTCTAGAGAGGCACCGCTGAGCTGGCTCCTGCCCTGCATGCATTCTGCCACGTAAGATGACATTGGGGCCTGTGCTTTACATCCTCTGCCAGAAAGAAAAAACATTCAGGGCCAGAACTTGGCCCTCCAAGTCCAAGGCTGGCCTTAGCACCGGGAGGGATGGGGCAGATGGCCCTGGGGAACCACAGCCTGACCCTCCCTGTTGGGACCCCACAGAACTCGAGGTCATTCCCACTGCTCTCCACTCCCACCACCACCCCCAACGATCTCTTTCCACCCCACAGTTGAGCACTTTTAGACACTAGCTGCAAAGGGAGAGATGATTGATTCATTATTAATCTCTTCCAACCTTTGTCTATGGCGGGAACGTGCTACCTGTGACCTTTGGGGAGTGAGAAGCCTTGCTGTTTGTGTGCCGGGTGTCCTTGTTAGACCGAGAGGGACCTGTGCAATGAGACATGGGTTTCAGTTTTGGGCACACAAGCGTCAGTAATCCACAATTGAATGATGCTGCCATTCACAAAGATGAACTAAGGTCATTATCTACCCTATTAAGGTATTTACAACACGTGCCTTCCAAGGAGAATGTGGCTCCTCCCACTGTCCCATTGTCCAGGCCAGGGTGATCTGAGTGTTGGAATCCCAGGGTTGAGGGGAGTCCAGGACTGGCCTCCCTCCTCTGGCTGCTGGGCAGGCTGATGGATCCAGGCTGATTCGCAGAAGATTTGGAAAAGATGAGAGCTCTTAGCTGCTTTCTGGTCTTTGCAGCAAAAACCTGACCTGCAGGCTTTCTTCAGGCTTCTCCAGACCGACCAGGAGGAGGTCATGCATGGTCAAGGTCATGTCTCAGAAGAAGCCTCTTAAAAGAAAGTTGGAAGGGTGGGTTTTCATAAATATCTTTTGGTGAAGGCAGATGCTACAAGTCTCTTTGAAAATGAAGACTTCTTTTCCTGAGAATTATAAGAAAAGATATGAAAGATATTAGTAGATTAACTTACAATATAGAAGCCCGGAAAAGCCATTGAAATCCACGGGTACAGGCACAAGGAAGTATAGGACAATGAGGTGAAATGAGCTGAGATGATATAACAACTATAAGAGGGAGAAAAGAAAATCCCAGCCTGCTATCAGCGCTGCTATTACTAGTTTTGACAAGAGAAATATGCTTTCATGATGGGATATTGTGTTTTCAGTGAGTCTAGTAATGAAATTTTTAAAAACCCAGTGACGATCCAAATTTTAGCTAGGAAGCCTATTATTAAAATTGATAACACCAGCCTAATGTATTCTAAGTTATGGGTACAGGAGATGATAAATATTGAGCATTTGCATTGTATAAAAATGTTTTAGTAGATGGTTTTGTAGTCAGGAAGATTAGCTGACTCTTTGATTGGCTGCTACAGAGCAGGAGAATAAAGATAAATGCTGTAAAACGCGTATGTACCTCAAGGGAAGTGTTTGAAATGATAAACGGCTTCCTTGTACTCCTCAAAAGCATTTACTTCTAATCATTGCATCCCATTTCTTATTTGGACCTGAAGTACCTGCAGGAGAGCAGAAGGCAGGCCCAGGAGCGCAGCCATGGGCACGTCTCTCTCACCATCTCCTCTGGCCACAGGAGACAGGGTTGAGGGTGAGGGCCGGTGGAGTGTTTCCATCCCGGGATAATTTCATAGTCCATACTTGGGATGTTCATGTCCCTGAGCCCACTCACCTGTCTCTTATTGAACCTCCTGTCCCTGGGGCCTGGAGTCCAGAGCCCCTCCCTGCAGACCTGATTTGGGATGTTCACGTCCTTAAGCCCACTCACCTCTCTCTTCTCGGACCTGGTGTCCCTGGAGCCTGGGGCCTGGAGTCGGGAGCCTCTCCCTGCAGGCCTGATTTGGGATGTTCATGTCCCCGAGCCCACTCACCTGTCTCTTCTCAGACCTCCTGTCCCTGCGGTCTGGAGTCTGGAGCCCCTCCCTGCAGACCTGATTTGGGATGTTCACGTCCCCAAGCCCACTCACCTGTCTCATCTTGGACCTCCTGTCCCTGGGGCCTGGAGTCCGGAGCCCCTCCCTGCAGACCTGATTTGGGATGTTCACGTCCCCGAGCCCACTCACCTGTCTCTTCTCGGAACTCCTGTCCCTGGGGCCAGGAGTCCGCAGCCCCTCCCTGCAGACCTGATTTGGGATGTTCACGTCCCCGAGCCCACTCACCTGTCTCTTCTCGGACCTCCTGTCCCTGGGGCCTGGAGTCCGGAGCCCCTCCCTGCAGACCTGATTTGGGATGTTCACGTCCTTGAGCCCACGCACGTGTCTCTGCTCGGACCTCCTGTCCCTGGGGTCTGGAGTCCGGAGCCCCTCCCTGCAGACCTGATTTGGGATGTTCACGTCCTTAAGCCCACTCACCTGTCCCATCTCAGACCTCCTGTCCCTGTGGTCTGGAGTCCGGAGCCCCTGACTGCAGACCTGATTTGGGATGTTCACATCCCCGAGCCCACTCACCTGTCTCTTCTCGGACCTCCTGTCCCTGGGGCCTGGAGTCCGGAGCCCCTCCCTGCAGACCTGATTTCGGATGTTCACGACCTTGAGCCCACTCACCTGTCTCTTCTTAGACCTCCTGTCCCTGCGCCAGGAGTCCAGAGCCCCTCCCTGCAGACCTGATTTGGGTTGTTCACGTCCCCGAGCCCACTCACCTGTGTCTTCTCGGACCTACTGTCCCTGGAGCCTGGAGTCCGGAGCCCCTCCCTGCAGACCTGATTTGGGATGTTCACGTCCTTGAGCCCACTCAGCTGTCTCATCTTGGACCTCCTGTCCCTGCGCCTGGAGTCCGGAGCCCCTCCCTGCAGACCTGATTTGGGATGTTCACGTCCCCGAGCTCACTCACCTGTCTCTTCTCGGACCTCCTGTCCCTGGGGCCTGGAGTCCGGAGCCCCTCCCTGCAGACCTGATTGCTGTGCGTGCCATTCTGCTGGCTATGATGTAAGTGAAAAGCCCGGTAGTCCCCACTTCCTTAAGTGGTTACAGTTTCTCCCCCTCAACAGACTTTGTTTTCATTGTCGTCCTTGTTGTTTCCTCCAGTCATTGTCACTGGGCCATAAATGTGGATGACATGGCACTCAATGACTATTGTCTGAAACGTGAAGATGAAAGCCTGGGGTGAGAAGGGAGTCTCCGTTTGTCCAGGTCACAGGCAGTGCTGGGCATAGAGGTAAGGGAGGCACCTAGAGGCAAAGCTGTAAGGGTATCCTCACTCTCAGTTTACACCCTGGAGGATGGGCACCTGCATGCACTCTGCCCCTTGGGCACCTCCCCCGCCTCCCTTTAGCCTTGGCAAAGGATTGCAGGGGATCCCTGTCTTGCTGGCGTCAGCCGGGCTGGGAGGCACTCATTTCCTATCCTGGCAGCCAGTGCTCACACACTTCTGGGGTTCACCTTTTACAATCTCATTTAATTATGCAGTGTTCAGTGGAAAGTTGTTCAATCTCTCTTTCCCAGCCCCCAACTCAGTCGTGAATTCCTAGTAGCACAGTATCTTTTCTTATGCTGTGACCTCAGCACGCAGCTCAGAGGCTGAGCTCAGCGAGTTGGGAGTGACTAAGAAGTGAGGCATTTCTTTCTCAGTGTGAAAAAAATATTCTGGAATTAATGATAATGGTCACACAATACTGTGAATATACTGAAAACTGTTGAATTGTATATTTTTAAATGTGAATTTTATGCTATGTACATTATATCTCAACTTCAATAAAAGAACGTTGTATTAGTTTGTTCTCACACTGCTAAAGATATACCTGAGACTAGGTAATTTATAAAGAAAAGAGGTTTAATTGGCTCATAGGTGTGTGGGCCATACAGCCTTCTGCTTCTGGGGAGGCCTCAGGAAACTTACAATCATCACAGAAAGCGAAGGGGAAGTAGGCATATATTCACATGGCCAGCAGGAGAGAGAGAGAGGGAAGGGGGAAACGCTACATACTTTCAAACAACCAGATCTCATGAGATCTCTATCAGGAGACCAGCATGGGGGAGGTCCACTCCCATGATTCAATTACCTCCCACCAGGCCCCTCCTCCAACACTGGGAATTACAATTCAACATGAGATTTGGGTGGGGACACAGAGCCAAGCCATATCATCTGTGGAGACATCTGCTCCAGACCAGATGGGATAGCCCCAATTCTCCCTGCTCTTTCTTCTTTGCTAAGCATAGCTATAAATTCCAGAAATCACGCAAGAGACAAATAAGACAACCCTGGAAGATGGTAAGAAGAGGCAAGCTGGTTTGGCGCTCCAAGGCTGAAGGAACAGCACAGCATCAGGGTCTCTCATGTTCCCCCTAACCAAGAGAAGGAAACCAAGACCCAGAGATTCCATAACCCTCACTTAGCAACACAGGGTGGCCAACCTAGGCCCTTTCCTCCTTTGGACTCTGCAGAAGTACCTCTGACAACACCAGGCAAGGCTGACACCACCTGTAAGGGGATTGATTTTGGTCCCTGAAGGAAACAAGCAGCAGGGTGGATGGGGGAGGCCCTTCCTTTCCTTGCTGGGCCTGAGATCCCTTATTCCACTGAAAGACAGAGATTAATCAGCAAAGCTGGCAGAGGAGACCCAGCTGCAAGGAAAGCCCTAGCCTGGGAAGTTTCTTTCTTCCCACATTCCCAAGACTCCCCTCCCCACACTGAGACTAAGGCAAGAGCAGTACCAGTGGGGGTGCCTCACCATAACTTTCCCACAGGTAGACACCCAGGGGCCAAGGGAAACTCCTTCTTGCCTCTAAGGTGACAGCAGCAAGAACCAATGTGAGCCTCAATGGAACCAGATAAACCAAGAACACCAAAACAACACGGCAGGTACTCTGGACAGTTCACCTGCGATTGGAATCACAGCACAAGGAAGTCTGCCAGGGTCTGCACAGGAAACATAAACAGATGACTGCCTGCTAACGTAAACGATTTAAGTGGAACCCAGAGTGTCCTCTCATTACAGACAAAATGTCAGGAATACAATGGAAAATCACCCATCCTACTAATCACCAACACAATCTCAATTTGAATGAGAGAAGACAGTCAACTGATAGCAATTCCAAGATAAATCAGATGTTGGAGTTGTCTGACAAGGACTTTAAAGCAGGCATAAAAAAAATGCTTCAACCTTCTATCACAAATGCTCTTGAAAGAATAAAGAAAAATATCAGCAAAGAAATAGAAGTTTAAGAAAGAAACAAGAAATATTAAACTGAAAATACAGAAAACAAAAATACGTGCTGGATGGGCTTAATAATAGAGTAATAGAATAGAGATAACAGAGAACAAAACCAACGATCTGGAGGACATAACAATAGAATTCCCCTAATCTGAACAAGAGAGAAAATAGACTGAAAACAGAAGTGGACACAGCCTCTGTGATCTGTGGTAAAGTAAGCAACAGAGCCAGGTTGATATCATCACAATCCCAGAGAAAAGGAGAAAAAGAGTGGGGCTAGAAGAGCATTTGAAGAAATTATGGTTGAGAGCTTCCAAAATTTGGCAAAAGATACAAACATATAGATCCAAGAATGTGAGTCAAAGCAGAAACAGACTAAACCAAAATAAATTCATACCAAGAGACATCATAAGTAAGATTCTGAAAACTAAAGAAAAAAATTTAAATCAGCCAGTGAGAAGTGACACATCACCATAGGAGAACACCAATTTGAATGACAATTTGCTCATCTGTCACCATGGAGACCAGAAGAAAATGGCACAACACTTTTCAATTGCTGAAATAATTGTTAAACTGTGAATTCTGTATCTGGCAAAACTATCCTTCAGGAACGAAGTACAAATGGAAATGTTATCAAATAAAGAAAAGCTAAAAGAATCTGTCACTAACTAGATCTACCCTCAAAGCTTGGCCAAGTAAGTACTTCAGACAGAAAGGAAAAGATAAATGAAGGAAACGTAGGCATCAGGAAGGACTAAGGAACAAGGGAAAGAGCAAAAATATGGGTAGAGGCATTTTCCTGATTAATTTCACAAACCACATTTGATGATTAAAACAAAAATAATACCCTCTACTACCCAAGATAATGATATTTTAAAATGAGGAAGACAAAAGGAACTAAATAGAAGAAAGCTTTTCACACTTTACTTGACATGGTAAAATGCTGAAACCAGTAGACTGTTACTAGTCACTGATATATATTAGAATACCCAGAGCAACTACTACTAAAACAATACCAAAGGATATACTAAAAGCACTATATGTAAGTCAAGACAAAATCCTCAAATATGATAAAGTAACTCAGAGGAAGGAAAGAAAAGGGAAATAAAAATCTGACAAAAAGAAATAAATAGAAAACAAGATGGAAGGCAAGTACCAACCTATCAATAATCAACTGAAATGTAGATGGTTTAAATACATAAATGCAACAAGCAATCACACAGGGATTTGCAGAGTGAATGTGGACACACACACACACACACACACAATCCAATTATATGCTGCTTACAAGAAACTCATTTTATAATCAATCGTATAATCAACTGAAAATAAAAGGATAGAAAAAGATATGCCATACACTATACAGTCATTAATACAAAATTAAAAAGTAATGGCTATGTTAATATCTGATAAAATACACTCAATGCCAAGAGAATTACTAGAGACAGTGAGAGACCTTATATAATGATAAAGGATCAATCTCTTATAAGACATGCTAATCCTAAATGTGTGCACAACCAACAATAAAGCCTCAAAATACATAAAACAAAAACTGATGGAGCTTAAAAGAGAAAAGATCAATTCATAAATATAGTTGGGGGGCTTTACTATTGTCCTCTCAGCAACTGAGAGAGCTGTATGAAAATCAACAAGGTTATAGAAAAGCTGAAATATATAATCAAAATGCAGGATCTAATTAACATACACAGAACACTATACAATGACTACAGAACATGCATTATTTTTCAAGTACTCAAGGAACATGCACCAAGATAGGGCATATCTTGGGTCATAAACCTCAAAAAATTTAGAAGTATTAATATCATACAGACTGTGTTCTCTGACCATGAAGGTGTCAAACTAGAAATAACAAAAATACCTAGAAATAAAAAAAATAATAAAAACACTGTAAACACATGGAAATTAAACAACATATTTTTAAATAGATCATAGGTTAAAGAGGAAGTTTCAAATGTTTTATATACATATACATACATATACACATATACGTATATGTATATACGTATACATATCTGTGTATATGTATATATACATATATACATGTGTATACACAGATATACAGATATGTATATATACATGTGTATATACAGATATACAGATATGTATATATACATGTATATACATATATATTTATATATACACATATATAAATATCTATGTGTATACGTGTATATATATATATAGAGAGAGAGAGAGAGAGAGAGAGTTTGTTTTGTATCATTTCAAAACAAAATACAATACCAAAATTTGTGGGATGCTATTGAATTAGTGCTGAGAATGATATTTATAATACTAAATGCTTACATAAGAAATGATAAAAGCTCTCAAATCAGTAATCTAAGTTTTCACCTCAAGGACCTAGGGAAAATAAAGAGCAAAATAAACCCAAAACAAGCAGAAGGAAAGAAATAATCAAGTAAAGAGCAAACATCCATTAAATTGAAAATGGAAAAACATCAGACAAAATCTATAAAACAAAAAGTTGTTTCTTTTAAAAAGTCAATCAATTGATAATGTTCTACTAGAATTGACAAAAAAGGAGTGAAGAAAATATTACTAATATCATAAGTGCAATGAGCATATCACCACAGATCCTGTAGCTTTTAAAAATGTAATTCAGAAATACTACAAACAATTTAATTCTCATACAATGGACAATGTAGAAGACTAAGTTTTAAAAACTTTAAACTACCAGAATTCAATCAGATGAAATAGTCAAACTAGTCCTATAATAATTAAATAAATTGAATTTGTAATAGAAAATCTTCAAAAACAAAATATTCAGGCTTAAACAGTTTCACAGGAGAATTTTACCAAGGACTTGAAAAATTAATGCTAATTTTACACAATATCTTCCAGAAAATAGCCAAAAAGGGTATACTTCCCAAAACAACATGAGGTCAGGATTACCTTCTTACCTTCCCCCTCCAAAAAAGAAAAAAAGAAAAAGAAAACCATGGGGCAACATATCTTATAAACATAGATGTAAAATACTCAACAAAACAGCAAATTGAATTTAAAAACATATAAATATAGTTTTACATTATGACCAAGTATAATTTATTCCGGGTATGAGACATCTGAAAATCAATTGATATAATCCAACATATTAACAAGCTATTGAAAAAGATCACATGATTAAATCAATTGATGCAGTTAAAGCATTTGGCAAAATACAATACCCATTTATAAGAAAAACTCAGCAAGTTAGGAATAGTGAGAGAGATTACTTCTTGATAAAGAGCATGTACAAAAAGCTGATAGCTAGTATTGTATTCAATGACGAAAGATGGGATCTGTTTTCTCTAAGATGGAGAACAAAGCAAAGATGCCCACTCTCACTACTTTTTCTTTTTGAGGTGGAGTCTTGCTCTATTGCCCAGGCTGGAGTGCAGTGGCCCAATCTTGGCTCACTGCAACCTCTGCCTCCCAGGTTTAAGCAACTCTTCTGCCTCAGCCTCCCAAGTATCTGGCACTCTCACCACTTCTATTCAACATAGTATTGAAAGTTCTAACCACTGAAATAAGGCAAGAAAAAAGAAAGAAAACAAATACAGATTGGAAATAAAAGTATATCTACTTACAGATGACACGATTGCCTCTAAATAGAAAATCCCAAGAAATTCTCACATAAATTCCTAGAACTAATGAGTTTGTCAAAGTGGTAGGATACAAGATCAACACAAAAAGTATCTGCAAATCTATATACTAACAAAGAGCATGAGCAAACTGAAATCTAAAAACCACAATGCCATTTGTAATCACTCAAAAGAAAATGAAATATTACACTTTGATATACACCAAACAGGATCTATATGCTGAAAATTCTATAAAGTGCTGATGAAAGTATTCAAAGAAGGCCTAAATAAATGAAGAGATATACTATATGCATGAATTGGAATACTTCCTCTAGTAAATATGTTAATTCCCATGAGCCCCCAATTGATCTTTAGGTTTAATTCAATTTCTATCAAAATTCCATAAAGTGTCTTTTGTACATAGACATTTTCATATAAATTGAAATTCTTCAATTTATATGGAAAGGCTCAGGCCCTAGAATAGCTAAGACAATATTGACAAAGACTAATAGAAGCAATATTGTGGCTTACTATATAGCTTCAGTAAATAAAACTATATCATATTAGCAACATACAGATCAACAGAATAAAAAAGGAGCGAAGAAAGAGACCCATACGAGTATGCTGGGATGATTTTTGACCAAGGCGCAAGAGAAATTCAGTTGAGGTAGGACAGCGTTTCCACCAACGGTTCTTGAGCAAATGCACATCATATGCAAAAATAACAAATCTCCACTTAAAACTCAAACCTTCCAAAATTAACTCAAAATGGATTAGAGGTTTAAGTGTAAATGATCAAAGTATAACTCTTCTAGAAAATTTGAAAAAAAAAAAAAGGTAGAAAATCTTCAGGATCTATATCTAGGCAATTCCTCAGACTCGACATTAAAACGCACTATCTACAAAGAAACAATTGGTAAATTGGACCTCATGAGAATTAAAGTTTTTCCTCCTTGAGAATCTATGTGAAGGAGATGAAAAGATGAGCTATGAACTACAAGCTACATGCAGAAAATATTTGCGAGCTACCTATGTGAAAAAACCCTAGTATCTACAATATATAAGGAACTCTCAAAATCTAACATAAGCAACAGATGATTCCATTAGAAAATGGGCACAAGACATGAACAAAAGTTTCACTGAAAAGCACTTACAAATGGCAAATAAGCATTGATGAAAAGATGTTCAATATCATTAGCCATGAAGGAAATACAAATTACAACCACAGTGAGATATCACTTGACGCCTACCAGAATAGCTCAATTAACAAAGTCCTGACACCACAGGCGGGCGATCGCTCGTGTATGGCTGGCGTGGTGATTTCTTAAACACTAAATATGCAATGACCAAACACTCCAGCAATTAGACCTATAAGCATGTGGCATGTAGAAATGTACACTCAATAGGCATGGCCGCTTTATTTATAACAACCAAACAGTGGGCACAACCCAGGCGCCCTTCAGTGGGGGTAATGATTAAACCAACTGCAGTACATCCATGTCATGAAAAAACACTCAGCAATAAAAAGAAATTGTGTCCACATGGGTTGAGGAATACCTTTTCCCTGCACTCTGGGGCGGGGGGCCCATATAACCGACTTGCCAGTCCAACACAGGTGGTATGGGACCTGGTGTGGAGGGAACCTTTCTAGGTCACAGTCATGAACAGGTCTCAGTTCTGAATGCTGCCAGAACACCTGCAGAGACAGGTATACCCGTGCCTTGACAATGGCCCACCTCACGACTGGCCCCCAGTGGCCACTCTTAGGATGTGTACCCATATGACAGCCTCCTCCAAAGGGCGTGGGTAAACTGCTGGAACCTGACTAAAGTCGTCTGCCTCCTGACTTCCCAGAGGCAACTTGGAGCTGTGTGCATCCCAGAGATGCCCTGTAAGGCAGGCATCCTTCTCTTGTAACCTGATGTGGACTTCCTGCCACCTGGACATTCCCAAAGGGGCCTGCTCCAAACGTGCCCACTGTCTATGGTCCCTTGGTTGATCCACATGGAAAAGGCTCAACTACCTGTAGAAGAGGCTGGTGGCCAGGGCTCGTGGGTGACACACATCCAAACTGCCCGAAGCTCAGCCATAGACTGCACTGTCCTGATCCCCATCCTATCCGTATGGTGTTGGTGTCTAGTTGCACCGCAGTTGCTGAGTATTAGGGTTGGGTGCTTTTGCTAGACCCACCAGTGTAAGGTCCTAGCAGTATCAGCAGGGTCCCCTCATATATGGTGGCTGGCTTAGTAAGTGGTTCCACTGCCATGTCGGCCCCCTCCTCTTGTTCAAAGTGGATGGGTCTGAGCACCTCTCGTAGTGGCAGACAAAGCACTAGTGGACAAGACACCCCTCTGTTGTTGACAAATGTGTGCCATCACTCTAGGGTGTGTGATTGTGCCACCATGAAGGTAAGCTTGGCCAGGAGGCCTCCTGCCCACTCTTTTATGGGTAGGCAGTCTTCACAGTGATGGTAGCTTTCTGGAGACAGCCTCCAATTTGCTGCAGTACCTGATACATGGCCAGTACCTGTTTCTCCAGGATGTGGTCATGGGATTCTGCCCCTATCCATAATTGAGACTGAAACCCTGCAGGTACCATTCGGGTTGGTGGCTTTGATCATAAACCCCAGCTCATCCCCATAACATCTCTAGTGGCTTCTAATACAAAAGGGTGCTATGGCCGTGGGGCCCTGAGTGCCTGGGCTCATCTCACAAACATTCTTGATTTGTCAGGCGCCTCTCAGACCATGTGTGCTCATGCCCATTTTTTTTTTCCTTATTAGGGTGTATAATGGGTAGAGGGTTTGGGCCATGTGAAGAATCAGTATTCTCCAGCAGCCCAGTAAGCCTAGGGAAACCTGGAGTTGCTTTGTTGTCTGGGGAATAGGCCACTGTGCTAGCTTACTGATAAGAGCTCTGGGTCTGTTTTGCACCTTACCCGACCAGGTAACTCTCAGAAGTTTGACGGCTATGCCAGGCCCCTGTATCTTTTTGGGATTGATTTTCCGTCTCCTGTCCTTTAGGCCATCCAAGACGGTTTCTAGGGTAGTCTCCAAATTGGTAAGATACTCTGAGGTTAGCATGTTATCATTTATCTGGTGAAACCAGGAGACTTAGGCAGGCCAAGAGTTTAGACAGGTCCTGTGCAACCAGACGGTGACTGATGGGGCTGTGCAGGTTCCTTGTGGTAGCACCTGGAAGGTCCTCCTGAGTGAAGGCAAACTGGTCCTTTGCATCTTCTGCTAAAGGATACTGGAGGATGCAATAGCCAAGTCAATCACAGCAGGGACACCTCCCAGATTAAAGAGCTCTTGTCCCAGCAGTTGAGGATATTGGGCACAGCTGCATGTAAGGTGGTGTCACCTTGTTCAGCACATGGTAGTCCACATTCATTCTCCAGGAGCCATCTGGCTTCTTTGCAGGCCACACAGGGCTGTTGTGGGGGCTGTGGGAGGCCTATTTGTACTTCATGTAATTCCTGAATTGTTTGGGTAGTTTCAGAGTGTCCCCCAGCAGGAGTATTGTCTCACATTCACTGTCTGCCTGGGCTGGGGCAAGTGTACAGCCACCCATGTGGCCCATCCTCTTTTTGTTCCTTGATTACTTTCTGGACCTGGTCCTTGCTTTCATCCAGCTCACTGAGGTCTGCCAAAGATTCCAGACACATTATAACCCTTCTTAAATTGGAAATGACCCAGACATTCAATGAGTACCTGAAATAATTTTAAGATTTTAAGCTATATAATCAGACAAGAGAAAGAAATAAAGGGCGACCAAATCAGAAAAGGGGAAGTCAAACTGTCATTATGATTATATACCTAAAAAATCCTAAAGACTCATCCAAAAAGCTCCTAGAACTGGCAAGTGAATTCAGTAAAGTTGCAGGATACAAAACTAACGTACACAGATCAGTAGCACTGCTATACACCAACAGCAACAAGCTGATAATCAAGTCAAGAACTCAACTGCTTTTATAACAACTGCAAAAAAATAAAATATATAGGAATATACCTAACTAAGGAGGTGAAAGACCTCTGTAAGGAAAACTACAAAACACTATTGAAAGAAATCACAGATGATACAGACAAATCCCATGCTCATGGATAGGTAGAATCAATATTGTGAAAATGACCATACTGCCAAAAGCAGTCTACAAATTCAATGCAATTCCCATTAAAATACCATGATCATTCTTCACAGAGCTAGAAAAAACAATCTTAAAATTCATATGGAACCAAAAAAGAGCACACATAGCCAAAGCAAGACTAAGCAAAAAGAACAAATCTGGAGTCATCACATTAGCTGACTTCAAACTATATTATAAGGCTATGGTCACCTAAGCAGCATGGTACTGGTATGAAAATAGGCACATAGACAAATGGAACAGAATAGAGAACCCAGAAATAAAGCCAAATACTTACAGCCAATTGATCTTTGACAAAGCAAACAAAAACACAAAGTGGGGAAAGTACACCTTGTTCAACAAATGGTGCTGGGATAATTGGCAAGCCACATATAGAAGAATGAAATTAGATCCTCATCTCTCACCTTATACAAAAATCAACTCAAGATGGATCAAACACTTAAATCTAAGACCAGAAACTGTAAAAATCCTAGAGGATAACATCAGAAAAACTCTTTTAGAATTGGCTTAGACAAAGACTTCATGACCAAGAACCCAAAAGCAAATGCAACAAAAACAGAGATACATAGATGGGACTTAATTAAACTAAAAAGCTTCTGCACAGCAAAAGAAATAATCAACAGGGTAAATAGACAACCCACAGAGTGGGAGAAAATCTTCTCATACTGTTCATCCAACAAAGAACTAATATCCCGAATCTACAAGAAACTCAAACCAATCAGCACGAAAAAAAACAATCTCATCAAAAAGTGGGCTAAGGACGTGAATAGACAATTCTCAAAAGAAGATACACAAATGGCAAACATGAAAAAATGCTCAACATCACTAATTATCAGGGAAATACAAATCAAAACCACAATGTAATACCACCTTACTCCTGAAAGAATGGCCATAATCAAAACATCAAAAAGCAAAAGAGATGTTGGCATGGATGTGGTGAAAGAGGAAAACTTTTACACTGCTGGTGGGGATGTAAACTAGCACAATCACTGTGGAAAACAGTGTGGAGATTCCTTTAAAAACTAAAAGTAGATCTACCCTTTGATTCAGCAATCCCACTACTGGGCATTTACCCAAAGGATAAGAAGTCATACTTGCCCCACATGTTTATAGCAACACAATTCACAATTGCAAAAATATGGAACCAGCCCAAATGCCCATCCATCAACAAGTGTATAAAGAAAATGTGGTATATATATTACATATTATATATATTACATTTTATTATATCTAATATATAGTATATATTAGATCTAATATATAGTATATATTAGATATTAGATCTAATATATATTATATATTATATATTAGATCTAATATCTAATATCTAATATATATATTATATATTATATATTAGATCTAATATATATTAGATATGTATTATATATAATATATATAATACATAATATATATTATACATAATATACATATTATATATATTATATAAAATATATATTATTATATATGTGTGTGTATATATATGTGTATATATACACACACACACACACACCATGGTGTATATACACATACCATGACATGCTACTCAGCCATAAAAAGGAATGAATTAACGGCATTCTCAGCAACCTGCAGGGAATTGGAGGCTATTATTCTAAGTGAAGTAACTCAAGAATGGAAAAATCAAACATCATAAATTCTCACTCATAAGTGGGAGCTAAGCTATTAGGACACAAAGGCCTAAGAATGATACAATGGACTTTGGGGACTCGAGGGAAAGGGTGGGAGCGGGGTGAGGGATAAAACACTACACATTGAGTACAGCGTCCACTGCCTGGGTGATACGTGGACCAGAATCTCAGAAACCACCACTAAAGGACACATCCAAGTAACCAAACACCACTTGTTCCCCCTAAAACTTATCAAAATAAAAATCAATTTTAAAAAATCAGCAGAAAATATTTTAAGCTACACAGATGTTTTACCTACAAACATTTGTTTCACTTATGTTTACTCAATTTATTCTTTTGTTGCAGTTTATCTAGATTACTCATAAGAACATGGCAATAGGCAAAGCCAACCATCATTCCAAGTTGTTTTCCTGTTAACCATTTTTATAGCCTGTGAATATCCAGTGTTCACCAAAGCAAGAACATTAAAGTTAAATGTATGCGTATTTTTACTGATAACCGAGAAGATTCTTGTTTTGATTAAACCAGCAGTATCACCTGCCCCCTCACAGGCCATGGCATCTCCTCCAGCTTGTCTGTCTTTGTGGGGAAAGCCCGGACAGGACCTACCACCCCTGAAAGCCTTGCGAGACCAGTAGCCACTGAGCAGGTGGGTGTGGGATTCCTGGCCTGGTGAGCCTCCCCTGTCCCTGCCCCAGGTGCCTGACTCGAACCTGGATCTCATGGGGCTGGCCAGGGAGATGGGTACCTGGGCAAGGGAGGCAGTGGGATGCCACAGGACAATTGTGCCCAGGGAACAGAACATCTCACAGGACTTATGACCTTCGAAGCACCTTCCCGGGGGCTGTGTGGCCAGGACAAGCCCCAGGAACAGAACATCTCACAGGACTTATGACCTCTGAAGCACCTGCCCGGGGGCTGTGCGGCCAGGACAAGCCCCAGGAACAGAACATCTCACAGGACTTACTACCTTCGAAGCACCTGCCCGGGGGCTGGCGCTTGGTTTCAACTCACTTTCCAACACTCTGGGGTCTTGCTGCCTCCTGGGCTGATGGTCTCATTGCTGAACCCATCTTTGCGTGGCAGGAGATTCTATTCAGATGCAAGTTTCTCTCTGTTCTTAGCTAAAAGGTGTTCAGTGGCTCACAGAGGCCCTCTCTCTAGCTGTGCTGGGTCCTATCCACAGTTGGCAGCTGGTGTATTGGAAGCCTCTGTGGACAGACCTCTGCAGCCTCTCTTGGCCGTCCCATCGACTTGCACCCCCGGGGCAGACATGCTGAGGGGGCTCTCCCAGCACCAGGGCCTCCCCAGGAGCTGAGTCGTGCCCAGCAGGAGCAGAGTGGGGACGGCTTTACCAAAGGGAGTGGGATACCTTCCCTGCTCTTCCTCACCCTCCCTCCTACTGCTCTTCCAGCAGTTGGCACGTGGGTCCTGGAGCAGCTCCACATCTCCAGCATCCAGCAATCTTGTGGATCCCGCTGTGCCTCCACTCTCCTGCCCTCCACCCCGGCCCTGCAGCTCCTGAGCTGGGATGCTCCTTTCTGCCTAAAACATTTGGAAGACATTTGCAGCTGTAAACGTGCTGCAAGGAAAATCATGTACTCATTGCACACAAACAACCACGGGATTCTCCCCCACAGAAAAGTAAATTAAAACTTGACAGTCAAATAATTCTCATCTCAAGGAAAAAAAACCACCCCGAGGAGCACACGGGTGAGCTGCCCACCTGGCTGGGAGGAAGACGCGGTTTTAGGGGAGTTGCTTCCACCAAGTTCGCAGGGAGGCTTGGGTGACCTGCCTCTGAACGCAGGAGTTCCTTTGAGCTGTTTTGGGCTCCACAGTTTTATTTTACTGTTCACCGCATGCTGTGGAGGTTGTTGATTTGCTGGGGATGACAGTGTTACCTGACGATCCAGGTGCCTCTGCTCCTTCACTAACTCCTTCTTGAAACCAATAGAAGCGTCTCTGAGGCAGCTCATGCTCTAGGTCTGGAAGCCAGGGAGGACATGTGGGGAGCCAGCTGTGGGCAAATGACAGCCACCAGGAGAGTGCAGCCCAGGGAGGGGAGGACAGACAGGTGAGGGGGCTCAGGGAGGAGAGGACAGACAGGTGAGGGGACACTGTCCAGGTCAGGGTGCAGGCCCCACGTTGCAGGCCTCCTGCCCAGAACCCTGCCCTCATTCCACTCCTCCAGGGCTGGGAGCCTGACCCTGAGTCGGCTTCACCCCCATCACCTTGACCCCTGACCCAGCGTTCTCTGGGTCCCTCCTGACCCTTCTGGCTGAGGCCCCTGCCCAGGGCTGCGCTCCTCCCAACAGCTCCTTCACAGAGTTGTGGGTCTCAGAATGATCCTCATTGTATACACAGGGCCAGGGCCTCTTTTTGTCTTTTTGCATAATTCCTCCTGCAGGGGCCCCACCCCAGCAGGGCCTCAGCCCAAGGCTCCAGTGGCTGAGCGGCCCCCTTCCAGCTTCCCTGGTCAGGAAACACCCCCTCTTGCGGCTGCCCAGAGACAAAGGGTCCCCTGGGTGTGGCACTTGCTGTCAGGCATATTCTAAGCCCCAGGCAAGCATCCTGAATGTGTGGCCAGTGGTTGGTGACAAAGGCTCAAGATAAGGGTTCACGCCCTGAACAAAAAATGTCCCAGGCCACCTGCAGCCCATGAGGGGCCTACCAAGAGAGGCCCTGGCACCTTGGTCCAGCCAGGGGCTGTGCAGAAGCTGCTGGAACCCCCTTGCTCTGTCGCTGGTGGCTGGTGCAGAGACTGGTCACCCTCTGCCGACCTATGGTCTGAGGAGCCCCCCGGGTGGAAGGCTGCGAGCGATAATGTCAGGCAGCCTCTGTGATCTGGGTCCCACCCCCTCGCCACGTGTCCCCCCAGCTTCCAGGCTCCACGTCTGTGCCAAGGTCGGCTCCTCAGTCCATCTTGCCCAAGCCATGCTCACAGGGATAGCCCTATTGCCAAGGCAACACTGCCCCTCCTGGAATGCACCCCCGGCCATGCAGGCAGCCTGCAGCACTCACTTCCTCCTTCTCATCTTCAAGTGAGAAACTCTTCCTCTGCCCCACTCAGACCATCCGTCTCTCTCTCTGGGCAACATCAGAGCCTGCCCGGGATCCCCACAGAGGCTGTGCGAGTCTGTGTCCCCAGCCCGGGATCCAGGCCCGGACTCCTCTTTTGAACGTTCCCTCCGCCTCCAGCAAGGTGTGGCCCCCACGAGCTGAGCCCCCAGGTGAGGAGCATCTAAGGCCTCGGGACCTGGGCTGTGGTAGCTTTTCGTCCCAAGCTGCTCAGTGAACTTGATGGCAAGTAATTTACCCTTAATATCCTACCAGCTAAATCTCATTATTGTCTTTACAAGAGCCAATATGTACACATTGATAGCCAGGCCTATTACATCTTAGCGTTCAGACTAAATGTCTGAAACATATTTTGAGAGAAAGCATAAAATTGCTTATTTTATTGAGCAAACCAATTAGAACAAGTCAGACCCTTTTATGAAGACACAGCACTGAGGGGCTCCATCAAACCTTCCTCTCATCCCCAGAGGTCCTCACGCTCACAAAATTGGCAGATTGTCAGCATTTGAGATGCTTCTTCAGGAAATTCAAATTTCATTTTCCCCAGTAGGTTAATTTCCCATGATTAGAAAAGAGTGAGGACTATTATTTTAAGTACTTCCCCCTGCCCTTCCACGGGGACAGTAGGAAGAACATATGCTCAAAGCACATGGATATTTTCCCTCCCTAAATATTAAAAAAAGAAGAAGAAGAAGAAAGAGAAACAGGAAAAGACTGGATTTCCTGCCATTTTAGCAAGACTGCAATTTCATTCTTAACCCCTCTGAGAATTCACATTCAGGCTGCAACCTTGAGAGTTGAGGGCCTCCACGTGCCTCAACCCAGGAAAACCAGGCACACTTGTAAACTCTCTTGGGAACCTCCCAAAAGCTGGTTTTTATAATTAGGAAAATAATTAGGACAATTTGGAAAAAAGAGTACACAACATGATGAGTTAGAAGCTGCTGCAGGGAGACCGTATATGTTGGGGTTACACCCGCTTGTTCCTGGGGAGAGGGGCAGCTCTGGGAGAGGCTAGGGGAGAAGCCCCCGTTTCCCTGCTCACCCCACATCAGGCTTCTCCAGAAAAGTCCCAACCAGAGCAGGTGGTAGGAGTTTAGCTGGGAGATCCAGCACAGATGCCTGGGACGAGGCTCTGGAAGTGAGAATCCCAGCGGCAGTGAGGTCCTCTCCTGGGTCCGATGGGTGAGGGGAGTCCGTGGGAAGATGGCTGAGGGAGATCTGGAGGAGGCAGAGCTGAAGGGGAAATCCAAGGCAGTAAAGTGGGACCCCGGAGTCTGGTGGGGCATTGGAGGTCTGTCGCTGGGGATCCCGACTGTCGGGTGGCTCGGATGGCACTGGACAGGGCCAGCCTCTCTGGTGGGTGGCCTCATCCAGCCCCTTCGTTTCACCTCCTGCCAGGGGCAGGCGTCACTGTGTCCTACAGATGCTGAAACCCTGGCCTGTGAGGACTAAGTGGCCTTGTTCAAGCACATACACCCAGGGCAGGGAAGAAGCTGACACTCCAGCCTGTGACAAGGCCTTCTTTCAGGCAGCAGGTCAGGTGTGTTTCTCTGCTCCATGATCTGTGTGCCCTGTTCCCTCCAGCAGGGAGTGTTGACACAGTGGCAGCCCGGGAGCCTCCCACATGCTCCGGAGCTGCCTCCCCTGTGTGGTGATGGAGTCTTCCTCTCCAGCCACAGGCCATCCTCTCTTGGTGCAGCAATGTTCACCCTCTGCTAAATCACATCTACGAGTGGGACACTGTGGCGCCTGCCAGAGCACCGGGCAGCCCCCAGGGACCCTTGAAGGTGGGCGCAGGTCACAGCCACCTGTCCAAGCCTCTGCTTCAGCACTGGAAGTGGGTGCGCTGAGAATGTGTTCTGGTGCTGGAGAGACCTCGGGTCCAACATGGGATGCAGACCCAGGACTCAGAGAAAGGGGGAGTCAGGGAGGTGGGAGGCAGCCCCTGCCCTTCCACCATGGACACCGGCGTCTGTTCCCTCCTGTTTTTCTTTAATGCAGGCATTTACAAGGAAGAGCTTAGTGAAGCTTCGCTCACGTTTTCAAATCAAGCAAGGCTGAGGTCACTCATGAGGTCTGCCTGGCTTTGTCCACTCAGGCTTCCTCAGGCCTGTCCCCATTTTAATCCATTTTAATAGCTCTCGACACCCGTGATGCCCAGTGGGAAAATGCAGCAGAGAAACCCCCTTTCCTGTGGCAAGGATCTGTTAGCTCCCCACGCAAGATATGAAAGAAGATACGCGACATCCTTTTTGGGAAAAAGAAAGTACAAACCACCACTGAAGGATGACGAGAAGCCTTAAGGACAGGAAGCATGAAAGTGAAGCCATGACACATAAAATAATCAAGCAGGAGAGGGGCACATCCCAGAGCCCAGGGGAAGAACGGGCCGGGCTGCAGTAAATGGTGCTGGGACCATTGGTTTTTCAAATAGAAAAACACTCAGATTGATCTCTAACTTACACCAAATAGGAAGGTAAATCCCAAGTGAGTTGAAGACTAGTTTTTTAAAAGTAAAATTTTAAGGCACTTTGAATAAAATATGGGATTATATCTTTATGACCTTGAGTTAGAAAAGATGTCTTCAGCAAGACCCAAAAGCCCAGGTCATAAAGGAAATGATTGATTAATTCAACCACATTAAATTTTAAATTTCTGTGAAATAAAAGCCATCATAAAGGCTGAAAAGACGAGCTGAAGACCTGCAGAAGATCTTGCAATGCATGGATGGATAATGCTGTGATATTCCGGGTATATTTTAAAACCCCTACAAGGAAGTATAATAAAGACAAGCAACTTAACAAAAGTCTACACAAAAGATATGAACAAACATTTCACAGAAAGGGGCAAAAGTCATGACCAATGACAGGTTAACAATTCTGAACATAATAGTAATCAGGAAAAATAAACATTCAGGCAATATCATATACAATCACATGCATCCAGTTATCAAAATCTTAAACAGCTGAGCACAGCAAGGCTGGTGAGGATGGACACCGTGGGGACACAAGAGACACAGGGGATCGCCATGGGGATCACTGCTGGGGGACAGGGACCAGGAAGTCAGCCATTCACAAGAGCTCCTGCAAATAAAGGCATGTGTCCTGTGACCTAGGAATCTTTCTCCTAGCCTTAAACGAAGGTTTTGGCCAGGCACAGAAAGAAAAAGCCGGAAAGAATGTCAAACGAAGCATGGCTTTTAATGACACAGAAGGTTTTGAAATGACCTAAATGTTCATCAGTATGAGTTGAGAATATTACTAGTGAAAATGAATTAGGAAGAGCTGAGTCTATTAACACGGGTAAGCTTCGAAAGCCATGTTGAACGAGAAGGCACAGAATGATTTGTCCTACAAAACACGACTTTATAAAGTGTAAAATGTGAAGGATGGTATTAAGTGCTGTGCAGGGACATATGTCCACATGGAAGGCTGATATGAAAGGTGGGAAAGTTTGATGGGAACCTGATTTGGGAGAGTGGCCACTGCCGTTAGGAGTAGCCTCAATGGCATGGCACAGAAGAAGCTTATGTAAAAGCAAGTAAAACAAAACGGCAAATGACTTTGTTCTCATAAAATTATGAGGTCTAGGCCAGGTGTGGTGGCTCATGCCTGTAATCCTAGCACTTTGGGAGGCTGAGGTGGGTGGATCACCTGAGGTCAGGAGTTTGAGACCAGCCTGGCCAATGTGGCAAAACCCTGTCTCTACTAAAAATACAAAAATTAGCCAGGCATGGTGGCACTTGCCTGTAATCCCAGCTACTGGGGAGGCTGCGGCATGGAGAATTGCTTGAACCCAGGAGGTGGAGGTTGCAGCGAGCTGAGATCGCTGCACTCCAGTGTGGGCAACAAGAGTAAAAATCAGTCTCAAAAAAAAAAATGAGGTCTAAACCTGGGCTGGTGTGTGGCTCTGTGGCGATGTGAGAACTGTGAGCTTCCCCCCTTTCTGCTGCTTTCCCATGCTGCATCCTTTCTGAACAACTGCTGTTCTCACGGTTACCTCATGTTCCAGGGTGGCTGCTGGCATTCCTGCAATCTCAGCTCTATTCCAGGCCAATAGCTGAAGGAAGTGAAAGAGGATGAAAGGATGCTCGTTTCGCTTTCAGGAGCATTCCCCAAAATCCCCACAGGGTGGCTTACATCTCCATCTCTCAAGGCCAAACCTGGCTGCAAGGGTGACTGAGCCAATGCTCTGTGAGTGGAGAGTGCTTTTGCTCAGAGTAAACTCCAGGTTTTGTTGCTGAAGAGGAAGGGGTAATGGCTTGGGCAGAAGCCAGGCCCTGCCCCATGGTTACCTATGGGGAGGGGAGCATCTGAAATGCTGGAGGGGCGGGAGGGTTTTCACTTGTACGGAAGTTTATTTTTCAAAAAGAAATCAGAAACAAGTATGGACAATTTTGAAATTTTATTAAAAAATAGTAAGTGAAGAGTGTACACTGTTCTCTATTTTTTATGTTTGAAATAGTTTACAAGAAGAAAGAAGAATGAAATAGAAAATGCATATACATTGATTTTATTAATGATATGCAATGATCCATCAATTTATAACAATATAAAATACCAAATAAATGTTAAAATTCACTCACCCTGGAAAAAAATCAAGACTTCTTTTTCTGAAAAGATGGAAACCCTCCCAGCTCTACAATGTGTTGAACAATTTGTTTAGCTTCATTCTCAGCCCAATGTGTCTTTCCTTCTTTCTCCTGGTTTCTTACAACTCTTTTCTTGTGCTTTTCCCAATGGAAAGTGACTTTCTCCTGTTCTGTTCATCAGACAATATAACCTTCAATCTCAGGTTGTCCACGGACCTCTAGATACAGGCTCACTGGCTCTTTGCAGCTGTGCCTGCTTGGCACCTGCTAACCATTAAACAGCAGGACTAGCTTTTATGTCCCTGCTGCCAGGGGTCCACCTGAGCACCTGGGACCTGGCACCCTTGCCCTTTAAGCTGCAGTCATCTCTGGTCACAAGCGTTGTTTGCCCTTCCCACACCAGTCCAACCCAGGCCAATCACGGAGCGGGTCTTCGTCAGACCTGGTTAAGACCTGAGGCTCACGCTGGAGCACATGTCTCGGCCGGAGAGAGTATGACACGGGTGTAGCATAAATCACGGGAATGTAAGGAGCGTGTCTCCACGGAGCTTGTAGAGTGAAGAAGAGACAATCAACCCATGGTAAACGTGTTAACGTTTTGATGTGATGATCACTGGAAACTATTTAGTGGCACGAAAACATAAACACGCCTCCGCTCCTCGTCCTGCCCTACCTCCCGGTACTCGCATCTATTTCATCTCTCACTGTTCATCCATTATTTGTCTCTTTATCGACCATATTTCCTCCAGATCTGCTGACTGGCCGTTCATTGTGCATTTCTGCCAAAGAGGCTCTTGATTTCTGACTCTTCAAATCATTTCCAAATGTGTTACTGAGAACCAACTGCCTGAAGCCTGAGCGTCTGCAAGGAGGAGTTTATTTCGGGCAGAGGGAGGGTGTGGGGGTGGCCCCGACTGGTCCTGACTCCCACCCATGCCATCTGGGAGGCTGGTGGCCAAGCTACGTGCACTCTGGCCCCAACTCTGCCCCATCGCCCCACGTACCTGGTACGCTTTGCAGGAGTGGAGGTGCCTCCCTGGGGCCGTGAGTGCTATGCAAAAAAGAACCAACTGTTCCCTAGGTTTCTGCACTAAGGCAGGGAAGGGGAGGGCAGAACAATCTTGAGCTGACTGTCCCTGACTGCCACTTCACGGCTTGTCATCCTGGCCTAGTCTCAGGAAAGGGATCCCACAGCCGAGAATTTAGGAAATCAGCAGCTGGCTGTAAATAAGCTGATGATAAACAAGGCGACCTGCTGAATTAAAATGCAAAGCATTTCTCCCAGCTCCCTGATAACCACTGAAAGGTAAAATCGCCAGTCTTTCCATGAAAGAAATTAGCATTAATAAGATGAAACCGTATTTGGGATAACTGACAATTTGATGAATGTGCTGAGAGGATTGGACGTGATGCATTTGATGGATAATATTTTGGGTTGCCTCGGGTTGCATTTAATTGTTCCTTCTTCGTTCTCAGCTTTAGTTAAGTGAAATAGAAAACCCCAGTGATGCTGGAATTTATCTTTCAGGAGGCAGATGCACGGCTTAATTATCAATCCCGGCTGATAGCCTCTCCGTCTGTGCACAGGGCAGTGGGGGACGTGGACTGAGCTCTCTGCGTCTCATTTTTCTCCGCCCCTCTGAACCGCATGTGCTGCCTGAAGGCGGATGTGCTGTCTCCCAGTTGGGCCTCCCTTCCCTTGGCCTGGTGCTGAGGTCGGTTGAGGCCTCCACAGAGATGGAGAGACGAGGTCCCAGGTCCACGTGCACCTGCTCACTCTCAGCGGGTGTCCGATTTCCCTTCACAGGAAAAGCCCGCAGGTCAGCTGGCAGAGAGGACCCCTGAGTTGAGATTCCAGAACTCTGTCCTCAGATATGATTTGGGGTCAAGCTGGTAGTCTAAATCCTTTTCCAGATGTCTTCTGAGGCTGGTTTCTTCTTTCCCTGTGGGGATGCAAATGCCCCCACAGGTGGACTACACCAGGCTGTACCCTGCAGGAGCAGTATCCTCCACCTGATTAACCCTTCCAAACCCTCTTTCCCCTGATGTTCTCACAGGGAGGTTTCTGGAACCCTCCTCTCCATGCTCTTGGGACCACCTATAGCTGCCTCTGACTCACAGCCCTCCTGGTCTGTTTCCTTGTCTTTGCCTCCAGGCTGAGATCACTGACTGCGTGGCTGTGCCCAGACACAGCTCACCGTGCTCAGTAGAACAACGTCACTCACTTCTGTCCCCAGTGCCCCGGCGAGGCCCGACCTGTAGAAGTGACTTCATAAATGTGCATTAAATGCAGTGGAAGCATCCATTTCTTCATCTTTGTCCCTGCCTGAATGTTCAACTATTTGAAGGAAAGGACCTGTCTACCACCTCTTTGCCCCCAGCACTGGGCACAGGCCTAGCCCAGCCTCACGGTTCCGTGGGGACTTGAAAGAGAGGGGTGAGGGCTGCTTGGGCAAATGAGCCAAGTCTCCCATGGGCAGGCTCTGCCAGGAATAAGGGTCACCTCAAGGGAAAGGCTGGCCTGTGCCAAGACAGATGCCAGGCCAAGGGGCACCGTGGCACCTGCCTTGCCCTGTAAACACGGCACAGGAATGAGCCCTCACTGGAGAGAAGAGGGCCTGGGAGCTGGAGGCAGGCCTGGGGACTGAGCCTGCAAAAAATCCATTGAAGAGTCATGAAATGCTGGAAGGTGGAAATCAAGATCTGAATGTTTGCAAAGGAATATTTGGATCTTGGATGGAAAGACAAAATAAAAGTAACAGCAAAACTACAGTTACTTTTGCACAACCTATGAAAACATATCAATTCTCCACAAATTAACAGCAAACTCTGAAGTAATTCCAAATGGAATTCCAACGTCTATGCATGTATGTGTGTTTGATTTAGCTAAAATTATCTTAAATTCATGTAACAAAATATATGTCTAAAGTAATCAAGAAATCTATGAAAAAGAAAATTGAGATGGATCTTGCCCTAGAGAAATTCCAGCTGTTGTAATCAAAACGATTGCAGAGGAATGGATGGAACTGCCCTAAACGGAGAGGCCAGAAGAGACCCAGCAGGCATGGAAACTGAGTATATGAAAACCAAGGTGCTTTGACTCTGGGAAAAAACATGCTTTTCATAGTCATCTCTGCTGACCGTAGCACCTAGACAGGTAGAAGCAAAGAAAATGGGACTTCTGGGCCGGGCGCGGTGGCTCACGCCTATAATCCCAGCACTTTGGGAGGCCGAGGCGGGCGAATCACAAGGTCAGGAGTTCAGGACCACCCAGCCAACATAGTGAAACCCCATCTCTACTAAAAATACAAAAAATTAGCTGGGTGTAGTGGCAGGTGCCTGTAATCCCAGCTGCTCAGGAGGCTGAGGCAGGAGAATCACTGGAACCCGGGAGGTGGAAGTTGCGGTGAGCCGAGATCGCGCCATTGTACTCCAGCCCAGGTGACAGAGCAAGACTCTGTCTCAAAAAAAAAAAAGAAGAAAGAAAGGAAGGAAGGCAGGGAGGGAGGGAGGAAGGAAGGAGAGAGAGAGAGAGAGAGAAAGAAAGAAAAAGAAAGAGAGAGAGAGAGAGAGAAAGAAAGAAAGAAAAAGAAAGAAAGAAAGAAAGAAAGAATGAAAGAAAGAAAGAAAGAAAGAAAGAAAAGAAAAAGAAAGAAAGAAAGAAAGAAAAAGAAAGAAAGAAAATGGGATTTCTGGTCATGTCATACTCAGAATAAATAGATACATCAAATGTTAATTATCACAAGGTAGGAAAAGAACAAAATCTTAGAAGAAAATGAATATGCATATAGCCTGTGGTTTGCACAAATGTTTTAAATCAATATTAGCTACTAGGAAGCTATTAATTAAACATACATACACAGAGAAGCATATGTAACTACTTTTAAACTAACATCCAGCAAAAAAGGCCAGAAGCAGAGTCAAAAGTAAAAATGATAGGAAAGCATTTCACAACGTAGGGTGCAATTACAGGGTTAACAGCCACACTGTACAAGGAGCTTATACAAATTGATTTTTTAGAGAGACAAATAACTTGAAAATTAGGCAAAACATACGGATAGGCACTTACTAGAAAATTACCAAATGGCCAAAAATTGTATAAAATTTACATGTAGACAGAAAATGCAAATTATTTTAATAAGGAGATACCAATTTTCACCTCTCAGACAGAGAAATATAAAGGTAACACCTTTTCCCAGAGATACGAAGGAAAGAACATTCTTTTATTATTGCTGGAAATGTGAATTATAACTGCTTTTTGGAAAGCCATTTGGAAAGAGAGATTTGAATTAAAATGCAGTCATCCTTTGGTATCCATGGGGGCCCTGGTTTCAGGACCCCTGCTATTGCCAAAATCCAAGGATGCCCAAGTGGCCGTTATAGAATGGTGTGGTATTTGCATGTCACCCAGCCACATCCTCCTGTGAGCTTCGAGTCATCTCCAGCTTACTCACAGGACCTGATAGGACATAAATGCTATGGAAATTGTTGTTAGACGTTATTGTTAAAACTTGTGTTACTTTTTTTGCCGTATTATTAATTTTTATTGATTTTTTCCTGACTATTTTTTATCCGAGGTTGGTTGAATCACGGACGCAGAAGCCAGAGACTCAGAGGGTGAACAGTACCCAGCACACTGGCCCCGCCTTCCCATCCTGAGTCTCCATCCCTCAGAAATCAGCGCAGCCCTGCAGGAGGCCGGGGCAGGAGGACCATTGTGGAGGCACAGTTCGCAGAGGCAGGAAACGTCCCCGGCCCAGAGCGTCCCCCAGCCATGGGGAGAGGATGTCAGGGCTCTTGTGGCCACCTGGGAGCAAGCGGGGTTACACTGTCTGTTGGGTAAGAAGAGAGAGACTCAGAAAAGTGCACGCAGGACTCTAACTTTATTACACAATTATAAACAGACCCAAACCATAGTATGTACTTACAACGAAAACATTGCACAATTATGCACAATAAAGTCTAGGCTGTGGGATATTATCCCATTCAGTGCGTGTCTGTGGTGTATGTGATGGTGTGTGTTTGTGGTGTGTGTGTGTGATGTGGGGTGTGTGTGTGTATGTATGGTGTGGTGTGTGTGTATGGTGTATTTTGTGTGTGATGTGTGTGTGATGTGCGGTGTGTGTGTGTTTTGGGGGTAGTGTGATGTGTGTGATGTGTATGTGATGTGTGGTTTGTGTGTTTTATGTGTGGTGTGGTGTGTGTAGTATATTTTGTGTGTGATGTGTGGTGTATGTGTTTTGTGTGTGCTGTGTGGTGTATGTGTGTGCTGTGTGGTGTATGTGTGTGGTGTATTTTGTGTGTGGTGTGGTGTGCGGGGTGCAGTTTGTGTGCAATATACGGTGTGTGAGTTTTATGTGTTATTTGTGGTGTGTGTCGTGTGTGATGTGGGGCGTGTTTTGTTTGTGATCTGTGTGGTGTATTTTGTGTGTGGTGTGTGTGATGTGTGCGTGGTGTGGCACGTGTGATATGTGTGTGATGTGTGGTGTGTGTGGTGTTGTGTTGCGTGCTTTGTATTTTGTGTGTGATGTACTGTGTGTGCGGTGATGTGTGTGCTTTCTTTCTTTTTTTTTTTTTTTTTTTTAAGTTGAAAGTCTTTTTTTTTTTTTTTTATTATACTCTAAGTTTTAGGGTACATGTGCACATTGTGCAGGTTAGTTACATATGTATACATGTGCCATGCTGGTGCGCTGCACCCACTAATGTGTCATCTAGCATTAGGTATATCTCCCAATGCTATCCCTCCCCCCTCCCCCGACCCCACCACAGTCCCCAGAGTGTGATATTCCCCTTCCTGTGTCCATGTGATCTCATTGTTCAATTCCCACCTATGAGTGAGAATATGCGGTGTTTGGTTTTTTGTTCTTGCGATAGTTTACTGAGAATGATGGTTTCCAATTTCATCCATGTCCCTACAAAGGATATGAACTCATCATTTTTTATGGCTGCATAGTATTCCATGGTGTATATGTGCCACATTTTCTTAATCCAGTCTATCATTGTTGGACATTTGGGTTGGTTCCAAGTCTTTGCTATTGTGAATAGTGCTGCAATAAACATACGTGTGGATGTGTCTTTATAGCAGCATGATTTATACTCATTTGGGTATATACCCAGTAATGGGATGGCTGGGTCAAATGGTATTTCTAGTTCTAGATCCCTGAGGAATCGCCACACTGACTTCCACAATGGTTGAACTAGTTTACAGTCCCACCAACAGTGTAAAAGTGTTCCTATTTCTCCGCATCCTCTCCAGCACCTGTTGTTTCCTGACTTTTTAATGATTGCCATTCTAACTGGTGTGAGATGATATCTCATAGTGGTTTTGATTTGCATTTCTCTGATGGCCAGTGATGATGAGCATTTCTTCATGTGTTTTTTGGCTGCATAAATGTCTTCTTTTGAGAAGTGTCTGTTCATGTCCTTCGCCCACTTTTTGATGGGGTTGTTTGTTTTTTTCTTGTAAATTTGTTTGAGTTCATTGTAGATTCTGGATATTAGCCCTTTGTCAGATGAGTAGGTTGCGAAAATTTTCTCCCATGTTGTAGGTTGCCTGTTCACTCTGATGGTAGTTTCTTTTGCTGTGCAGAAACTCTTTAGTTTAATTAGATCCCATTTGTCAATTTTGTCTTTTGTTGCCATTGCTTTTGGTGTTTTGGACATGAAGTCCTTGCCCACGCCTATGTCCTGAATGGTAATGCCTAGGTTTTCTTCTAGGGTTTTTATGGTTTTAGGTTTAACGTTTAAATCTTTAATCCATCTTGAATTGATTTTTGTATAAGGTGTAAGGAAGGGATCCAGTTTCAGCTTTCTACATATGGCTAGCCAGTTTTCCCAGCACCATTTATTAAATAGGGAATCCTTTCCCCATTGCTTGTTTTTCTCAGGTTTGTCAAAGATCAGATAGTTGTAGATATGCGGCATTATTTCTGAGGGCTCTGTTCTGTTCCATTGATCTATATCTCTGTTTTGGTACCAGTACCATGCTGTTTTGGTTACTGTAGCTAGGTAGTATAGTTTGAAGTCAGGTAGTGTGATGCCTCCAGCTTTGTTCTTTTGGCTTAGGATTGACTTGGCAATGCGGGCTCTTTTTTGGTTCCATATGAACTTTAAAGTAGTTTTTTCCAATTCTGTGAAGAAAGTCATTGGTAGCTTGATGGGGATGGCATTGAATCTGTAAATTACCTTGGGCAGTATGGCCATTTTCACGATATTGATTCTTCCTACCCATGAGCATGGAATGTTCTTCCATTTGTTTGTATCCTCCTTTATTTCGTTGAGCAGTGGTTTGTAGTTCTCCTTGAAGAGGTCCTTCACATCCCTTGTAAGTTGGATTCCTAGGTATTTTATTCTCTTTGAAGCAATTGTGAATGGGAGTTCACCCATGATTTGGCTCTCTGTTTGTCTGTTGTTGGTGTATAAGAATGCTTGTGATTTTTGTACATTGATTTTGTATCCTGAGACTTTGCTGAAGTTGCTTATCAGCTTAAGGAGATTTTGGGCTGAGACGATGGGGTTTTCTAGATAAACAATCATGTCGTCTGCAAACAGGGACAATTTGACTTCCTCTTTTCCTAATTGAATACCCTTTATTTCCTTCTCCTGCCTGATTGCCCTGGCCAGAACTTCCAACACTATGTTGAATAGGAGCGGTGAGAGAGGGCATCCCTGTCTTGTGCCAGTTTTCAAAGGGAATGCTTCCAGTTTTTGCCCATTCAGTATGATATTGGCTGTGGGTTTGTCATAGATAGCTCTTATTATTTTGAAATACGTCCCATCAATACCTAATTTATTGAGAGTTTTTAGCATGAAGGGTTGTTGAATTTTGTCAAAGGCTTTTTCTGCATCTATTGAGATAATCATGTGGTTTTTGTCTTTGGCTCTGTTTATATGCTGGATTACATTTATTGATTTGCGTATATTGAACCAGCCTTGCATCCCAGGGATGAAGCCCACTTGATCATGGTGGATAAGCTTTTTGATGTGCTGCTGGATTCGGTTTGCCAGTATTTTATTGAGGATTTTTGCATCAATGTTCATCAAGGATATTGGTCTAAAATTCTCTTTTTTGGTTGTGTCTCTGCCCGGCTTTGGTATCAGAATGATGCTGGCCTCATAAAATGAGTTAGGGAGGATTCCCTCTTTTTCTATTGATTGGAATAGTTTCAGAAGGAATGGTACCAGTTCCTCCTTGTACCTCTGGTAGAATTCGGCTGTGAATCCATCTGGTCCTGGACTCTTTTTGGTTGGTAAACTATTGATTATTGCCACAATTTCAGAGCCTGTTATTGGTCTATTCAGAGATTCAACTTCTTCCTGGTTTAGTCTTGGGAGAGTGCATGTGTCGAGGAATGTATCCATTTCTTCTAGATTTTCTAGTTTATTTGCGTAGAGGTGTTTGTAGTATTCTCTGATGGTAGTTTGTATTTCTGTGGCATCGGTGGTGATATCCCCTTTATCATTTTTTATTGTGTCTATTTGATTCTTCTCTCTTTTTTTCTTTATTAGTCTTGCTAGCGGTCTATCAATTTTGTTGATTCTTTCAAAAAACCAGCTCCTGGATTCATTGATTTTTTGAAGGGTTTTTTGTGTCTCTATTTCCTTCAGTTCTGCTCTGATTTTAGTTATTTCTTGCCTTCTGCTAGCTTTTGAATGTGTTTGCTCTTGCTTTTCTAGTTCTTTTAATTGTGATGTTAGGGTGTCAATTTTGGATCTTTCCTGCTTTCTCTTGTGGGCATTTAGTGCTATAAATTTCCCTCTACACACTGCTTTGAATGCATCCCAGAGATTCTGGTATGTGGTGTCTTTGTTCTCGTTGGTTTCAAAGAACATCTTTATTTCTGCCTTCATTTCGTTATGTACCCAGTAGTCATTCAGGAGCAGGTTGTTCAGTTTCCATGTAGTTGAGCGGCTTTGAGTGAGATTCTTAATCCTGAGTTCTAGTTTGATTGCACTGTGGTCTGAGAGATAGTTTGTTATAATTTCTGTTCTTTTACATTTGCTGAGGAGAGCTTTACTTCCAACTATGTGGTCAATTTTGGAATAGGTGTGGTGTGGTGCTGAAAAAAATGTATATTCTGTTGATTTGGGGTGGAGAGTTCTGTAGATGTCTATTAGGTCTGCTTGGTGCAGAGCTGAGTTCAATTCCTGGGTATCCTTGTTGACTTTCTGTCTCGTTGATCTGTCTAATGTTGACAGTGGGGTGTTAAAGTCTCCCATTATTAATGTGTGGGAGTCTAAGTCTCTTTGTAGGTCACTGAGGACTTGCTTTATGAATCTGGGTGCTCCTGTATTGGGTGCATAAATATTTAGGATCGTTAGCTCCTCTTGTTGAATTGATCCCTTTACCATTATGTAATGGCCTTCTTTGTCTCTTTTGATCTTTGTTGGTTTAAAGTCTGTTTTATCAGAGACTAGGATTGCAACCCCTGCCTTTTTTTGTTTTCCATTGGCTTGGTAGATCTTCCTCCATCCTTTTATTTTGAGACTATGTGTGTCTCTGCACGTGAGATGGGTTTCCTGAATACAGCACACTGATGGGTCTTGACTCTTTATCCAACTTGCCAGTCTGTGTCTTTTAATTGCAGAATTTAGTCCATTTATATTTAAAGTTAATATTGTTATGTGTGAATTTGATCCTGTCATTATGATGTTAGCTGGTGATTTTGCTCATTAGTTGATGCAGTTTCTTCCTAGTCTCGATGGTCTTTACATTTTGGCATGATTTTGCAGCGGCTGGTACCGGTTGTTCCTTTCCATGTTTAGCGCTTCCTTCAGGAGCTCTTTTAGGGCAGGCCTGGTGGTGACAAAATCTCTCAGCATTTGCTTGTCTATAAAGTATTTTATTTCTCCTTCACTTATGAAGCTTAGTTTGGCTGGATATGAAATTCTGGGTTGAAAATTCTTTTCTTTAAGAATGTTGAATATTGGCCCCCACTCTCTTCTGGCTTGTAGGGTTTCTGCCGAGAGATCCGCTGTTAGTCTGATGGGCTTTCCTTTGAGGGTAACCCGACCTTTCTCTCTGGCTGCCCTTAACATTTTTTCCTTCATTTCAACTTTGGTGAATCTGACAATTATGTGTCTTGGAGTTGCTCTTCTCGAGGAGTATCTTTGTGGCGTTCTCTGTATTTCCTGAATCTGAACGTTGGCCTGCCTTGCTAGATTGGGGAAGTTCTCCTGGATAATATCCTGCAGAGTGTTTTCCAACTTGGTTCCATTCTCCACATCACTTTCAGGTACACCAATCAGACGTAGATTTGGTCTTTTCACATAGTCCCATATTTCTTGGAGGCTTTGCTCATTTCTTTTTATTCTTTTTTCTCTAAACTTCCCTTCTCGCTTCATTTCATTCATTTCATCTTCCATTGCTGATACCCTTTCTTCCAGTTGATCGCATCGGCTCCTGAGGCTTCTGCATTCTTCACGTAGTTCTCGAGTCTTGGTTTTCAGCTCCATCAGCTCTTTTAAGCACTTCTCTGTATTGGTTATTCTAGTTATACATTCTTCTAAATTTTTTTCAAAGTTTTCAACTTCTTTGCCTTTGGTTTGAATGTCCTCCCGTAGCTCAGAGTAATTTGATCGTCTGAAGCCTTCTTCTCTCAGCTCGTCAAAATCATTCTCCATCCAGCTTTGTTCTGTTGCTGGTGAGGAACTGCGTTCCTTTGGAGGAGGAGAGGCGCTCTGCGTTTTAGAGTTTCCAGTTTTTCTGTTCTGTTTTTTCCCCATCTTTGTGGTTTTATCTACTTTTGGTCTTTGATGATGGTGATGTACAGATGGGTTTTCGGTGTAGATGTCCTTTCTGGTTGTTAGTTTTCCTTCTAACAGACAGGACCCTCAGCTGCAGGTCTGTTGGAATACCCTGCCGTGTGAGGTGTCAGTGTGCCCCTGCTGGGGGGTGCCTCCCAGTTAGGCTGCTCGGGGGTCAGGGGTCAGGGACCCACTTGAGGAGGCAGTCTGCCCGTCTCAGATCTCCAGCTGCGTGCTGGGAGAACCACTGCTCTCTTCAAAGCTGTCAGACAGGGACACTTAAGTCTGCAGAGGTTACTGCTGTCTTTTTGTTTGTCTGTGCCCTGCCCCCAGAGGTAGAGCCTACAGAGGCAGGCAGGCCTCCTTGAGCTGTGGTGGGCTCCACCCAGTTCGAGCTTCCCGGCTGCTTTGTTTACCTAAGCAAGCCTGGGCAATGGCGGGCGCCCCTCCCCCAGCCTCGTTGCCGCCTTGCAATTTGATCTCAGACTGCTGTGCTAGCAATCAGCGAGATTCCGTGGGCGTAGGACCCTCTGAGCCAGGTGTGGGATATAGTCTCGTGGTGCGCCGTTTCTTAAGCCTGTCTGAAAAGCGCAATATTCGGGTGGGAGTGACCCGATTTTCCAGGTGCGTCCGTCACGCCTTTCTTTGACTCGGAAAGGGAACTCCCTGACCCCTTGCGCTTCCCAGGTGAGGCAATGCCTCGCCCTGCTTCGGCTCGCGCACGGTGCGCGCACACACTGGCCTGCGCCCACTGTCTGGCACTCCCTAGTGAGATGAACCCGGTACCTCAGATGGAAATGCAGAAATCACCCGTCTTCTGCGTCGCTCACGCTGGGAGCTGTAGACCGGAGCTGTTCCTATTCGGCCATCTTGGCTCCTCCCCCCAACGGCTCTTCTTTCTCCACAGCCACTCCAGCATTCATTATTTTTGTCTTTCTGATCATCTCGGTTCCAATCGAGGTGAGATGGTGCCTCATGATGGTGGTTCTGATTTGCATTTCCCTGGTGATCAGTGATGCTGAGCACTCTTTCATGTACATTCCCATGATATCTGAAACATTATTCACAGTAGCAGGACATGGAATCAACGTAAGTATCCATCAATGGACAAATGGATAAAGAAAATGGTGATAGATAGATAATAGATAGATAAATAGATAGATAGATGATAGATAGATAGATAGATGACAATAGATGATAAATAGATATATAAATGACAGATAGATAGATGATAGATACATGATAGATAGATGATGGATAGATAGATACATGGTAGATAGATGATAGATAGATAGATGATAGATGATAGATGATAGATAAATAGATAGATACATGATAGATAGATGATAGATAGATAGATGATAGAAGATAGACAAATAGATGATAGATGATAGGTGAAAGGTAGATGATAGACATATAGATGACAGATAGATGATAGATAGATAGGTAATGATAGATAGATAGATGATATATAGATGACAGATAGATGATAGAGAGATAGGTGATGATAGATAGATGACAGATAGATAGATGATAGATAGATACATGATAGATGATAGATAGATACATAGATAGATAGATAGACAGACAGAGGAATATTACTCAGCAATAAACAAAGAATAGAATCCTGTCATTTGTGGCAGTATGTATGGAACTGGAGGTCATAATGTTAAGTGAAATAAGCCAGGCACAGAAAGGCAAATATCAAATGTTCTCACACATATGCGGGAGCTAAAAAAGCTGATCTCGTAGAAGTAGAGAGAAGAATGGTGGTTATCAGAGGCTGGGAAAGGGAGGGGCGGGGAGGTTGTCAATGGGCACAAAGTCACAGTCAGGAGGGATAAATCCTGCCATTCTGTAGCAAGGTAAGGCGACCGCAGTGAAAAATATTGCAGTGTTTACTGGAAAATACTCACTAGGAGAGACGAATCTGCATGTTCTCATCACAAATACATGATAAGTATTGAAGGTGATGGATTTGCCAAGTGCCCTGATTTGATCCGTATACAAGGTATGCATCAAAACATCTCCCTGTACCCCATAGAGATGTACAGTCTTTATCTCTCTATTAAAAACACAATTTTAAATGATTTTTTTTAAAGGCAGAGAGAATGAAAACACCAGCATTCTTGGTGAAAGTCATTTCCTCCCTGCTCTTTCTGCCCATGGAGTCCCCTCTCTATTTCCGTTTTTCATCTCCTCCCTGCCCCATCCTCTGCATCCCCCTCCTCCTCTCCTTCTTCCCCTCCCTCCTCCCCCTCCTCTTCCCAGGATAACCTTCTCATCTCCCCTCCCTGTTCTCTCCTCCTGCTCCTCCTTCTTCTACTTCAACCTATCCTTTATATCTCCACACCAGTTACGATTTTTCCCCTACTTCTTCACTCCATCCACTTTGTATTTTTTAAAATATGAGTAAAACCTCAAGCAATCCCAAATATAGCCTGAAAAGTGAAACCCACCCCCGCCTTGCACACTCTGCTCCCTTGTCCCAGAGGGAAGCAGACACTCGGATGTGGACGCGTGTGCTGCAGCCCTGTGTGCATGTGGGTGGAACACGCACAGGTGGACGGATATAGGAACCAAGTGACATCAGCCTGCCTTCATGTTTCCGTCGTTCTGTTGATTCCCCACTGATGAATGCTGAAGTGTTTCCCGTCACTTTCGGCACACAAGTGTGGGTCTCCCTCCTTTTTCCAAAGGGATAACTGGAGCACAGACAACGTAAGTTTCAAGTTGGGAGCAGTCTGGTCACACTGGTCTCCACGGTGGCCCCTGGCACCTGACTCCCCGCACCACACCAACACCAGGCAACACCAGGCTTGTCTTTCTGCTGCTCAGTTCAGCCGAGTGCACTTGCTCCACATCTTCATTCCCATTTTTCTGGTTCCCCGTGGGGTAATTGGCTTCTCTTTATTGGCCATTTTGTTTGTTTGTTTTATGAGTTACCTATTCATGCTCTTTCCCTTTTTCCTACGGTTGCCTTTCTCTTTGTTGTTGAGTGTATCTCCTTAAACACTGTGAAAACTGAACTTTGTACACATCCTGCAAATATTTTTTTTGAACTTTGTACACATCCTGCAAATATTTTTTCAACTGTCTCTATTCACATTGCCTATGTTGCCATTTTTACCAGATATTTTAACTTCCAGGCTAACAAATCTGTCTGTCTTCACAACACCTAAATTCTGTATGTTGTTTAGAAGGTGAATGTGTTTTCTTATGTCTTGCACTGGTCATCTGTCTTTATTTTCCCCGATAGACTGTAATGCTCTCAAAACAATTTATTAAAACTATCATCTAAGTGTCATTTGGCAGCACAATCTTTAGCACATGCCAAATTCCCAGATATTCTTGGGTCTGTAGCTATTGTTCATTTTTCTATTAATCTTTCTATTTACCCTGTGCCAATACTTACTTTTTGATTACATTATTACACAGTTTTTCTTGGGATCTCGTTGGAAGCCTCTCTCTATTGTTCTTTATCTAAATTTTCATGGTTAGGTTTGCCAGTTTTCTACTTCAAATAGGCTTTAATATTAAATTTTGCAAATATAAAATTGAGATTTTGATTGAAATTGCATTGAATTTATAGAGTAATTTGTGAAGAATTTGTATCCTTACAGGGTTAAATCTTCCACACAAAAGCATGGTATTTCTTGCCATTTAGATAGTCATCCTTTATATCTTTTCCATAATCTTTATTACTTTCTTATATTAAATATACACATTGCATTTCTTATATACTTTTTTCAGCTTATGAGTTTTCCACTGCCAATATGATGTAATAGATATATTAAATTTTCCACCTCGTTATTGTAGGCTATAGGTTGATACAGCTATAGGTTGAAGTATTTTGGTCTGCACCTAGCCACCTTTTGTACCCTTGAAATAGTTCTAATAGTTTCCATGTCATTCCATCAGCTTTTTCAGATGCAATCATTCCATCGGTAAATAATTATATCTATTTGCAAAGCTTCTCCCTTTCAATACCTGTATTTCATTTGTCTTGTGCTATTGCACTAAAAACCCCTCCATATGTAAGTAGCAGTGACTATGAATCTTGTTTTCTGTTCATTCATTCCACAACTACTTAAGGAGCACGGATTGTCTGCCTGTTTGCATTCCAGATGCTGGGGAGATCATGTAAACAAAGTCACTCCATACTTAGATTCTGAGGGTGACAGATCATAAAGAGATGGACAATATGCCCACTGTGGTGATAACCCTCAAAATGTTATGATTTTTTTTAAAGCAGCGTAAGAAGAGATTAACAGGAAGTTATCTATTTTAGACACTGGAAATACTATTAATTTTCAATATTAATTAGGGTGTTTACTTCAGGTTTGTGGTAGCAAGCCAAAGAAGATTCTTTGGATTATTGGTTTATTGAAAGTTTTTAAAATTAGGCCTGGTGCAGTGGCTCACGCCTATAATCCTACCACTTTGGGAGGCTGAGGCGGGTGGATCACCTGAGGTCAGGGGTTCGAGACCAGCCTGGCCAACATGATGAAACCCAGTCTCTACCAAAAATACAAAAAAAATAGCCAGGTGTGGTGGTAGATGCCTGTAATCCCAGCTACTAGGGAGACTGAGGCAGGAGAATCACTTGAAGCCAGGAGGTGAAGGTTGCAGTGAGCCGAGATCACGGCACTGCACTCCAGCCTGGGCTACAAGAGTGAAATTCTATCACACACACACACACACACACAAACATATAAAATTAGAAATGGACATTCAATCTATAGAATGCATTTTGCATTTGTCAATGATATGAGGTTTTATTTCCTCTGTAATCAGCTGATGCATGTGAATAGATTTCCTAACATTGAGATATTATTGTGCTTTTGATATAAGGTCTTTTTTGGTTGTGATGTACTAATTTTTTAAGTACTTTGTTGAAACAACTTTCCATCTTTTATGGACGTTCTAGAAGGTTTTGTCTGTGAAATGAGAGGTTTGTTAGAACATGCTTGTGTGCCATCTGGCTCTGGCGCTATGCAAGGTTGATCGTTGATGGCTTTTATTTTTTCTTTGGAAATCATCCCTTATGGTTACTGTTACTCTCCTTCAGACAACTTTTCTCATTTTCATTTTCTGAAGTACATGTTGTTCATTTAGTTTTTAAACCTTACCATTATATATTTTGTATTTTTGATAAAGATTATTCTCTCTCTTTTATATTGAACAAGTTTGTTATTAGCATTTCAAAGACGGAGCTTTGGTTTTTTATCAAGCCAACTTTTAATTTATTTTTACAACTTTAGTGAAATACAATTGATGTACAATAAACTGCTGTATTTAAATTATATAGTTTGAGGAATTTTGACATATGCATAAACCTGTGTGCCCGTCACCACCATCAAGAAGTCAACATCCACCAGGCACTGTGGCTCATGCGTGTAATCCCAGAACTTTGGGAGGCCAAGGCAGGAGGATCACTTGTGCTCAGGAGTTCCAGGCTACACTGAGCCGTAATAGCACCACTGCACTTTGACCTGGATAGCAGAGTGAGACCCTGTCTCGAAGAAGAAGAGAAAAAGAAGAAGAAGAAGAAGAAGAAGAAGAAGAAGAAGAAGAAGAAGAAGAAGAAGAAGAAGAAGAAGAAGAAGAAGAGGAAGAAGAAGAAGAAGAAGGAGGAGGAGGAGGAGGAGGAGGAGGAGGAGGAGGAGAAGGGAATAAGATGAGAGGAAGAAGGAAGAAGAACAAGAGGAAGAAGAAGAAGGAGGAAAAGGAGGAAGAGGAGGAGGAGGAAAATAAGGAGAAGGAGGAAGTTATCAACAAGTCAACATCCATCAGCACTTGAAGTCTCCTCATGCCCCTGTGTACCCCACCCTTTCCTGCCATGTTTACCCCCAGAAAATAATCTGCTTTTTGTCACTATAGGTTTGTATGCTAAGTCTGTAGCCATATATAAATGAAATCATAGATTATTTTCTTCCTTTATTCAGCATGATTGCTTTGATGCATCTGTGTTGTAGAGTGCATGGATAGTTTGTTTCTTTTCTTTGCTAAAAAGTATTTCATTCGATGGATATACCATGATTAGCTTATCCATTCATTGAGGAAGGGCATTCGCAATGTTTCTGGTTTTGCCTCTCTCATGTAAAGCTGCTATGAACATTTATATATAAGTCTTTGTGTGAGCATGTCCTTCAATTTACCTTGGGTAAATATCTAGGAGTAATATGGCTGCATCATATAGTAGGTATATAATTAACTTTCCAAGAAACTGACATACTATTTTCCAATGTAGTTGTACCATTTTGCATTCCCACCAGTGGTGGATGAATGTACCAGTTGTTCCATATCCTTGCCAACACTTGATATGGTCAGCCTTGTAAATGTTAATCTTTCTAGTGGGTGGGTAGCAGTATGTCATGGTTGTTTTAATTTGCATTTCTTTATTGACTAATGATGTTTAGCCTCTTTTCAAGTGCATAATTACCATTTGTATATCTTCTTTAGTAAAATGCTAATTATTTCATTCATTTATTTTAGTTGTGTTGTTTGCATTATTGAGTTGTAGAAGTCCTTTGTATATAATTCAAATCCTTTGTTACCTACATAAATTTCAAATATTTTTTCTCAGTCTGTGGCTTGCCTTTTCATTTTCATAGTATTGTTATTCAAAGAGCAAACTAAACTATTGATGGCATCAAATTTACTGCTATTTTATTTAAAAATGTGTCTTATTGTATTGAATTTAATAAATACTTGACTACAAAGTTATAAAGATTTGTCTTCAAAAAGTTGTATAGTTTTTATACCTTCACACTTAGATCTATTATGGGAGATAAGGGTGGGTGCCTATTTCTTGTGCGTGCGTGGCCAGTTGTGCATCAATTTTTGATGACTCTTCTTAACCTAAAGACCTGCCTTGGGCCGGGCACGGTGGCTTACGCCTGTAATCCCGGCAATTTGGGAGGCCGAGGCGGGCAGATCGCGAAGTCAGGAGATCGAGATCATCCTGGCTAACATGGTGAAACCCCATCTCTACTAAAAATACAAAAAATCAGCCAGGTGTGGTGGCGGGCGCCTGTAGTCCCAGCTACTCAGGAGGCTGAGGTAGGAGAATGGTGTGAACCCGGAAGGCAGAGCTTACAGTGAGCAGAGATCGCGCCACTGCACTCCAGCCTGGGAGAGAGAGCAAGACTCCATCTCAAAAAAAAAAAAAAAAAAAAAAAAAAAGACCTGCCTTGACACCTGTGCCGAAAATGAGCTGGGCCCAAGTGGGTCTGTTTCTGGACTCTCGTGTGCCTTTGATTTTTATTCTGAACTTTGTTCCAGTACACCATTCTCTGGAATACTGCAGCTTCATGGTCAGTCCTGAAATTAGGTAGTAAAAATCCTCTAACTTTTTTTTCTTTTTCAAAATTATCTTGACTATTTCCTTGCGTTTCCGTATAAACTTCAGAATCAGCCAGGCAATTTCTCAAACTATGGTGATGTTTCCTGAGATGGTATAGACTGGGTAGATGCATTTGGTGGATAGCTGTCTTAACAATACTGAGTCTTCTGAGGCTTGGACACAATGTATCTATTTGTAACTTCTGAAAGTTCAGCACACTTTGTAATTTCCATGTACATTGCGCACATCATTTATCAAATGTATCCTTAGTACTTAATATGTTTAATGCTATTTTAAATGTGATTGTTTTTCCATGTTAATTTTTGAGTGTCCATTGTTAACATACAGAGACACATTTGATACAACATACAATGATGTGATTGTTAATGTACAGAAATGCAATACATTGGCATTTGATCCAGCAATTTGTTAAATCCACTTGGTAATTCTCATGTTTTTATAGATTCTTTAGGAATTTCCCATGTAGGTTATCATGTAGTCTGAGAATAACATCGCTTATTTATTCTTTTCCAATCTGCATGCCTTTTATTCCCTTTTCTCGCCAGACTGAACTGGCTAGAACTTCAAGTACAACTTTAAAAAGAGGTGGTGAAACCAGATGTCTTTGCTTGCTCCAAATCACAGGGGGAAAACATTTTGGTATTTCATCATTAAATGAGATGTTAGCGGGCTTTTTCTGTGTATGCCCTTTTTAAATTTGGAGACGTTTCATACTATTTCTAGTTTGTTTAGAGTCTTTTTTTTAATGAATTTTGGATTTTGTTAAGTGTGTTTACTGCATCTTCTGAAATGATCATATTTTCCCTTATTTTTTAGCCAGCTAATATGATGAATTATAGTGATTGCTTTTCAAAGGTTAAGGTAATCTTGTAGTCTTGAGGTAAGTTCTACTAAAGTTGTAGGTTATTCTTTCTCTGCTCTCTCAACTATATTTCTTTCTTCTCTATAAGAAAATGTCACACACACACACACACACACACACACAAACAAAACAAAACAAAAAAAACCATGGTGTATTTGTCTGTTTTCATGCTGCTGATAAAGACATACCTGAGACATGCTGCTGATAAAGACATACCTGGGTAGTTTCATAAAGAAAAAGAGGTTTAATGGACTCACAGTTCCACGTGGCTGGGGAGGCCTCACAGCCATGGCGGAAGGTGAACGGCACACCTTACACGGCAGCAGGCAAGAGAGTCAATGAGAACCAGGAAAAAGGGAAACCCCTTATGAAACCATCAGATCTTGTGACACTTATCTACTACCATGAAAACAGTATGGGGGAAACTGCCCCATGATTCAATGATCTCCCACAGGGTCCCTCCCACAACACTTGGGAATTATGGGAGCTACATTTGGGTGGTGACACAGTCAAACCATATCACTTGGTTTTTCTTTCCATTTTAAAAATGTGAGTGTGTGTGTGTGTGTGTGTGTGTGTGTGTGTAGCCATTTTCTCTTTCTGATATTGGTAATTTATATTTTTTTCTTTGGTAGTCTGGCTGGAAATATAAATTTTATCGAAATTTTCCAAGAACCAAGATACCATGTAAGTTATGTATTTCACAGACTATGGTTTGGTTTGTCCCCACCAGAACTCACGTTGAAATTTATTTATCAATGTGGCACTATTGGGAGGTAGAACTTAGCAGGAGGTGTTTGAGTCCTAGGGTGCATCCCTCACAAACAGATTAATGCCCTCCTGTGAGAATGAGTGAGCTCTGCTCTCTTGGGACTGAATTGGTTCCTGAGAGAGTGGGTTGTTAAGAGGAGTCTGGATTCCTTGGTTTTGCTCTCTGGCTTCCTCTCTTGCATGGGGTCCTTTGCACACATTGACTCACCTTCTGCTTTCTGCCAGAGTGGAAGCAGCGTGAGCATCTCCCCAGATGCCGACGCCCAACCTTGAACTTTATAGCCACTGGAATCATGAACCAAATAAACCTCTTTTCTTTATAAACTACCCAGTCACAGGTATTCTGTTATAACAACACTAAATGGATGAATACACCACTCCTAAGAACTTACCCCAAATAAACTAAAGCGTATGTCTAAAGACACGTACACAAAGGTTCGTAGCAACTTTATCTGTTATAGCCAAATCTAGAAAGAGCCCAGATTTCTTCAATACATGAATGTTTAAGCAAACTGAACTGTAGTACATCTCATACCATGAAGTCTGCTCAGTAATTAAAAATGAACAACCACTGATACATGTAACAACGTGAACAAATCACCAGAAAATTATCCAGAGTGGAAAAAAAATCTAATCATACAAGATTGCATACTGTGTGGTTACATTTACATATCAGTTTTGAAAAGACAGTGGGAAGGAAGTGAAGAGCACATTTGTGGTTGCCAATAGCTAGAGAGAGAGTTGGGGAGAGAGGGAAGTGGACTTTCCTATGGCAGGCCAATATGAGGAATCTTTATAATGATGGAAATATTCTGCATCTGAA
Organism: Homo sapiens; assembly: GCF_000001405.40. Taxonomy (NCBI): domain Eukaryota; kingdom Metazoa; phylum Chordata; class Mammalia; order Primates; family Hominidae; genus Homo; species Homo sapiens. The sequence continues at coordinate 49,000,734 of NC_000022.11, forward strand.
CTGTATCAAAGTCATTATCCAGGTTGTGATAACATACTCTTGCTTTGCAAAATGTTACCATAGGGGGAAACTTCCTAAAGACTAAATGGGACCTCTATTATTTCACACAACTGCATGTGAATCTACAATTATTTCAAATAAAAAGTTCAATTTAAAATGTCATTCAACTTCACTTTACCTCCATAATATTTTATGGCTGCTTATCCAGATAAACTTTATATTCAACTCTTTTAACTCTAGCAACAACAACAACAACAAAATGTGGCTAGAAAACCAGTCATTTAAATTATTATTCCTCTTTATAAAATACATTATTTCTCTCTGCCTACATATGAGATATTTTTGGTCTTGTCATATTATCCCACAAGTTCTTTGGGTTTGCCTATATTTTCCAATCTTTTTATCTTTCTGATGTTCAGAATAAATAATTTCCATTGATCTATTTTTAAGTCAATTTCTCTTTCTAGTCTCACCTCCATTGTAGTGTGGACTCCATGCTATGAACTTTTTCTAAAAATTGGTTATTGAAGACCTTAGTTCTAAAATTTATGTTTGATTCTTCTTTAGATATTCTACTTCTTTGCTGATACGTAAACTTTCTATTTGTTTCCAGAGTGTTCATCTTACTTCTTAAAGCATGATTATAGAGGCTGCTTTGAAGTCTTTGTGTTATAATTCCAACAGCTGGTTCTTGGGCTTAGTTTCTGATCATTTTTTTCCTTGTTAGGTAAGTTGGTTTGTTTTGTTTCCCTGGTGCTTTGTATGCTACAGCATTTTTGGATTCTATTACGGACGTTTTCAACATTCCCTTTTGAGACTCTGGGTATTTTATGGCCTAAGGAGAATGGTGATTTTTGTTCATTTGTTTTTTAACAAGAAGCCAACCAGATTATGTTCAAGCCTTAAGTTTCAATCTGCCTTCCATGGATTGTAGTTCTAACGTCAGTTTAGTTTTTGAGTTTCTGTATGCTGTTCAGATCAATCCCACATGCATGTCCATTATGGGGCCTGGGCAGTGGTTGGCCTCACTCATCACTCTGTTCTCAAAGGCTACGGTTTGCTTCTCAGGTCAGATCTCCACATACACAGCTTAGAAGTGAGGCTCAGATTTCATGCACAATTTTATGTGCTCACCCTCTCACTCTGCCTTTTCTCATCATCTCACTAACACCTTCCAGCTCTCTGCAGCTTCCCTTCCTGGTCCTGGACAGAAAGTCAGGACTTTAGCATCCTGGCCCTGCCACACACTTGCTGTGACTACTTCTTTGTCTGCACCCAAGCACCAGGAGGATGGAAAAGGAACAAAATAGTGGGGAGTCAGCACATGCTCATGGTTGAGGGTCTCAGCTCCTCCAACCAGAGAGAAAAGCCCAAAGTCCTCTCTCGGGGTCACAGGTGCCTGATGGACTGCCTTCCATCCCCATGCTGCCATGGTCTCCTCTGCTGTATGGCCCAACGGCTGAGCATTAAGATAAGGAAGAAAGACAAAGAGTGGGGTTTCCTCCCACACAGTCTGATACTCAGATGTCCCCTTTCCCACTCCTCAGAACAGAACGTGACAGCTCCTTTTGGAGTTTCTTCTCTTTGTTATCAGTGTGCATTTACAGTCATGGGCCCCCTTTGCCTTGAGGCCAGGTGATACTAGAAGAAAAAAAAATGATAAACTCTCTAGCAGTCTGGTAGAACATTTAATTCTAGACTTTTTCACCAGTCCACATGCTACTGTCTACTTTTCAGACCCTCTGATGCTATTCTGAGCACTCAAGATGTGCAGTTGTGTGAGACGCACAGGGTGCAGCATGTTCTCTCCATCTTGCCTGGAACCACGTCCAGAGAGGTACAGGTTGAATTTCCATTTCTGTTCTCATGAGAATGGTTGAACATTATTTCTCATTATTAGTGGTTATTTGCATTTATCTTCTGTGTTCATAGCTCCAGCTCATTTATCTGAGGGTATTCAATCTTTTTCTTCATTATTTAAAAATAATTTCTGCATATTAAGGATAACTAATCATAATCTATAATAAACCATACATACGCCCAGTTTGTTATGCATCATTTTACTTTACTTATGGTATTTTTGCCCTGCAAAGGTGTTTTCATTTTATATATAGTCAAGATAATCCTCCAGGTTTCAGCCAAACTCATCATATTTTTCCAGTACTTACTGTTTGGGTTTTTTTTACATTTATCAAATTGGAATTTATCCTTATATATGGTGTGGGAAGTGGCCCCGATATTATCTTTTCATATCATTACCGAGTTACTGAGTACTGCTCATCAAATATTTCTTCTGCTGTTAGAAATGTTGTCCTTTACTGCATACTAAACTTTCACATGTAATTGTGTCTATTTCTGGATTTTCTATTTTCTGCCATTAGTCTCTCTTTTCATGCACTGACACCTTACTGTTATAATTATAGAGGACTTATGTGATTTTTAAATATCTGACAAGTTAACCTTCCACTCATTGCACCTTTATTTAAAGCTTTTCTCTGGCTATCTTTGCTTGTTTTTCTGCCGAACTTTGTAAACAGTTTGCCTGCCTCTATAAATAACAACAACAAGAACACGAAAGACAAAAGCAGATATAATTTTATGGGAACTTAAGAAAAAAATATATGTAATTGAGATTTTTTTTAATCCCAAGGTAATATATCTTTTTTTAGTTTATTTTGGGGATTTTTAAATTATTTTAAAATTATAATTCATGTTAAATTAACTGATTTAGTCTAGCTTACAGTGGTAGTGGCTGGAGAAACAAGATAGCCCAGCCCCTGGTGAGATACTTCTTGCTCTTAGCAGAGAAGTGGCAAAACACACAGACCCTGGTGTCACGCAGACCTTCTTTGAATCTCTGGTTTGCTGCCCCCCAGCTGTGCTGCGCTGGGCAAGTTTCTTAAGCTCTCTGTGCCCCGAGGCCCTCATCTAGAGAGTGGGGCTCATATGCCTCATCCTCTTCCCAGCTGGTTTTCCTCGCTGGGTGAGTCGCAGGATCTAAGCTCTCTCTAGTCGTTTTCATTGTCATGCTCCAGTTGTGAGCCTTTTAAAGTTCCATTTTCAAAGCAGATACACATTTTGGGAAGAACAGTCAAGAGGTAGAGTTCTTTTCCTTCACAGCACAAAATTTATTCTACCTCCACACCAAAAGTTAGAAAGAATAGACACAATTTTAAGTTGGAATTTGATGTTCTATTATTTAGAGGCTTATTTCTGAAGGAGAAAGTGCATGCATTTACATAATTGGATTCTTATCTGGAGGAAAAGGAACCTTCCAAAACTTTTGAGGTTTGCTTACCATTAATAAACCACTTTCCTTTCCCAGTATTTCCAGTAATGACTTCACCAAAGTATGGCCCAGAAAGATATTACAACCTATTTCTCCTGTCATTTCCATCCGTTCATTCCCAGATGGTTCCCCTACGTGCAGTTCAGGATGGAAAAGTACCGAAATAATTCTGGGCTTTATTTAGAATACTATTAAAATATTTTCATTAACGATAACTTAATGGAAAACCCTTTACATTTTCATCTGGTGAGTATTTATCAATCGCCAACATGGCATGTATTCCTGGGCTAGGTGCTGGGGAGGGGGTCCTTGTCTTAAAGTGAATGCAAAGTCTTCTTGCTGGCCTCCGGATGCTCACATTTTGGTGATTAAGACAGAGCTGTTTCATAACCACGTGGCCCGGTCACTCGTCTGCCTGTTATTTTTTTCAATCATTCACTTCCTATTCTTTCATCGTGTCATTTGTTAGCTGCACACATCTGTGGGAGGCCATCCTAGCCAGGGCACCTGTGCCCAGCATTCAGAGTCGGCTGTTTTTAAGACGGTCACCTTCGCAGGCGTTCACAGCAGATCTGTGAGCAGAGATGATAACGCCATGCTGAGGGCTCCGTGGGGCTCGCCTGGGGGAGCGGGCGAGGTGAAGCGAGGCTGTGAGCGTGAGGAGGGCCGCATTAAACAGCTGACATGCGGGCCTCAGGGCCAGCTCTGCTGGGCTGCACTTGATCTGTCTTCCGCATCTACTAACTCATCGCCGACAAACATCTACAGGGGGTACCTTGTCCCAGTCCTCATGCAGACCTGAGGAAGGGCAGGACACCAGTACCCCATGCACTTGATGACAAGGGACAAGGGTCACGCCGTCAGGTGTTGATCTGCAGGAGCTCGGTGGAGGCAGGACGCTCTGGCAGATGGGTGGACAGGGTGGCAGACAGGGGAACCTTGGCCCCTCCGGCTTTGCCCCTCCTGGCCTTTGATGTCTGGCAGAGCATCCAGCTGAGATGAACTCCCACTTCATCAACATTTCAGCCAGAATATGGAGAGATACATTTGGACTTGCATCAGGCAGGTGCGCCTTGGGCACGTGGGCACAGACACCTGCCACTGCAGCAGCTCTTCTGCTCTCATATCCATCACGGAGGGCGTTGTGGCCTCGGGGAAGGCAGTGGCTCTGCCACCCAGTGGGCCTGGGGTTGGGTGCCAGCTCCACTCCTTCCCTGCAAATGACCAGACCTCACAGCCCATGTCCTAGTTAAGAAAAAGGCCAAAGGTCAATCATAGCCCAGGTCCTTGAGTTGTGAAAATTCAGTGAACAGATATGAGAAGAGCAGAACACTTGCAGAGGAGACGTCCTTAAAGACACCACCGCCGGCTCTGTTGAAAGCTGTCAATCAACCAGCCTCCAGCTCTGTTTGACACCATCAGGGAACTCTGACGCTTGAGACTGAAGAAGGCTGTGAGGTGTGTGTGAATGGGCAGTGTGCATGTATGTTCGTTCCTGCATGTGTGCATGTGTGTTTGTACCTGCATGTGTGCATGTATGTTCATGTGTGTGTGTGTGTGTGTGTGCTCGTGTGAATGGGCAGTATGCATGTGTGTTCATGCCTGCATGTGTGTTCGTACCTGCATGTGTGCATGTATGTTCATGCGCGCGTGTGTGTGTGTGTGCTTGCATGCAAGGGCAGTGTGCATGTGTTCATGCCTGCATGTGTGTGTGCTCATGCATGTGTGTTGCAAGTGTGTGTCTGTGTGTGCCTGTACACATGTGCTCGCTTGTGCATGTGTGTGTAGTTACGGTGCTGGGTGGGTGGGGGCAGGCAGAATATTCTTTTGATGTCTTTAAGCTCAGAGGTGATGGGATTTGAGACCTGGCTCTCCCTCAGCCCCAGGAGCCCACTCAGCCTACATGCATCCATCAGGCCCCCTGGGCATCTGCTGTGGTTCTGACATGGCCTCGTCAGGCACTTTACCTGATGTCAAAACTCAGAAATGTCACTTCTCATTGTTGGAAAATGAAGATCAGCTCAGAAGAAGCTCTCCAGCCTATGGAATACTCTGGGGAGGATGGGCCAACAGCATCTTTAACTGGCATAATGGAATCTGGAGCTCTTTGGAAAGAAATGGGAAGAAGTGAGGGTCATTTGCTGAGTGTAACTGCATCTCCAGGTCCCAGGATATCCTGGCTGCAGCTAATAGCAGAACATGTCTGCAACTAGAAATACCAGATCAGAAGTGCAGGTGAGAGGAGAGCAGCAGACGCCTGTCCTGGAACAACTTCCAGCAGACGTGGTGCAGTTTCCTAGCTGGAGGCAAGTGTGTGTGTGTGTGTGTGTGTGTGTGTGTGTGTTTGCATGAATGTGTGCATGTGTGCATGTGATTATGTGCATGTGTGTGCGTGGGTGTGTGTGATTGTGTGTGCATGTGTGCATGTGTGAGTGTATGCATGTGATTGTGTGTGAGTGTATGTGTGCATACATGATTTTGTGTGAGTGAGTGTGTGTGCGGGGGGGGGGGGCTTGCTATGTTTTCCTTTTGTCTCATTGAGGTGCAGATCCTGGCCTATGAATCCTCTGCAGACCCACCAGTTGGATTTGAAGTTCCACAGGCAGGTGTCCTCTGCGCTGCCTGAGCTGGGGGCTGTGCTCACCCACTTGAGTTATAACAGAGAAGGGCCCATGACCCCTGTGCCCATGTCAACCCTGCTCCAGGGCTTGGGGCCGGCGCTGGCTGCATGGTGCCTGCCCCTCTGGGAGGCTATTCTCTTGCTGGGAGAAGATCTGAGTGCAAACACAACCAGCCCCAGCCGCCATGCCCTCCAGACACTCGCTGGCCTCTGTTCTAGTTCCCAATTGTGCTGGAGGGACAGAGAGCTGCCTTTCTGTGAAAATGGCCCATGGCCACCTGCAGGGTCCTGGCTCTTTCTGTGGTGGTTGGAAGGGACATGGCCACGGCTCATCCTGCAGGAAGTCGTTCAGCACCATCCATCCCTGCAGTGGAGAAGCCAGGCCAGGCAGGCGGGGTTCCAGGAGTCCAGCAGCCCAGGAGGCCACACTGGGGTCAAGTGCAGCTTGGCCACTGGGCAGCGTGGGGAGCCAGGCAGGCCCTTCCTGTCCACCTCTGTCATCTGCAAAGCAGACAGCCGTGGGGCAGGGATGACCCCTGTACATCAGCCATGAGGGGACTGTGAGTGCAGCGTGAATGTCCTCAAATCCTAGAACCCTAGATAGAGCAGATGGGGTGTGGGCAGCTCTCATCCTTCTCTTAGGAGTTTCCCAGCAAAACCTCGGAGGACCTCTGGCCAACACATCCCCTCTGACTCCTCCCTCTCAGTAAGGAGGACTGGGAGGGGAGCAAGCAGCCCCCGCAGGGGAGAGAGGCCTTGCAGCCCAGAGGACAGCTGCTCCTTCCTCGGGGCCTCTGTGGCCCGGCCAGCCTCAGCCTCAGCCTCAGGACGCAGTGTCCTCTCTGCTGCTCTGGGTGGTCTCAGCAACTATATTCAGGGTCAGGATTTCCGCAGAGCTCCCACATTCCTGGATGTGAGAGGCCGGCAGATGTGCTAGGGAAGCAGGAGCCCAGGAGAGCCAGAGCGGCACCATTTTAAAATCAGCTGCACCTTAAAACTAGCAGGGCACATTCCTTGCCAGTCACTACGCATGGTCCTAAGATGTTTACAGCGAAGGAAGCAGCTTGCTGACGGTGGTAAGGACAAACTACTCCAACAACAGAAAGTCCAGATGTCTAATACCCATAACAATATATGCTTTCAAGATATAGTTATGCTTTGATGTACTCACACACTAGAATGTCAAGGAAAGTTTTCTTTAAATCAATAGAATAATACATCTTGTCATGCTGTCTCCCGTTGTGCACATACACACAGCTTAGTTTAGTCTTTACATTGACAAGACCCCTAGGTAAAAAAAAAAATAAAAAATAAAAAATAAGCCTTAGAACAGAGATGGGGCATTCTTCCACTGGCTGTCTCAGCACGCCCTCCTCCGAAGTGGAGCAGCTTTCAGTAAACCCTCTCCTCTCACTGCACTCTGCAACTTGCCTTGAATTTCTTCAGATCCAAGACCCTCTCTTGGGGCCTGGATCAAGATCCCTTTTCTGCCAGCAGGTGCCACTTGACCTGTGCGTAGCATAAACCCCGCAAATGGCAGCTGCAAGTTTAAATAAATGCCTCCTGCTGTCTGGAAATGCCTCCTCCTTCTGGGACTGTGGTCCTCTCTGGTGCTTTTACGGCAGAGTCCCCAACCATTTTGGCTCTAGGGATTGGTTTCCTGGAAGACGATATTTCCACGGACGGAAGTAGGGGGGATGATGGTTCTGGGATGAAGCTGTTCCACCTCAGACTCAGAACGTCAGATACGCAAAAGGAGTGCACAACTTAGATCCTTTTTACTTTATTCATTCTTTTTGAGATGGAGTTTTGCTTTTGTGGTCCAGGCTGGAGTGCAAAGGTGCGGTCTCAGCCCGCTGCAAACTCTGCCTCCCAGGTTCAAGCGATTCTTTTGCCTCAGTCCCCTGAGTAGCTGGGATTACAGGCATGCACCACCATGCCTGGCTAACTTTTGTATTTTTAGTAGAGACGAGGTTTCACCATGTCAGCCAGGCTGGTCTCAAACCAGGCTGATCCACCCACTTCAGCCTCCCAAAGTGCTGGGATTACAGGCGTGAGCCACCGCACCCGGCCGGATCCTTTGCATGTGCAGGTCACAATAGGGTTTGCGCTCCTATAAGAATCTAGTGCCACGGCTGATCTGATAGGAGGCGGAGCTCGGGCAGTAATATTTCCTGCCACTCACCTCCCGCAGTACGGCTGGTACCGACCGTGGCCCAGGGATTGGGAACCCCCGGTTTGTAGGATGCAGGAGAAGGGAGGCTCCCAGGAGAAGGAAGCTTCAGCCATGGGCGGATGACCTGGAACCTGGGTTGGGGGACAGGCTGCCAGGCCCAGTGTCTGCAGCGGTCAGCCCCTTCTGCTCTGTAGGATGCACCTGGCAGAGAAGATGGATGACCTTGGACAGGACCCAGGTTATGCTGTGCCCATGAGTTTCCCGGGGATGCCACGACCAAGTACAACAAACTGGGGTGGGCACAGGCAGGAGTGAAATCCATTCTCTCCCTGTCCTGGGGCCTGAAGCCTGAGACCAAGGTGGGCTGCACTCCCTGCAGGGGCTCTAGGGAGGACCTTTCCTGCCCCCTCGCTCTTCTGGCGGTGGCCGTGACCCTTGGTGCCAACCTCTCTACCTCCATCTTCACTGTCCCTCGCTGCCTTCTTCTCTGTGTCCACAGGTCTTCTAAAGACACCAGTCATTGGACTTAGGGCACATCTGATTAATCCAGGATGACCTCATCTCAAGATCCGTAACTTGATTACATTTGCAAAGACCCTTGTTCCAAGAAAGGCACAGTCCCAGGTTCACAGTGAGCCTGTTGTGGGGGCCCCCATTCAGCCCATTACACAGCTTGTGGGCTGTGCTAAGAGTGAATCAGGCCTGCCTTCCCAGTCTCCCCTGCTTCCTTCTCTGGAAATTGGCATGAACCGTGTGCCAGGCCGGCTTGTAGGCTTGCAGGGAGGGTGGGTGGATTCGCGCCTGGTTGCCAGCAGCCCCCGGCAAGGGACTGGTGAATTCTTGAACTGTGGGTCATTCCCAGAGGCTTTTGTACTCCATCCTGTGTACCCCATCCTGCTTGGAATGTCCCTTGTCCCCAGCAAGATTTGGGGTTCGGTTAGGAGGGACATTTGTGCTAGGAGTGGTGCTGGCTCCTCAGGATCCTGGGCATAAAAAGGGGAGCTCTGCCAGCTGGGATGCCTTGCTCCCCATCACAGAGAGTCAGCTGGGCCTGGCACCTGGAAGGGGGACTTTGAACAAGTGTGTGTGCCCCGAGACATGCCTAAGTTGAGATACCGAATTGGCTTCTCCCTCCCAGGACTCAGAGTGAGGCCCTTTCAGGCCATTCCTGAAAGAATAGTCACCCCCGTGACCCATGTCCACTGCCCGTCCACGCTATGGGTTAGATTGAAAAGAAGTGAGGAAGAAATTACTCAAACTAAGGATGCAACATTAGCATAAGATGCTTTGCATATTTTACAATCTTGTTTTCAAAGAATGATTTCAAGCGCGTCTCTCATTTACTGTCTGAAAGCGTCGCGAGCGCAGCCCGCCAGCTCTGGCCCCAGAACGTTTTATTGCTTCTTGCGCTCGCTGCTGTCCTGGGATTCCTACAATTTCATTATGTACCAAGAATGTCGTTTCTGCACCGGTAAGCTTATCGCTCTTTTCTGACCGGGGTGGTCTGGAGGTTTGAGAGCTCCCAGCCCAGGCTGAGGAGGATCTAGTGGCTCAGGGTAGAGAGGGGACCAGAGCTCAAGATCCCAGCCTGGCACAGGCCTCAGTGCACTGTGCACAGGGACCTCCTTGTTGGATTGTGGACTTAGAAAGGCTCTCCCTCCCTGAATGCTCAGACCAGCATCTCATAAACTGGGTTAGCATGAAGTCAGGGGAATGGGAGATCATTTTCAGTCTCTCCTCAAAGACACAAAGGAGACCGTACTCACCTGAGGGCACACCCTGGCATAACGGTCTTGGCGCGACCCCATCCGGAGTCGGGAGTCTGGGCCTGCCACCAGGGCAGGAGGCAGTGGGGGCTACTCACTCACCTGGGGTCCCGGGACCCTGAGGCTGGGCTGCTTTTCCCAGACTTTGGGAGTCATTTACCCTTGCGGAGGGGCTTCTAGATTCCGAAGGCTTTGGCGAATGCCATCTTCCTGTGGCTGCTTCTGCGACTGAGCTTAGAAATTGTTAGGGAGGCTTTTTAGAATCTTCCAGGGAATTCTGCAGGCTCCAAAGGGCAGCCTTCAGCACGAGGGCGTCTGCTGGCAGACGGTGGGGTGCAGGCGATGTGCAGGGAAGAGCTGAGCCCTCCCAGATTGGGGGTGCTGGAGTTGCCCAGACAGGGAGAGGCCGGTGGGGCTGCTGCTGTTTTCCACCTTGCCCCGAGGGCTGAACAAAGGAGATTTTCTACGATGGTGAGGGTGCTCCATAGGGACTCGGCACAGGGGGGACGTGTTGTGCCAATCCCGGCCGACTGTCGGCACCAGCTCAGCTGTGTCCTGCCAGGTCGCTGAGGCTTTTACTTGTGTCTTTCTCTGAGCTCCACAGAGGATGGGGAAGTACACGGGGCTCAGAGACCCAGACACAGCTGGGGACATTGGCTTTCCCAGGGTGCCCTTCCTCCAACCTGGGGTGCAATGTGTCCCCTCTGGGGCCTGCCACGGTGGAGCACAGGCAGGTGCTCCCACTGCCTCTCGCTGGACAGTCACAGAAAAGCCCTTTGCTGTGGAACCACCAGCCTATTAGCTGTACACACTGCAGACCCAGAGCATGTAGTGTGTGCACACAAACGTGCACACTTACACACTTACACATGATTCAAGAGGGAAAGGGTCCAAAGCGGGTTGTCCAGAATGCGGGCGGATGTTCACGGAAGAGCAAACACGCAGCCCCACACATGCTGGGCCCTAATTGCCTAAGAGAGGGCGGGTGCCGGCCCCGGGGAGCCTGTGGCTCAGCAGAGCATGCAGCTGGGGAGGAGGGTGAACTGGCCAGCATGCTGGCCTCTGCTGGCTTCTCCTTGACCTCACCGGGGTTAATGTGGACCTTAGGCCTGGGTGCGTCCCTTCCACACTTGACCCTGGAGTCCCCAGCAACTTAGTGAGTGATCCTGGAACAAAGAAGCCAGACCCATTGTCTTCCTGCTACTCAAGGCCTAGCACCTTCCTCCCAAGAGAAACCTACCCGTTCCCACCCAGGCAGCCTCCTCTCCCCATCCCTCCCGTCCTCCTGCAGCCCCAGGCATCTCTCCACCCAGGCAGGCCCCTCTCCCATCCCTCCCATCCTCCCGCAGCCCCAGGCATCTCCAACCAGGCAGCCTCCTCTCCCCGTGCCTCCCATCCTCCTGCAGCCCCAGGCATCTCTGGTCCTCAATGTGCCTTCTGGCCTTTGAGCTTGCTGTTCTTTCCCGGGTTCCTTCTCCGCTTGGCTCTAGGGCTCCCTCCTTCTTCCCCATGTCTTATGGAATGCTGCTATCCACAGTTCAACCTCACTCCTTCCTTACTTCCCGCCCCGCCTGGCCTGGTTTTTTGCTTCTCTCCTTGCCTTACCCACTCATCATGACGCTCATTTTGAGGTGAAGCTTGTTTATGTCCATCCAATGCAAGCCCCTGGGGGCAGGGCTTGTGTCTCTCTTTGTTCCGTGCTGCATTCCCAGGAGGCAGCCACCGTCAGGATGGTCTGGTGTCTGCCTTGGAAGGAGGGAACAAGAGGACTGGATGTCCTGGTGCTCAGACGCCAGTGCCCCAGAGGCTGGCTGCCTGTTGACAGTGTGGGTGCCCCAGAGGCTGGCTGCCTGTTGACAGCGTGGGTGCCCCAGAGGCTGGCTGCCTGTTGACAGCGTGGATGCTTGGTACCAGTGCCTCTGGGTCTGCAGCCTTGGCCTTGGCCTTCCCTGACACAAAGCCCAGCCTGGCCCACCGTGGACACACGCAGAGACCCAGGCATCTCTCTCAGCCCAGAGCCTGGGAGGGGGCAGCACAGGGAGCAGTCCCTGGACACCCAGAGTGACTTCAAGGAGCTGAATCTTATTAAAGAACAGACAGCATTGAAAAACAATTTGATGTCGATGAATGTTCACCCCCGCCCCCTCCCCGCCACGCATTTTAACAGCCACTGACACTGCACCTTCCAAATCCGTTTTATTCTGGTTTGAACAGCTCTACTCCATGGAAATGGCTTAATCGGATTCCTCTGTTCCTTCCAGGCAGGCAATCCAGGGTGCTGTGTTTACTTTCCAGACTTGCTAGACTGTATGAAAACAGACAGCTTGTACCTGTGCCAGTGTGGCGTCTGTATTTTGGGCAGGGATCGAACATAAATAGACTATTTTGAGGGTGCCTGGCCAGACTTTTCTTCCTTCCCCAAACCCCATGTGCCAAATCTTTCTGCATGCAGCTAATTCTATAGTTAGTACTTGCCTCTCTCCTATGATGCTATTATTTAAAGCTTGATTTCTTTGGAGAAAAGGATGCTTAAAAATGCTGCCCGGCTGGGTTGGGAACCTGCCCCATGTGCCAGACATCATATGACCTATTTTCTAGGTGGGATTGGTTGCTGGGAACTGTGGCCCCACGGAGGAGCGCTATCATTTCAGGAGGCCTGGAATGAATATTTGTACTCGTTGACTCGCTAATGCCAGAAACTTGAGAAGTAACTTTTTAAAAACAGATGTGAAAACTGCAATTTCAGTGAAGCAAATGGCCCACATGGAAATGGCTGTCAAAGAGAATTTCAGTCTGCCTCCTCTGTTTCCCCAGGACTCAAGTCTCACCCATTTAACTACGTTGTCTCCGAGAAGCAGATGTGGGCTCTATACTGAACATTTGGTTTGCAATTCTGTTTAAGTGATGCCTTGCTTGCTTACTTCTGAATATGAAAATAAATTATTATTATTATTATTATTTTGAGATGGAGTCTCACTCTGTCGCCCAGGCTGGAGTGCAGTGGTGCAATCTCGGCTCACTGCAACCTCCGCCTCCCAGGTTCAAGCAATTCCCCTGCCTCAGACTCCCAAGTAGCTGGGACTACAGGTGCGCACAACCACGCCCAGCTAATTTTTGTATTTTTAGTAGAGATAGGGTTTCACCATGTTGGCCGGGATGGTCTCATCTCTTGACCCAGTGATCCATCTGCCTCGGCCTCCCAAAGTGCTTGGTCAAGGTGTGAGCCACCGCCCTTGACCAATAATAAGTTATTAATTGATGCACGGAATGTCAGGTTGTCAGCCACCCTGAGGGTTCCCTTCTCCATCGCTGCTGTGAAGAGCCGTGGGTGGTTTGCAGGAGGGAACAGCCATGTGCAGGTGACAGCATCGGCTCCACTGCACAGGCTGCCCAGGGCGCTCAGAAAGGACAGGCCCGCGGTGCTAGTAGCAGACGGTGACTGTGCTTAGGAGGCCGGAGCCATGTCTGCCACAGAGAAAGCTGAGTATGAACATGGACCCTGATGGGAGGTATCACCTCCAGCAGTGGCCCTAATGCTAAATCTGAGTCTCCTTCAGACGTAAGAAATACAGTTTTGTTGGAACATACCCACGCCCATGTGTTTAATGATTGGGGCTTTGCACCCAGCACAGCAGCAGCTGACGAGTAACAGGCCACGTGTCCCTAACGGCTAAATTATTTCCAATCTTTTCCCGGTTATAGACAGATCTGACCTTCACAGAATATCTGTTACTATCCCCTACCATTTACCCCGCTGTAAAACAAGTTCACTGACTCCTGGTCTCCACGGCAACTCCAGGAATTCCACATTGGCCTGTCTTGGGTCCTCAGCTATGGAGGCCGCCCCTGGCCAGCAGTCATTGAGTGGAAGTCAAGTTGAACACATGAGTTAAGGAATGAAAGAGTAGAACACATTTTTATGTGGGAAACGGCCTGTTTCCCTTGCACTGGAAGCAATAATATACTTCCAGAAGGTTCTGTCTGGCCCCAGGCAATGCTGCTGACCCCAGCAGGCGTAGGGCAGGGTGCTCCTCCACGTTGAGCCAAGATAAGCACAGAGCCTGACTTCTGAGCCTGCCAGGAAGGCCCGTCTGGCCCCCTCTGAGGGTCGGCTGTCCTCTGGCACCTCCCCACCCCTCCATGCTCCTCCCAGAGCTCCCAGCACAGAAGGTGCAGGGGCTGCCCAGGGAGTGTGTTTGGAAGACACCCGGCCAGGCAGCCAGAAGGAGGGAGCCCTGTCTGCTTCGGCACCTCCAGAGCCAACTCCGGTGCCTGGGCCAGTGCCAGGGTCACCATATGAGGCCAGCCCCAGGGTCACCATCTGAGGCCAGCCCCAGCCGTCCTCTCCTCACGGACTGTTGGCCCAGTTTCCACCATCTGCTGCCATCACGGCATGCACTTTCCCACTCCTGAAGTAAAGAGCTGGCACTGAACGCCCATCCCAAGTCTGCGGAGTGAAGGAATGTGGGGCCTCGGTGAACACAGGTCCACCCACTGAGGAGCCTCGCCTGGGAGCAGGTGGTCACACAAAGAGCCTGGGCTGGGCGCAGTGGCTCATGCTTTTAATCCCAGCACTTTGGGAGGCCGAGGCTGGCAGATCACCTGAGGTCAGGAGTTCGAGACCAGTCTGGCCGACATATAGTGAAACCCCGTCTGTACTAAAAAATGCAAAAATTAGCTGGGTGTGGTGGTGCATGCCTGTAGTCCCAGCTACTTGGGAAGCTGAGGCAGGAGAATCGCTTGAACCTGGGAGGCAGAGGTTGCAGTGAGCCAAGATCGCGCCATTGCACTCCAGCCATGGTGACAGAGTGAGACTCCATCTCTCAAAACAAAACAAAACAAACAAATAAACAAAAACCAAAAAAGCAAATCAGAGGCCGGCAGGGAGAGGGAGACCACCTGGATAGTGCCGGCAGTGTGCTCAGCACCCGGTAGCTACCCCGGGCACTGCACAGAGGCGAGACTTCACCAAAGAGGCCCCCGAGGACCCTAGGTTCACTGCCAAGGTGCCAGCCCAGCACAGGGACCATCTGTCTCCAGGCCCTGGCCATCCCTCACCACCAACCTGGCTTTGCTGCTGATAGGTGGGCCTGGGGCTCTGCTCTGCCAGCTGGGACTCAGGTTCAAAGCGGAAAATGACCGGCACTCCCAGGTTGCCTGTGCGGGCCTCGCATGTACTCAGCAAGTCTCTCAGTGACAGGGCCGACACTTGGTCTCCATCTGCCACCAGGAGCCTCGAGCTTTGGCCTGGGGCAGCGAATTCTGCCACACCCTTATTTATTTTTAAACCCCTCTTTGAACTGGACTTTCAGGAACATTCAGGACGGGACTTAGACATCTCTGTTGTTTAATTACTTGATTTTGTTTGATTTTATTCACAAAATAATTAGCCTACTAAGGATCTAATTATTGCTAAGGCATGCATTACGGAGATCAGCCCCAGGCAGCTGCGGGAGATGAGCAAACACGTTGCCTCTGGCCTCAGTCTCCGGCTGCAATAACATTTTGAAATCAGTTATTTTCTTTTAATAAAGCAGCCTCTGGTTCGCCCATGTCTGCAGTGGGCCAGGCATTGTTTGTGCTTTGCTACATTTTCAGGGCTCTGGTTTTCTTTGAAAGACGACAATGTTTCCAATTGAAAGTTGACTCAGAAAACAATGACTCCCAACTCAAGGTCAAAGCTCTTCTCTAATCCAAAGTAAACCGAGTAATTCTTTTATCTCAGGCTGGGGGAGATGAAGGCAGCATCATTCCCTTCCCATTTATTAAAGGTGCGGGATCCGTGTGTCGTGGCAGATACAAGGTCTCACGGAAGTCTAATTAGAGAGATGAACCGATAAATGGAATGGTTTATAATTTATCTAATCATGAAGGCAACTTTGCTCCGGGCGCAGTGTTCACAGGGAGAGATTTCTATCTAGAATGTGTCCGAGGATCCAGGAAACGAAGCCGCCCTTGGCACACTTTTCTTGGCGGATTGCTTCAGGAAGTTTCTGTGGCCAAGAGGGCCGGGCGGGCCTCAGTGAGACCATTCCTGCTTCCACCAAGGCCTGGAGGTGCACTCTGGGCAAATGACCTCCCCGGGCCCCATTTTCACACAAGAGGGGTTCTCCCAAAGCCCTTCATGCCAGCCCTGCTCGGCCTCTTTCCGGACACCCCCACTGTTGCCTGCTGACATCGGGGGGAAACCCTGGGCTCGGGCCCACATCTCCAGGGCAGGAGCAGCAAGGATAGGAGCCCATATCCTGGAAAAAGCCCTTGGTTAACAGAGTGCTGCTGTGGGCTCTGGGTCAAAGCACGGTCACCCTATTGAAATGGGGAAAGTCCCCTTGTCCCCTTCGCAGGACGTGTGATGGGGGAGTGGCTCGATTCTTCATGCCCTGCTGCTCAAACTTCTAGGGGAGCAGACAGACGAGCAGGCTATGGGGCTCCTGACTCCACTGCCGTGTCTAGGGGTGGATGTTTCCAGCTCCTGAAGCCCCAGTGCGCGTGTGTTCCAGGGTGCTCTGTTAGTTTTGCCGTCTATAGGCTTGTGTTAACCCCTCCACCATGTCACAAGGACAGAGGGCTTTCTGTATCCCCGGTTCTTGCCTTGGTGTACCGGAAGAATCGGATCACACCTAGGCTTGGAGAATGGGTGAAAGGTTTGATTGAGTGGAAGGAGCTCTCAACAGATGGGGGAGCCAGAAGGGGATGGAGCAGGAAGGTTTTCCCCTGGAGTCGGGCTGCTCAGCACCCCGGGCTCTCTTCTGACAGCCCTGGCCAAACTCTGCCTCATTCCGCCAGTTGGTGGCCTCCTGGTGCCTGTCGTGTTCCTCTTGATGTCTGGCCACCTGTGTGTCCACCTGCTAGGGTCTCAAGGTTTTTATAGGCACAGGATGGGGGCGTAGCAGGCCAGGGTGGTCTTGGGAAATGCAATATTTCGGCAGGAAAACAAAAATGTGTGTACTCATCTAGGTCCCTGGGCACAGGCCCTGGGGTGGAGCCCTAGCCAGGGACCACGCCCTTCCCCCTTCCATATTATTCAAAGGGACTGCGCCCTTCCCCCTTCCATATTATTCAAAGGGACCGCGCCCTTCCCCCTTCCATATTATTCAAAGGGACCGCGCCCTTCCCCCTTCCATATTATTTGAAGGGACCGCGCCGTTCCCTTCCCAGCACTTCTGTCTCACGATGTCCCCGGCTCACCCAGTCCCTCCTCCCAGCGACATCACGTCCACAGGCTCTGGGATGCATTTGTTTTTAATGAGGACGTGCTGTCCAGAGCTACAGGATCTTCAGAGAGAAAGCGCAAGGGCCTCAGAATTGTCCCAGTGTCATCCTGGAAGGAGACCCCTTGGGTCTCTGAGTCCCTGAGCCTGGACCCTGAATGTGTGCTCAGCTGTGCCCAGCTGCAGTGCTCTGGGACAGCCCTTTAGCTCCCCATGGGAAGTGCAGGCCCTGGGCCGGCCCAAGCCCCACCAGAGGAGGGTGTCGGGGCAGGGAGAGGTCAGTGTCTGCAAGGAGACCATGCCCCACCCCCATGCCCCACCCCCATGCCCCAGGCCTCCCTCCACCCCCTGGATAGCCTTGGTTGGGGTCCTGCCCCCAGCTGCCTTGGGACAACTAACTACAACTTGAGTTCCTGGATTTGGAGGCTGGCTTTGGGGGAGAGGGAACGTTCACTCTGTCCTGGAAGAGGATAAACAACCCCGGTCCCGTGCATGGTGAGCACAGCTGTGCACCTGTTGATGGTGGGAAGGTCTTTCCCCTTGAGAAGAAAAATTACTTTGATAGACCTATTTTTATAATCT
Source organism: Homo sapiens (assembly GCF_000001405.40). Taxonomy (NCBI): domain Eukaryota; kingdom Metazoa; phylum Chordata; class Mammalia; order Primates; family Hominidae; genus Homo; species Homo sapiens. The sequence continues at coordinate 49,018,378 of NC_000022.11, forward strand.
GTCAATTGCATAAAATCCTTTGCATTTTGTGGGTAAAAAAGCCAGAGCTGCTGAAAAATCTATCAGGGGAGGAGGTCTGTGGAAGGAGGAGCTGTCGAGGGTCACCTTTCTGGAGCACTAGGGTGGGGGTCGCAGGGCAGCAGAGGGACACACTGACCACCGACCGGAATCCTTGGTGTCCACAGGCTCAAGGTGTAGCTCTCATTCAAGGCCCAGAGGCCTGAGAGGCAGCAACAGGTGCAATTTAGGAGCTGATTTGTGTGCGGGGTTCTGAGGGAGGCTGTCAGTGGGGTTAGAGGTAGTGACTTTTATCAGGATGGGAAAACACCGGCCCAGGGCTGCCCTGCGGACGTGTGTGTTGGGGCATGAACGAGTCCCCCTCCCTGTGCTGATGGACTCTGAGCCGTCCTCAGTGGGGTTGGCTTTATCCCTGAGCCTCACGGTGGTGTCAGGCATAGAGTGATGTTCGGTGGTGGACGTGCACAGCCACGCCGCTCCCTTCCCTGATGACACCCAGGCTGTTATGCACAAAAGCAGCACCCAGGGTGAGAGCACAGACCCCAAAGGCCCACTGCCCTGAGCAAGCTGAAACTCCCGGTGCCTCAATTTCCCCTATGTGATAATCCTGGAATCTGCTCCATGGTTTGGCCTTGAGGATTAAATGAGCCAGTGTCTGCTGCACTGGGAGAGGCTGAGAGGTGCCACTAAATGTGCCTGTGTCGATAGTAACACGCTTTGCATGGCCATTTGGGCTGCATGTGTACAGAGATGTATTGGTATTTATGTGCATATACGTAAAGATGTGGCAATTTCAGCATCAAAGAGAATAACTACAATTAATTAAAGCACATTAGATATGTTAAGAATGGGAGTTCATAATGGCCTTCCAAAAACATAGGTCAGTTTAAGAAAAACTAAAGAATCAACTGATTCTTCAGAAAACTAGTAAGAGGAAAGGATTACACAGGTATCAGCATTTCCTGTGCAGGACGCACCAGGGCACCCAGATGGCTGGTGGAGGGAATGTCTTCTTCATAGGATATGATAGCTAAGGAATCAAGAAAAGATGGCAGAACCAGAATGTCAGCATTTCCAATCCCTAATGAAAAAGCAAATGACTCAGGCTGTGACCAACAAGACCTAAGAGGGTGCTTTAGATAGAAGAATCTGGTGAGCCGCTGACCAATGTCTTTATTTATATTCCTTACATATGCATTATGAAATGTGCATATGCATATATAATAAGATAATAATATATAGTGTTAATATATTTATATATTCTATAAACTTGAAAATAATGCTAACTATTTATCTGAGTTTAAACCATTACTGGGTTGCCCTAACTCCCACTGCTTTACAGAAAGTTTTGAAATTGAGGTCACTGATGGGTCTTATCACTAAAGCATTCTGCCTTCCTGTCATGCTGTGGTTCAGGAGGAAAGCCCGGCCTAGGAAGCATTCTTGACCATAAAGCGGGACCCTCATCCACCCACCCCCTCGGACAGCAGGTCCCTGGGGACAGACGGGAACCCCAAGCCACAGATGTGGAGCAGGGACAGGGCTGGGCCCAGTACCAGTGCCTTTCGGGCCCCATGCTGGGCCTCTCTTTGGCTCCACTAATTGTCCTCTTTTTCTTCATGGCTAAAATGCATCAGCTGTGTATTGTTACCCAATTGTGTGGCCTCCTCTTAGGTCCCCTTCCTGGAAGCAAACCCTGAGGTTAGGAACGGGGGTGCAGCACCCTCACCCTTCTTCCTCACCCACACACATGCCCCTGGGACCACCCTCCCTTCACAGAGGACACCAGGCTCTGCATGTGGTTCTGGGCCTCGAGGTGTTCATGGAACAAAACCCAACAGATGTCCCTTCTAGGCAGGATGTGCAGCTCACACCCATTAAACAAGAGCTGCCTGACACGTCCCAGACAATACTGAGATTCTTACACCCAGCAGTTAAGGGAAAGCGGCCTTTTTTCAGAGTGAGCATGCACAAGTTACTGTTTAAAATTCACTTAAAATAGTTCCTCTGTATGAAGTTAAACTACCAGAATCAGGCATATTGTGATCCCTATGTTTCCTTTTGCTTCCCATGTTTAGTGTTTGTTACAATGTTGCACAGCACAAGCACGGGTCTCATACCCTCAGCACTTTGCACTGCAATGGCTGGCTCGCTGTTCACTACAACACGCATGTACCCTAGGTGCTTTAAAAAGGTACTGTAAATTGGCCGGGTGCAATGGCTCCCGCCTGTAATCCCAGCACTTTGGGGGGCCGAGGTGGGTGGATCACTTGAGGTCAGGAGTTCAAGACCAGCCTGGTAGACATAGCAAAACCCTGTCTCCACTAAAAATAAAATAAAATAAATTAAAATTATCTGGGTGTGCACCTGTAATCCCAGCTACTTGGAGGCTGAGGCATAAGACTCACTTGAATCCGTAAAGTGAAGGTTGCAGCGAGACTCCGGCGAGATTCCATCCCAAAAATATATATATATATATATATATAAAAAACTGTAAATTGACAAATAGTAGTTATCTGCATTTGTGGGTTATAAAATGATGTTATGATTTATGAATACAATGTGGAATAATTAAATCAAGCTAATTAACATAGCCATCACTTTAAATGCTTGTCATTGTTTTGTCATTTTTATCATTGCGAGGCTCTCTCTACTCCAACCTCCCTGCTCTGCCTGGCCAGGGGCACAGAACAGGCACATGCCTTGTGCACAGCGGCAGCCGTGAGGAACCTTCTCCTTCCCACTTGCCACTGCTAGCATGGAGCACAGGGCCCCCCACAGCCCGCTGCTCTCTGCCCCCTCTGCAGGGCCACCATGGAGGCGAGGTCTCTGTGAAGCTGGTCACTGCATTGCAGGTCCCCGGCAGCCACACAACGAACATCGGCTGGAGCCTGGACGTGAGAATGGCGGGGCCTCTCCTGCTAGAAATGGAAACTCTGTCCCCGTGGCTGCCAGTTGCCCTTCTCCTGCTGGGAGGACCTCCATGGCCTCTGCTGTCTGCATGGTGTGGCCTGAAGAGCCCTCCACCCCAGGAGTTGCCACTGGCCCTTCGGGAAGTGAGACTGGGACTGGGCACAGCGCTAGGTGATGAGGCAGGTCACGCTGGTGAGAAAGGGGTTTTGCTACTCTGGACTGTGCCCTGCGGTCAGCGGCAGAGCAAACGCATCTGCAGAGACCGGCTCAAATTCCTGGGGTCTCCGGAGAACTCCATCACTCAGTTGCCTCCGCCGGTAGCCCTGGGCTTGCCCACTAATCCACTGGCTGTAATCTCCACCCAGGGAAGGGAGTCCCTCTGCTCTGTGGACCCGTTTCCAGGGCAACCAGGAGTATGACCTCCCACAGCAGGGGACAGGTGCCGCCAGGCGTGCTGGCCTGACTGCCAGAGCACCGGGGAGAAGACCTGGGGTACACGCGGCGTCTTGGTCCTACTGGCTCTGGCCACCTGGTGACAGCCCCTGCCTGGGACTCGGTGTGTCCTCCTGTTGGTGGATGCAGTGGGGGCTCCAGTTCCTTGGATCCTTAGAGAATCGTCAACCCCTTGGGGAGGTTGGCTGGGCCCCGTCAGGGCAGCTGTGAGCAAGGAAGACTCACAGGGCATCCTGCCTCCGAGGTCCTTCCTCAGTGCCGCATGGTGGAAGCTGTGGCACCAACCAAATATTTCCTGCGGCCTGTGCTTGAAGAGACCTACACCAACTCCCTCCGAGTGACTGACACCTCCCCGGAGGCGCAAAATGGAGACATCCTCTTTTTTCTGTGTGTGCAAACAGAAAGAAGGCCGGGCGTGCAGACGACTCGGGAGAACAGATGCCCCGCTTGGCACCTCGCTTGGCAGCCTGTGTTCTCCCAGGCTCTGAGCCTGTCCAGGCTGTGGGGAGCGCAGAGAGTGGAAGCCAGGAGGGGCCTCCCAAAGACCTCACCCCTAGGGATTCTCTGTCTCTGCCAGCAGTGCCGTGCACAGGGTTGGCAGAACATTCAGGCCAGAGGAAGAGGCACCTGGGGTTGGCACCATGGGGTTGGCAGAACATTCAGGCCAGAGGAAGAGGCCCCGGCTCCCGACCCCCACGGCAGTGGCAGAGGCCCTGCCCTACTCCACACTCGTGCTGCACAGCTGAGAAGGGTTCAAACACGTTGACATGACCCAGCCTGGAGTGGGAAGGCTGTGCAGGTGCTCCTGGAATCCTTGCAGGGAGCCAGGATCTGCTGCTCTCGGCCAGGCCCTGGCTTTGCCGCTCTCTGTTCCTGTGTAACAGATCCAGCAAACCCTCCTGAGTGTGGCCTCTGGATGGGGCAAGGCATAGAGGGAAACACAGGGGAGGGCCTTGGCCTGGTTCCCCCCAGCCACAGCCTTGGTGTGGAGAAAGAGGAGGGGGAGGAGAGGAGCCCCTGAGGGCCAGAGCCTGCACCGGGCAGAGTGGCCACCATGGGCTCTGTTCTGGTAAGAGATCCACTGCAGGGTGGCCAGGGAAGAGCTGAGCTAGGTCCCAGGTGAAAGGTTCCTGGGGTGGCTGCAGTTGTGGCTGCCACAAGCCCTTGTTGGACTCTCCAAGAGGAAGAGAAGAGGACAGAAGTGCTCTCCTGGGCCGTGTCCACCTTTGGGTGCTTCTCTCACGGTTCCACCTGCAGGTCAGCCTCTCCTCATCAGTAGGTGATGGGACCCTCTAATGTTACTGATGAGTGGGGAGGCGGCCCCTGAGGACTGCTGTTTCCACAGGCTCACACACAGACCCCACTGCACCCCAAGCCCGGGCAGCCCTTGTTTCCTACCCTCCCCACCCGTCAGTGTGGAACGGCAGGTGAGGAGAGCCGGCTGTGAGGGCTGAAGCAGCCTCTGAATCACTGTGGAAGTCTCCAGGTGTGTGCAGCTCTCCTGCTCCGTGGGCGGGTGCTGCGGAGAAGTGTGAGGACAGGGTAGACAGGAGGGGAGAGGTTTGGAAGGAAAGGGGCCCGGCCGCCTGCCAGCTCTCCTGGTGAGTCTCTGCTGTGTAAGGATTTTATGCCCCCAGTTGTTAGGGGAGCACCCTCCAGCTCTACCTGTGGCCACAGCCCCCTCTGCCATGGGCTGGGTTTGCCATGTGCCATGTGCCATGTGCCAGAAGCAGAGGCAGCCGACCCGAGTGGAGCCCTCTCAAGGGACAGGAGGCAGCACCCAGGAGAGGACAGCAGGTGAGCAGCCTCCCAGAGCTCAGCTCAGGTTCTCACTGAAAATCCCACCAAATCCTTTTGCAGGAGCCTGGAGGCGATGTGCTGGTGGGAAGGGCTGTGGCGCCGGGAAACACGGGGTGGAAATGGAACCGGAACGAGCAAGGAGAGTCCAGGCACCACCTGGGCGACAGCCAGGGAGAGGAATCCTGGATCCCGGGTCTGAGCCGGAAGTTGCTCCTCTGCCTGATTCCAAATGAGCTCAAGGCTGGACCCAGCACCCCAGCTGGCATGTGTGAATCTCGGCTGGTCACCACCCGCAGGGCCGGCCTTAACTGATGAGCAGTGTCTGAGTGCATTTCCGAGTGTGGACCTGGATGTCCTTTGATTGTCTCCTCAAGTCCTAGTTAAAGAATCCCACTGGTGCTGGTCAGAGCCAGCTTCCTAGACACGTGGGTCCCGGCAGGCAGCCCTGTCGTGGGGCTCAGGTAGCCGGGTGGATCTTTCTGGCCAACAGATCACCTGCGTGGGGCCTGCATCTGTGGCCGGCCACACGCTCCAGGCTTCAATGCATGCAGGTAAATTTGGGAGTCTGTTCCTGCCCGTTAGTGATATCGGAGTTCAAATTACTTGAAATAGCACAATTGAAACAGACTCCCGGCGCATTGCTCTGGTGGGGCTCAGGAAGCTCGCAGGAAGCAGAAAGCGTGGCTGCACCGTCACCACGCCACCACGAATCTTGCCTCTTTATGCATGTGAACCAGGTAACGGGTTTCGTGACGTTTTCATACGCCCTGCGGGACCTGCGTTCTGCCCTGTGCTCAGACCGTGGGTCAGAGGCGCCTGCTGGGGCTTTTGCACCGGGACAGCTGGAAGGTGCCCTGGCCACGTCCACCGTGGTGTGCAGTTGCTCTGTGGTCAGGGCAGGGGACTTTCCACTTCTCCTTCCCCGCAAGGCAAGAGCAAAGGGGAGCCCGGGCAGAAGCGGTGCCCTCGGGTGCCCTGGGGTGGGCTCCATGCCAGCATCTCCTGGCCAGACCCTTGCGACCAGTTGGATCAGCCCCTGAGGTCCCATGGCTCTTGCCTGCAGTGCAGGCTCCTTCCGGTGGCCAAGGTGCTTTTCCAGGGAGAGCACCAGGGTGCATGCCCGTGGTGCAGCGTCGGAGCTGGTGGATGAGAGAAACCTGCTGTTATGGGCGGGGCCCCAGGTTGGGGCAGAGCAGGGATGTGTGGAGCCTACTCTGTGGCTGAGGCCCAGGCACTTTAGGAAACTTTCCACGGCGCCAGAGCACGAGCCCAGACCCCAAGGGGACCCACATGGAGCAGAGGAGCTGAAGCTCCTGCGTCCTGGGCTCAGGTGACCACCACATCCAGGTGTGCCTGCGGCCTTCCCAACATCCTGGGGACGCTTTAGTCCTGGCAAGCGGGGCGGTGAGTCACCCTGTGCAGGGTTCAGGGAGGCCCCAATCCCCAAGAGACCGCTCCCTCCCTGGCTGAGCCCTGGCTCTTCCACAGGGGAAGGCATTGGGTTGCACCTCGCTGGAATTCAGCCCTACTCAGCAGGAAGGAGGAGCTCAGGGGTTCCCCAGAGGTAGTGCCGGTGGGGTGCCTCCCTGCTGTTGCTGTGATGTGGGTGACAGACAAGCTGGGAGCTCAGCAGCCCACAGCAGAACACGTGCACCGCTGGGCAACTGGGGGGCAGCCCGGGAGTGGGGAGGGTTGGGCAGCCAATGGGGGCAGTGGGGTAAGCAAGGCTGCTCTTCGCATCCTGTCTGGGCCCGTCTCCCCCAAACCCTGAGGCCAGCTGGTTTCACCTCAGTGCTGAGTGTCTCTCATCCTCCAAGAGCCCAGGCCCAGGACAGGGCAAGAGGAAAATGATGGTCAGACACACGGTTGCAGTCCCCTCACCGTCTGATGGAGACACTCTGGAGTCACACGAAACAAGGGTCCCACGTTTGGCACAGGTGAGGGGTTGGAGCCACACAGGAAAAGGGGGCCTGCCTTTCTGAGGCCGGAACTGCAGAGCAGGACAGACCTCTTGGCAAAGATAAGCAACATCGTCACAAAGACACAGGCCAGCCCTTCCCCTGGGGGATGGATGTGTG